>NC_000016.10:64865530-65168560 GCF_000001405.40 Homo sapiens | reverse complement strand
CCCCGTCTCTACTAAAAATACAAAATTAGCTCGGTGTGGTGGCACATGCCTGTAATCCCAACTACTCGGGAGGTTGAGGCAGGAGAATCGCCTGAACCCGGGGGGTGGAGGTTGCAGTGAGCCGAGATTGTGCCATTGCACTCCAGCCTGGGTGATAGAGCGAGACTCTGTCTCTAAATAAATAAATAAATAACCAAAGCTCATTTTCTCCCTCAATTTTTTTTTAAATTTTTACATATTATATAGCAGTACAATACAGTAGTCATTATCACAGAAGTGCAAATCACTCAGGATAGATGGATAAAATAATGATGCAGGTAGAGAATGTTGTCTGACGTGAGATCCTAAACCAGGAGTAGTACAGAGAAGTCAGAGAGTTAATTGGAGAGTCAGAAAAATAGTGTCCTCTTTAGGGAAACACACACACACAGCCCCTCTTATGCATCTGTCATCAGAGCATATTGGGTCAATGAATGAATGATGACAAGGTTTGCACCATGTCATGTTCATAGTCATAAATCCACAAATTTAAGAAAAAGTTTTCTTTTTTTCATTTTTTTTTTTTTTACTATTTTAAGGCTTTATTTTGAGTCTTAATATTTCTCCTTATTTTCCAGTTTGTGGCAAACTCATTTATAGTTTGATTTAAATAATGAAGCATTTTTCATAGTGATCTTTTCACACTTTAGAATACTCACTTGGTTGTTTCCTCCAAACATTTATATTAAGACATTTGGGAGCAAATGTGTAGTCAATTTTCAAACATTTCAAACAAATTTCAAAAGTCAGAAATCAAACATGCATTAAATCTAAATTTTAGCAGTTTATCAATGAAATAAAACAGGCTAAAATCTGAGTTGTCAGTTTGTCATTTTGGTTCAAGAAGGAACAGCTGAAGAAGAGCAGGCTTTCTCATAAGTTCAGTGCTATAGTATGAAGCACTTCATTTATTGCCAACTTTTTAATACATGTTGTTTTGAATTTTGAATTTTTAAAATAATTACGTCTCTTACTCACCACCCTCCTACACATGCATACTCTCATTAGGCTCAGGCTACAAAAGACAATGCATTTTGCCCTAAACACACCATATTTTCTCATTCTTTTCAATTTTGTTCATGGGTTAATTCAGTGATAAATGCTTTTTGTAACATCTCTCTCTCTCTCTGTTGCTTAACTCCCTGACTTCCAACATGAGAATTAGCCACTGTCTCCTCTGTCTAGCATACATCATATTAATGTGTGTCATTATAAATGTTTGGCACATGGGATGTGTTTAATAACATCTATTGAATTAAATAAATGCATAGACTACAAGAGAAAATGAAAGACCAAGAAATAAATGCTTTTGTAAAATCTCAATGAATGGAAACTGGATTTTTGCATTTTGTTATGTATAAATCTTGACATGAAAGAAAAATATTGTAAATAAATAATCAACTCTAGTTAATAATGTGCACACTGAAGTAGTTAGGGAAAGTGTACAGGTATCTGAGATTTACTTTGAAATGTGTTACAAATGAATTGATGGATGGACAGAGGGATATATAGATGCGTGATTTTAAAAATGAGTATAGTAAAATATTTATGGTAGAAAGTAGGTGGAAGAGATGATTGCTCACTGTAAAATGCTCTCAACTTTGCCATATTTTTGAAAAAAATTATAATAAAATGTTTAGGAGAAAAAAGTAAGGTAAAAAGTAAAGATTGATCGCAGAATGTCTAAATGTAAACAAAGGAATCAGTATGATCTCCCTGGACTCTGATATTCAGCATTAACTCATTTTTTTCTTTTACTTAACTTTTAAACATCTACTACAGTTCATATAACAATGTTGTGAACTCTTTGTATGCACCCACACCCAAATATTTTTGAATCAATCTGAGATAGCAACACAACTCGTAAGCGGAGAGATTAATGACGGCTTATGTGTGGTTTTGAGGTGTGGGCAGGGACGTTTTATGGCAACACCAATCCAAAATTTGTCGCAGGATCACAGGGAGCTCTGGCCCGAAGCCATTACATCATTCATATACAATATTTTATTTATTTGGATTTCAAGGCAATAAATTAAAGATCTATTTAAGGGATGAGCATGAAACTTTGGAAATCACATATATCTTTCTTCAGACTTTAGCGTTCAGAGCAGACTCATAAATCTAGGGCTGGAGCTTGTTGGTTAGATCTAAGGAGAATAATGACTGCTTAGCTGGATAGAGCCCAGGATTAAGGCAAGAGTCAGCTACTCCCCGGGAAAGAGCACCAAATTCACAGGCTCATTCACTCAATTTATGACCTTAAGTATGCTAAATATTCTCTTTACCTCAGTTGCCTTATCTGTGAAATGGGACAATAATCACCTGGAAATGCTGTTATGGATTTCCAGCTAAAAATGGGTGAAGGAATATCTGGGTTTGTCACTGATCCCTCCCAACTTTTCACTAAAATGACAAGAAAAGCCTGAAAGAGGCAAAAGCCTAAAAAGTCAAAGAGAACAAGACAGAAAATCAAAGTAGAAAAGTGATGAAAACACAGATTTAGAAGATAGAAAACTGATGAAAGAGTGAAAACTGACTTCCTAAAATGGAAGCAGCTGGGGAATCCAGGAAGCGCAAGCCCCTTTGTATCTGAGAACTTAAGAAAGCCCCTGAAGTTAGACACTCCAGTTGTCTCAGAAGGCAGAATGAGTTGCAGAATCAAACTCAGAGGAGTTTTTCATATGACTTTATGTAAAGTCGCTCAGATCCTCAAGTCACGTCTACCATTTAGGGAGACCAGGTAACCAACACTTACCAACTTCAGTGGAAGACTGTAAGTTTGATACCTAGAGAAAATGAACCAGAAACTCCAGCCTTGGGCTACCAGGCACAGATAAGGATATAAATGAGGCATCATACCAAAAAGGAAGAGAGTAAGTGAATCTCTACAGACTTGAGAGGTGAGACGCCACCTCCAACCCCCTTTCCTCACTTGGCTCCTATAATTTTGATAAGCAATCTTAGAATTCTTGGAGATATGAGGTGGGTTTTTTTGGTTGTTGTTTGTTTATTTGTTTTGTTGTTGTTGTTGTTTTGTGACAGAGTCTCATTCTGTCACCCAGGCTGGAGGGCAATGGCATGATCTTGTCTCACTGCAACCTCCACCTCCCAGGTTCAAGTGATTCTCGTGTCTCAGCCTCCAGAGTAGCTGGGACTACAGGCACAGGCCTCCACACCTGGCTAATTTTTTGTATTTTTTGTAGAGACAGGGTTTCACCATGTTGGCCAGGGTGGTCTCAAACTCTTGACCTCAGGTGATGCACCTGCCTCGGCCTCCCAAACTATTGGGATTACAGGTGTGAGTCACTGCACCTGGCTGAGTTTATTTTTTGACTAGAAAAACTGACCAGCTCAAGAGAAATAGAAAAAAAGTAAATAAATAGATGGATAGATGAGTGAATAGATGGATAGATAGGATAGGATACAATCCAATCCTATACAATACAATACAGTACAACACAACACAACACAATAAAAATAGATTTTGACATTTGAAATCCTCTCAACGAAACAGCTGTATTTCTACCTTATCACCCATACAATGGCTTTCATAAATTAATCTCCCCCCAGTACGTGAAACTTTTAATCAGCCCTCTGGTTCTCATTTTAAGATGTGAATGACTGTCAGTGAACATCACCACTTTAGTGACATCACGAACAAGAATGACGGACACCAGATAAATAGACATATGTAGGGGGAAAATAGTGCACTTGAAGCAAACAGAAAAATGCTGTGAGTGAAGAATTCCTTATTTATATCATCAGGGAGATCAGAGCAGATAATGAATTCATGAAATAAATGTTACAGAAAAGGAATATATATAAATGGGAAAAATATCTTGTATTAAAAATACCACATCAGAAGTAAAATTAGAAGGACTGGAAGAGTTAAGGATCCCTCAGAGGAAAGGGGGAGAAAAGACACAAATAGAGGTTCTTTTCCACAGTTTAATATTTAATGTGTAGATGTTTTAAGAAGAATTAATAGTAAAAATGAAATGGAAAAATTATTAAAGAAATTATTAAGAAAATGTTTCATGACTAACTGACTTATTTCCGATATAAAGCTATATTGAGTGCCCAGCATATTTAATGGGAAATGAATACAAGAGATGTCATCCTGAGATTTCATAATATGAGGCTAAAGAAATAATCCCAAAAGATTACAGAGAGGGGGAAAAGGAGCACAGAAGGAATTTGGAATAATAACTCAGCAGCAGCTAAATCTTTAAGACCTGAAGAAATACTTTCACAACTTTAAGGTAAAATTATTTTCAACCTAATATCCTATATCCAAGCAAACCAGCAACCAAGTGTGAGAGAGTTTTAAGACGATATTTTTAGACATGCAATCTTAAAATATTAGATGTACCATGCACCATCTCATGAAGCCTCTGGAAGAGATATACCACCAGCATGAAAGAGTGAGTCAAGAAAGATGAAGACTTGACATAGAGGAGATGACAGACACTTAACAGGAGAGAGGCAAAGGGAATATCCAGTCTGAAGGTGAAGAGATGTCTCAAACCACAGTTGTATAGAGAACTTTGAGAGCAACCAGTCCATATTGGAGCAGGATGGAGGCTTCAGTGAGGCTGTCTTCCAGAAAAGAAAATGGAACTGATGGTCTAGACCATGTCGAGAGGAGATTTTGCCATTTTGTCAGAGATTCAGGAGATGTATCATTGATAAAGAGGCAAAAAATTAAATGACAATTCCCTCAAAATTTTACCAGGCAACTATTATTTCTGGGGGGAGAGTATTTTTCAAGAAAGGAAGTACATTTATCATATATTGTGATAGTTATAAACACTGTGTATATGCATTCAAAAGTAAACATAATAAACACTGAATGTTGACTTACACAAAATATTATATTTTTAGGAAATCAGAGAAAGAGAGAAAGGAGAGGGCTCGGGAAGAGGGAAGAGAAAGAAGAGAGAAAGAGAGAATGTTTGACAAGGGACAGTGAGTATGAAAGAACTGAACCTCATCTTCATGCTAGAAAATTGATAGATGATATCTAAAGATAAAAAAAGAAAATAAGCATTAGCATATTATTTAGAAATAGAAAGGTGAATAGAATAATTGAAAACAATTAAGAGATTTGTGAACAGTTGTTTCTGGGAGAAAAATGCCAGATTGAGGAAGGTTTACTGAATTTTGTTACTCATAGACCTATGTGATTTCTTTTAAAAAAACTATGCACACATTTTGCACAATTAGGGTTTATCAGTGTCATAGGCTAGTGCACATAGAAGGCAATGAGTCCTAGTGGTTAAGATGTAAACTCTCAGTTGTGTTATCTGGATTCATAGTCTGGCTGTACCTTCAATGAGCTGTGTGACCATGAGCAACTTATATTTTATTTTATTAATTTATTTTTGAGACGGAGTCTCGCTCTGTCACGAGGCCGGAGTGCAGCGGTGCGATCTCGACTCACTGCAACCTCCACCTCCTGGGTTCAATTGATTCTCCTGCCTCAGCCTCCCGAGTAGCTGGGACTACAGGCGAACGACACCATGCCTGGCTAATTTTTGTATTATTAGTAGAGACGGGTTTTTCACCATATTGGCTAGGTGGGACTGGAACTCATGACCACGTGATCCGCCCATCTCAGCCTCCCAAATGAGCAACTTATTGATACTTTCATGGCTTTAATTCTTCCATCTGTAAAATGAAGCTAATTTCATAATAAAATGAAAAACCTATTTCACAGCTTTGTCTTAGGGATTGAAAAATTAGCAAATTTCAGCCTCTTAGAATAGTTTCTAGCAAGTAGGAAGTGCTTAATAAGTATAGTGTCTTTATTATGTATAGTCATTTTAAAAATGACGTGAACATGTAGAAATGCTTATTAATTATATGTTAATTAGCTAGATTTAGTCTTTCTACAATGTCTGTAAACTTCAAAACAATATGTTGTACACAGTAAATGCATACAATCTTCACTGTCCATTTAAAAACATAAATAAAAGGAAGTTATTATAGAACCAAAATAAATAATTAAATTAATACAAGGATACTAAGATCTGTTTTGAGAAATCTGTTACATTAAAAAAAAAAAAGGAAATCACCTGGACATATAGTAATCTATAAGCAACAATTTTCTCTTTTTGTGAAGTTTTCTGTACTTTCCAAAGTTTATGTAGTGAACATCTCATTTTTATGTTCAGAAATAAAAGCTTGGTTTTAAAATGCAAATGAATTTTGGAAGATAAATCTGGCCGTCATAGGGAGAAATGATGTCAAGATTAAATGAGAAACGGTAACATCTGGCACACCCGCACAAGATACAGGGTTTGTCCAAAGGTAACATTCTGAAAGCAAGGTGACTTAACTAGTTTTGTTCAATCTGGGCTCCAGTTGTCAGCTAAAGTCCTCAAAATACATATGCCCATCTCCAACAATATCTGGAGAGATTGCTTTATTCAGATATGTGCAGCAACAGTAAAATATTCAGTCAAAAATTACTTAATCCATTACTCAGAAGCACTGCTGTTAATATATACTAGTGTTTAACAGGCAGTAAACAATTTTAAAATATTTGTTGATTGAGTAGATAAAGACTGTCGGGGTGAGAACTACATACAGTTTACTGTATCATTATCTCAAGTGTAATTATGTAAAGCAACCCAAAAGAGATCCTGATTATATTCTTGATACAAACTTCTAACTCCCTATTCATCAGAAAACTATTCAACTCCATCAGCCAGCACTGTCAGGGACAATTGTATCCACTGAAGTTTCTTTTGAACTTACCTTTTCTTGTGTTGCCTGAGTTCTGCTGATTTGCTTCTATTTGTTCCTCTCCACATTGGTCTGCATTCAGCTGGTGAGTCCCTTATATCAAAGCCCTTGTCACTCTCTGCATAAAATCCCTCATTTTTGCTGATACTGTCATTAATGTTCAATTCATGTAACTTAGCATTGAGAAGGAAACTCGCTTTCCACCAAAATGAATGGCAAATGTTTTCATTTATTCATTCATTTTGTCAACATATTGAGAACACAAGGAGTTCCTGATGTTCCCTCATCAGCAAGACGTTCTTGACCTCAGGGAGCTTGAAGTCTAGGAGAGGCAATGGGTGTTTAACCTTACATCCACAAACAATAGATGCATGCATGTGCTAAAGGACCTTGTCACTCAGATAAGGTGGGTGAGGGTGGACTTGCAAGGGCCCTACATTTACAGTAACTCAGGGGGTTTCCGTGTAACTTTGTCTCATCCCATTACTCTGATGAAAATTTTGAGTTCCATGAGCACTTAAAAGCAAGTCTGTCTTGTTTAATGTTTGTTTGTTTGTTTTTGAGATGGAATCTCACTGTGTCACCCGGGCTGGAGTGCAACAGTGTGATCTCTGCTCCCTGCAACTTCTGCCTCCCGGGTTCAAGCGATTCTCCCGCCTCAGCCTCCCAAGTGGCTAGGATTACAGGAACCCGCCATCATGCCCAGCTAATTTTTGTATTTTTGTAGAGACAAGGTTTCACCACGTTGGCCAGGCTGGTCTTGAGCTCCTGACCTGAGGTGATCTGCACATCTCGGCCTCCCAAAGTCCTGGGATTACAGGCGTGAGCCACAGTGCCTGGCCTTGTTTAATATTTTAACCCCTGTTTAGCACTGTGTCTCATATAGTAGGTGTTCCATGAATATTGGTTGAGCAAATAAAATAAATGAATGGGCTATAGAAGATACACATTGAATGTTTGTTCATTCATCTTTAAATGGATTTAATTCATCTTTCAAATGAAAGAGATCAAGCAGATGATTGCCAAGTCCTGTTTCAGCTCAGATGCTTTAGTTATGTGTCAAGTGGATCTTTTCATAAGAGTGTTGGCCTCTGTGGGATTTCCTTCAACTTGCCTTTAACTGCTTCAAAGAAAAAGCATCGAGCAATATATCACATAGGGCCTTAGAATCAAATGCATAACGACTGAAGGTGTGAAAGAATGGACATGGGCCCTGGAGTCAAACCTGAGTTCTGATTCTGATGCTGCCTGTTACTGAATGAGAAGCCTAGGGTAACTCAGACCCAGCCTCCAGGCTTCAGTTTGTATCATCTCCAAAAAAGCAATAGCAATGTGTGCATGCCATAAAGAGGGCATTTAGTCCGTATTTGTTGAAGAATAAACTCAACAAAGGATAAAAAGAAATTATCTATATCATGTGACATAGTGTGCAGGTGTTCACTTCCACCTTCCACACAGTTGACAAATACCATGATGATTCCTCTGATTTTGCAAGAAAGTGTGCATCATGTCAAATTTTTAAAGAAATAAAACTGCACAACTTTCCTTCTTTCTTGCAGAATTTATATAGAAATGAACAAGTGAAATGAGACAAGCAATTTATTAATCCATTTCACAATGGGCTCATATTACATTATCTTTAAGGTCCTTTAACAAACAAAAATTAATGCCTAGACCCATAAGTTGTTGGCACATTGATAGACTCCTTAATTACAGGATCTTTGGTTTAGAAAATAATGATTGATTATTTCAGGCTGTATTTCACTTAGTTATGGATGAGCCCCTGAATATTTGCACAGAGAAATTATTTCAAAGTTATTATGATTAATAAGTGTTATAGACAGGATGTCTGAGTTATTGCAGAATCTAAGACAATGGAAATAATTTTTTAGAGTATCTGAAAGGGTTGTTCTGAGGCAGATGACAGGAAATGAGGAAAATGAGTTGTGCTTCTGTTGATTTATTCCACAAATATTTATTTGATACTTTCTAAATACCAGACCCTGTGTTGGACACTAAAGATACAAATTAAGATGAGGCATGATGCCAAGAAAACCACAGTATAATGGAGGAAACCAAATCTTGTACAAATAAATTCAATGTGATGGTAGAGGTGCCATGTTAGAGTACATGGAAAGGTTACAAGTGTGCCATTTTATCTGATGTTTTATATATATATCTCACCTCACAAAGGAGATGGCATGAGCTGAAAGCTGGAGACAAGTAGGGACCTCCTCGCTAGATAAAGCAGGGAAGCTATGCCAGGTTGCTGCAATAGCAAGATCATAGGCTGGCAAGTAGAAGGCAGCATTGTGCTGAGAGGCTACTTTCAGGGACTTGGTCTTGGGGTGGAGGGTACCAATGGGTGAATGACAAGGATAAGGCTGGGGAGGTGAACTATCCACTTGGAGTTTGCAAAAAACAAGGAAAATAATCATATTCAAAACAAATTTATTGATATATATAATAATTATACATTTGTATGGGGTACATGTGATATTTTGATACATGCGTACAATGTGTAATGATCAAATCAGGAAGTTTAGAGCATCTATCACCTTCAATGTTTATCATTTATTGGTGTTGGGAACATTTTAAATCTTCACATCTAGCTATTTTTAAATATATAACATAACATTGTTAACTAGAGTCACCCTACAGTGCCATCAAACACTAGAACTTATTCCTTTTATTTAACTCTATGTTTGTACTCATTAACCTACCTCTCTTCATCCCTCCACCCATTTGCAGACTTTGGAAAGTATCATTCTACAGATATATTTTTAAGGACACCATTCTGGTGACAACATGGCAACTTGAAGATGACTAGAACAATATGTCAAGTAAGGGTCTTAAAGTGTGTGGCTCCTTGAGGCTCCTTGAGGCTGTTTGAAAAATAATAAGGATAAATAGTGAGGGGAGGAGGGTGCTGAGGTCCCCCTCCCCTCACCATTTATCCTTATTGTTGAATATATTTGCTATATGCTGGATACAGTAAAGGTAAGATGACTCTTAGAATTCTAAGGGCACTGGGTGTGAGGCAGAGCAAGGTTACTCATGGAAAGATGCAACTCAGTGAAAGAAGTAAGTTTGATGGGCTGGATAGTTTGCTAATTCAATATTATCACAGGAGCCAAAATTACTTTCATTAATTAGGGAAGTATTCTTTTTTTGTTTGTTTCTTTGTTTGAGATGGAGTCTTGCTCTGTCACCCAGGCTGGAGTGCAGTGGCACGATCTCGGCTTATTGCAACCTCCGCCTCCCAGGTTCAAGCCATTCCCCTGCCTAGGCCTCCTGAGTAGCTGGGATTACAGGCATGCACCACCACACCTGGCTAATTTTTGTATTGTTAGAAGAGACAGGGTTTCACTCTGTTGGCCAGGCTGGTCACGAACCCCTGACCTCAAGTGATCCAGCCGGCTCGGCCTCCCAAAGTGTTGAGATTACAGGCGTGAGCCACTGTGCCCAGCCAGGGAAGTATTCTTAACTAGATGTAATAAAGTACTTGACGTAGATAAGTCTTGATTTTCAAAGCAGGGATCCAGGCTTCCTAGGCCTTCTTGTTGTTATAACTCTAAGCAAGGTATAGAGCTTTGCACTTTAGCCTTGCCAACAGAACATAAAAAGAAGCACAGTTCACAGTTAATTTCTGTGGTTGTTGTTCCTGCTTTGGGATTCATTGCATGTTGTAGAAAGGGAGAGAGACTCCTGGTTGATTCACAAGGTAAGGTGATCAGGAGAAGGTTTGGCCAGAGGTGTGAAAAAATATATAAAAACTCAAGGCTTCTCTTAAGTGGGGTTCCTAACCTATATTTGTGTGTCTATGTCCATAGGAATAAAAAATATAGGAGAATGAAATGTAAGTCCAAGATGATCTGATGTGACTTCCATCTTCTTCCCATGGGCAATTCTTGAGATGTGATTCTGTTTGTATTTTGGCTGTCTCTTGTTATGTTCCATCTGCATGGATGGAAATTTCCATCTGCTTGGATGGAAAGTTTAAGGACACAGCAGTGATAATGAAGGTAAGATGTCACTGGATGACCAGCTAAGGGTGCACCAGGACAAATAAAAGGAAAAGAAGTTGAGCATAAGTTAAACTATTATACTATGTGCATAGACAGGGTGAATTAAGGATTGTTCAAGGAATAATAAAAAAGCAAAAATTTAGAGAAGAAAATTTCATGACGTGGGCAGGCAGAAGTCTTCCTCTTTTCACTTCCAACCTTTTGGTGCAACATTTCTTGTCAAAATCCCTAGAGAGACAGCATTGTGTATGGTGGCGCCCAAAATTGTTTGGAACTTTGGCTCAGTCACATGCTATCTATAGACCTGAGGACAGATTATTAAACCTTTCTGTTCTCGATTCCCTTATACATTCATTCATTCATGAAAGCTGGCTGACATGATCATCATTAATTTGGCAGTGATCAGATGAAAAAGTGAAGCCACATTTTACACGTGGGGAAACTGATGTTACAGGGGTTTTATAGCAGAATCTTGACTTGACCCCAAGTTTCTTGATATTTACCACAAGCGTTTTCCATAGGAGATGGCAAAGGAGGGCTTTATGCTGCTTCAGAGGGGAATGGGACTATGAACTTGATTTGGGTTCTGTGGAATCATATCAGTATATTTCCTCTGTCCTCAGATCTGTTTAGAGTTGTGAAGCTTCAAGGGTAACTTGGGCAAAAATATTTGAGTATTTATCAACCCTCCACTTTGCTTATGCTGTTCAGTTCTGGCCTAAGGGAGTCAAACTAGGGGCCTCCCTCACCAATAAAGCCCATCAATCATTCAATCCACCCTGGTCCCCAGCCCACACAGAAGAGCTGGTAAAGATAAAGGGACATTTGCTATCATTTAGGGAACAGCCAGCACATAAATATGGTCATTCCAGATACATGTCTTTTAAGAAAGAAATTGTTTTGCAATAAAGAAAAGTAATGATTATCAGGGCAAGAACCATGAAATAGCAGATTGGAAATAAAATATGCTTTTATTAAGTCCCCATTTCTCTGTGGCAGAAAGGGAAATAAATAACAGAATGCAGAGCTGGGAGCAGAGAAAATATTGCCAAAGGTGGAATCTAATGACTTGACTATGAAACAAAGACTCAGCTTTGGAGAGAGTTAAATATGTTAGTGAAATCAGAACAAATTTTCAAGTTCTCCACTGACCTGACATGCAATGCTTCTTTATTTCCTGACTTTTAAGCTCAAGATGGACCCTTTAATTTTTTTTGTATTCTAATCTCCCTCAATTTTATTCTATAAAGTACTTAGTCATTATTAGGCTCAAATAAATCCTCTGATTCATTAGGATTCATTGAGATTTTATAAGATGGTGTTTTAAATAACACTCCAATTAACATTCTTTGTACTATATGTTTTTATTCTCTGGTAATCTCTCTTTTGTCTCACCTCTGTGTGTTTCCTTGAAGCTATCATAGTCAATTTCATAGAATGAACACATACATATGCACACACACACACACGCACGCACACACACACACACACACACACACACACACAATTTTTCCTGGTAGGTTGTCTAGGCTGGATCCTGACTGCTTTTATTTTGTAGGTCACTGCAATGTCAAATTTATATTGATGTCTTTAGTAAATTGTGCTTTGTGCTAGGAAAAAAAAGTAGAAAATTGTTCATTTTTTTTTCTCTCCCATTCTGAAAAAAAGTCTAATTTTAGCATCTTGATAAATTTATAAATCAGGTTTTAAGGGTTTTTTTTTCAAGTTTCAGGTAACAATAAGTTAAAATCTTATTGACAGATGCTTCATTAATTTTGTTATAAATAAATGTAAATACATTTCTTGATACATTTGGATGTATCCCATAAATATATATATATAAATAATGAATTCTCAGCAAGAAATGTAGCACATTGTTTAACCAAGTGACTTGCATGGTGAATGAAATACGAGCTGAAAGGACATAAGCGCGTTTCAGCAGAAACTTCATCATCGTGTAGTCCCAAGGTACATGGACCCTCAGGCATAAGCATGACAATATTCCCAACAGAAACTTCTCCCTCAGCTTGAGTTCTAGCATAAAAATAACGTGATACAGGCCACATCCAACACATGAGAGTCATGTAAACTGGATGACAATAATCCTTGGCCATCACAAACTATTGAGATTTGGGGGCATTTTCTTAGCAGAACATAATGTAACCTACCTAATACAGGCTTCAAAGAAGTTACCTCCTCCATCCTGTCTCTGGAGGGAAGAAAAAGTTTAATGTTATTTAAAAATAAATATAGTAAAAAATAGATATTTAATGTATTCTATTATGACTTTATGTAGGCATTTAATTTATGATGTGCTTTACTATATTAATACAAATAGATTATATGCTCGTGTGTGATAAAACTAAAATCTATTGAACATCTATTATGTTTGTAAGCACTTTATACTTCATTATCTCCAACTGTCACATCAACCTTGAGATGTGATGTGGTGGGTTATACAAATAGTGATGAATTCTTCTCTATTCTGCACCATGCCTTGGCAATGGAAGATGGCAGGTCCTCCATATCATATAAGAGCTAGGAAATTCTTTTTTTAAAAAAGTTTCCTTCTTTTAAAAATGTGAAAATTAAATTTCAATGAAGAGAGATGTATCTAAAATTATTTATTGAAGATTCGAGAGAGAGCTAACATCAGAATGCAGGTACTCTCTACCTCAGTGTTAGCATAATAGACTACTTCAGAAGAAATAATTTTCTAGGCAAGTAAGTGTTGGGTTTGTGTTATTGCCTGCTCATCTATAACACCATTTATCTGATATTTCCCTGGGTCTACAATGTTAAATTGTTTCCACTTTGCACAAAAAATATTTTGAGCCAGTTTTATAATTGGTATCATCAGGGATTCAGCTGGAGGCGCACTTTATAATATGCAGACAAGAAGGGGTTCTATGTCACGAGGAAAGTGTGGAGTGGGAAAGTTAGAGTATTCGAGTGAATTCTCGGTTATAAGGGTTTCGAAGATGAGTATCTACGTGTGGAGTTATTAGGGTGAAAACCAACTCTACCAGACCAGAGATCATAGGGAGAAGGTAAAATCTAGTGGAGTTCTTTCAGGGCCAAAAAGGGTCAGCATAGTACATTTTATTTTAAAGGTCTTTATCTGTAAATGTAGGCACACAAGGAGCTGTTCTGGGTACTGACCTGGCCTGGCCATCCAGAGGTGGGAGATGTGTGACCTTCAGCTCTGCAGGGGCGAAGGGAATGCTGGAGGCTGTAGATTTGTAGTGGCATCAATTAAGAGATCACTACAGAGGATGACCTCATGCTGTGGAAATGCCCCAGACGAGGCTGCTCAATCAACCAAGAACTGAATGTGAGACTTAGCAACTAGAGAAAAGGCTGGAGGGAAGGAGGGGCGTCTATCCTCACATCTTACAGAGGGGAAAACAGTGCTTGTGAAAAATATAAGAGAATAGCAAAGACAGCCTGAAATCAACTACATGTATTGGACAACATATAAAACTGTTAACATTTTTTGGCATTGGCATAAAACTTACAATATTTGCATGACAGTGAAAAGAAGACAACAAAGAAACCTGTAACAACTAGTTGAGAAAAAGGTAGAGGTTTAGGGGAAAATATAAATGCCTTAAGTTTAAGAACAACATGGATAAGCACGTGTGTACATTGACATACAGGTGATCAAGAATGCTTGTGAGGATGCAGTTGGCCAGAGGGGTGGGAAAGGATTTCACAGTTAGGCCTGTGCTCTCTTAATTATTACCACTTACCTCTGCACCCTGTGTTGCTAAAATCACAGTTCATTCTAAATAAGCCACTAGGGGAGATCTGTGATATGATACAATGAAGAAAAAGGCATTTGCAGGAATCCTTTCTGCCCCCTGTGGTTCCACACTCTAATGAAGCTCACCCACATTCCTCAAGTAGAATCCTAATGAGTGAGGCTTTTTGACTCTCTCTTTGAACATTTTAAAGCTTTTCTGAAGTGTTTGAAAATTCATTATACTTTATTTGACTTCCCTTTATTGTACAGAAATAAGGAGTCCCTGATGGAATACTGGAATCAACATGTTTCAGAAATTGCACCCAGCAAGTGGGGGAGCACCTGTACAAAAAAATGATGCTCCCTGGAAGTCAGTTAAGCATTTATGTACACATTTATGTTCACACATGTGCAAACATGTGCATTCACACACTCACATGTGTTTCACTCATGACATGGTTACACATTTCCAGTTAAGCCAAGCCCATCACACCATAAAAATGAAGTCTACCCATTTTAAAATAAAGTATGCATGCAGCAAATTACATAGGGAAAAAAAAATCAAAAAGAAAGCAATTCAGAAGGGCAACAGAACAGAAAGTTGTAGTTAATTATGATTTATAAACTTATTAACTTGCTAAGCATTGTAACGAACCAAAGAACAAATTTAATTTTAAATAACATTAAAGTAGCAGTGTTGCCTAGATGAAAACATGAGCCAAGGAAATGTATTTAAAGACTGAGAAATCACATTTTTTAGGAAATAGCCCAAATGTCACCTTTTAATTCAGCTTTATTCATTTAACATGAATGCAAGTAGAACTAATAGAGAATAATAACAACTCAACATTTCCTAGATAATTGTTATTTAGTGAAATACTGTGTGTATTTTTTCCTCCTTTGACACAAGTTGTATATTATTTGCAAAAACAAATTGCCATGTCAGTTTATAGTTTTGAACCCTAATGTTCTCTGTGCACCTACTCTGTGCAAATTATAGTCTAATAATTTACATATTATGTATGTACAATTAGGCAGAAGAAGGCATCATATTCTCTAATTTGAAAGCAAAAGAAATTAAAATTATATAGACATGTTGGTATTTTGGAAATTATATGAAATAGGATGACAAAACTGTTATACTTAATTATATAATATATTTGAGTTGAATTATGTATTTGAACTTCCCTGGTTTTGCTCAGTAGCCTGTGAAACAAGAGAGATACTGTAGTAGGAAATAAGTCAACATGTATTTCATCAGGCACCTCCGGCTTGTCAGCGTTTTAGCACCCAGGTACTGATTTCATTCCGACACCAATCTCTTCAATTTTAATATGGACTGATGATCAGAGACAAAGGAGAACAATGGTGTGCCTCTCTATAGGTAAAAGTTTTAAGGAACTAAAACATTCACAACCCCCACTCTTTTGTCAATTATCAATAAGTTTCCACAGAGCACCTGGGTTTCTGGCTTATCTTATCTTTGTTTTCCTGAATTCCCCAGGCAGAGCTCATCTGTGCCTTTATCAAATCTCGCCCTTTTTTATATATAATAAAATTGTACATTTACAGTAGACCCTTGAACAACACAACGGGTTGGGGCGCCGAGCCCCACACAGTTGAAAATCCATGTATAACTTTTGACTTTCCCAAAATGTAACTGCTAATAGCCTACTATTGACTGGAAGCCTTACCAATAACATAAAAAGTCAATTAACAAATATTTTGTATGTTATATATATTATATACATATAGCAATATAGCAAGCTAGAGAAATAAAGCAAGCTAGAGAATAAAGCAAGCTAGAGAAAATAAAATATTATTAAGAAAATCAGAAGGAAGATAAAATATACTTACTATTCATTAAGTGGAAGTGAATGATCATGAAGATCTTCATGCTCATTATGTTCACATTGAGTAGGCTGAGGAGGAGGAGGAGGAGGAGGATTATGAGGAGATGATCTTGCTGTCTCAGAGGTGGTAGAGACAGAAGAAAAACCACGTCTAACTGGATTCTCACAGTTCAAACCCTATGTTGTTCAAGGGTCAAATGAGCACTTTAAATGTCTGCCGCAGTGTAAAGTGTTTTCCAGAGATTATTTAATCTCTCAAAACCATCAATTGAGATAGTATTAAGTCTATCTCACTGATAAAGAAATAGAGGAGCAGATAATTTACCACTATTCTCTATACAAGCGCAGTGGCTCAGGCCTGTACTCCCAGCACTTTGGGAGGCCAAGGTGTGTGGATCACCTGAGGTTGGGAGTTCGAGACCAGCCTGGCCAACATGGTGAAAATCCATCTCTACTAAAAGTACAAAAATTAGCTGGGCGTGCTGGTGTGTGCCTGTAATCCTAGCTACTTGAGAGGCTGAGGCAGGAAAATCGCTTAAATACAGGAGGCGGAGGTTGCAGTGAAGCGAAGCCAAGATCTCACTGCTGCACTCCAGCCTGGATGACAGAGCAAAACTCTGTCAAAAAAAAAAAAAAAAAAAAAAGCCTTTCTAAACTCATCAGGCCTAGTGAGTGGATCTAGGCATGGATCTCAGGCTTTCTGACTCTGTTGGGTGTTGTTGTCAAGTCTCATGCTGAGTACCATGAAACCCATTTGGTGGGTGGTCAGATGGCTATTGGGTGGGTTGGTTGGGTTGTTGGTTGTTGGGTTTGCATTACTTTTCCAATAAGTTGGAAGCCTCTTGAATGCAGGAATTACAATGTTTGTTTATTCTGGAAGCACTGATTGCCTACTACATGCTAGCCATTGTTCGGAGTAATTGGACTATTGCAAGGAAAAAAATACAAAAAAAAATACTGTGGTCTCTTGGAGCTTACTGTCTGGTAGAGGGAAAAAGACAAATACAGATTTACAAATAAATATATAATGTGCCTGGTGCTATTAAGTGCTGTGGGAAAAAATAACCCAGGAAGTGGAAAAGGAAGTCTTAAAGGTTAGGAGGCAGGGTAGCTATTTCATAAATGGTGGGTCAAGAAAGGCATCAAAATAAAGTGATACTAATCCCAGACAAAGGAGCAGTGATTGCCAAAGACATGAAACATGAGTGTATGATGTCCCTTGTGAAAGCAACACCAACAAGAGCAGAGCTGCTGAAGCCAGATGTGAGTGAGCACAGTTGTAGCAGGTGAGGTCAGAGAAGTAGCAGAACAGGGGGGTTTCCCATCAGGTAGAGCCTGAAGGCTATTTTAAGACCTTTGGTTTATGAATACAATACCTGGTATGGTTCCCATTCAGTAGATTTTTTATTTCATGTTTTTTTAAAAGAGAGACATGACTTTGACTTCTAACAGGTCATGCTTTGTCCTATTGATGTGGAATTATCATTAGGTAAATTATAGGGCTGGTGATGGATTCCTTAACTTCTGCAAAGCTGATTTAAAGTTTCATAAGTAAATTCATAACATTATAGAATATATTTCTTAATGACTTGATAAAACAATTAATTTTCAACCCAGATCAATAAAGTCCTTAACAAGTGTTGACCCCAGACAAATCCTATAGTATAGGAACATCATCCTGGACTATACTCAGGACTATAATTTTTAAATATAGCTTTTTACGGGATAATTTAAGCTGTTGTATGAGAATCAAGCTTTACATAATTAGCATTAGCTACTAGGGTACTCAGGAAAAAGTGAATCTCAGAGAGAGTGAGAGAGAGAGAGAAGGGGGAGAAGAGAGAGACAAAAAGGAGGAGAAGGATGTAGATAAAAAATCTAGCTGAGTCTACAGTTGGGATCAGGGAGAGATTCTGGGAAGGTTTTCCTTGATTTTAAAGAGACACAAAACAGAAATGTTCCCTTGATTCAGCCTCCAAAGAGTGTCAGTGGCATCTGTCAGGCTGCCTTATTTGGACAAGCTACGATTTTAGGGTGGCAAAATGTGAAGCTGGTGAAACAGCCCTTTGGGATGGTGTTGAGTCATTGAATTAACCTGTCTTGAACTTGAAACAGCAGGATTACAATTTAAACCATTTTAGATGGGTTTTCCCTTTGTTGCAACTGAAAACTGGCTAGGTAATAAAAATTCATGTAATTTAAGCTGCTGTATGAGGAAGATAAGTGATCTACCAAAAACTCAGTGAACCATGCTAGGAGTGGAGGGTACAAAGATGACCAAGTTCCTTAATCTGGCTGAACTTTAATTTACTTATTTGTAAAATTGTACTGCTAATAATGATTTTGTAATCTTGATATGGATATTGCTATTATTATTAACTTTGGACTTTGGAAACAAAAAAATCAGCAAAGGGATTTCTATTGTGGAAAAGTTCTATGTGGAAAAGTTCAATGATGCCTCTGGCCAATAGAGTAGTTCCAATATAAGATTTGCTAAATAGAGGGTGAGCCCTCTCTTAAGAATATTAACACTTAATGTGGATTTCTACAATTTAGATGAATTTTAAGTTTTTACCCTGACAGAGGCTAGGCTAGACCATTGTGCTGTCATGGAAAGAACAGACTTTGGAATCTGGAATCCAGAGGGCTCTGTGATTTATTTCTATGCAACTTGGGAAGAGAACATAATTCCTCTTAATTCACTGAGAAAATAGAAGCTATACCAAAAGTTCCACCTGCATCTATCACCAAATACAGCAAAGTTTCTGCATTCATGTCCACAAGCTGTGTCTTTTCCTCTCTTAGGATGAATGAACCCACATTGCTTCAAAGGCCCACTTCTGCAATGTGCCCTGGGCCCTCTCTCATCTAACCAAGGACATCTCTTTTGCTATCTTCTCTCTTTCCTGCATTATCAAGTTTCCCCTACTTACTTATTATTCCCATTATTATTCAAGGACATTGTAGGTGGGTGTGGTGGCTCATGCCTATCCCAAGTACACAGTGAGACATGATGGCATCACTGCACTCCAGCCTGGGTGACACAGCAAGACCCTGTTTCAAAAGAAATTGCAATATTTCCTACCTCCTATCTTATCAAAAGCTCTCTCTTTATTCCATAACTTCTTTAAACTATTGCCCAATATCTCTGTTTCCCTTTTCAGCAAAATTCCTTGATGTCTTCACTTCTCCCCTTTCTATTCTCTCTTGTACCAATTCCAATTAGCCTTTCAGTCTGATCTCTCCACTGAAACTACCCTCCCAGTTACCTGTGTTACCAAATACAGTGGTCACTACTTAGTTCTCATTGCAGATATTATTGTATCAGCAACAATTGACATAAACTCCCTTCATCTTTATATACTTGGCTTAGGGGACAATACTCAGTTTTCTTCCTACATCAATAGCCATCACTTTTCATTTTCCTTTTCTGGTTCCTCCTCGTCCTGCCAGCTCAAAATAGTGACATGCCCAGGACTGACTCTTGGACATTTTATCAACTACGTTTAATCCTTACGTTATTTCATTCAGCCCTCTGAATGTGGAACTCATATGTTTATCTGCTTATTTGACTAAACATCTCACAATTAATCCATCCCAAACCAAACTCCGGATTTCTTCCCATCCCACCCCTAAATCATTTCTTCTGCATTCTTCTCTTAGTAAATGGCAACTTCATCATCAGTTTCTCAGTGCACAAACTTGGGAATCGTGATTGAGTTTTCTTTTCATACGGCCTCTCTAATTTATAAGCAAATCCTTTCAGATTCATCTGTGAACTATTAAAAATCCAAACATCTCTTATTATTTTGCTGTTTTTTTCCCAAGTCTAAGTAAGCTACTGATATTTCTCACTTGTTTCTGAGTTGCTTATCCTGTTCCCAGTCTCTTTCCCCCAGCAGCCAGAATGGCCTTTGTAAGATAGACCATGCCACACCTTGGCTCAGAATCCTCCAGTAGTTTGTATCTCTTTCAGTAAAAAAGCCAGAGTCCTGGAAATTGTCTTCAAGTCTCACATGATTGTGCCACCACCAACCACCACTCCTCTGACCCCTTCTACTACTACCTTCCCCTTCCTCCTTTCATTCAAGCCACATTTGCTTCTGTTGTTCCTTGAAGCATGCAAACACCCAAGGCCTTTGCATCTGGTTCCTCTCTGCCTGAATGCTTGTCCCCACTAACCTGCCTTGCCAGCTCCCCCAATTCCGTCAGGCCTCTACTCAAATATCCTCTTTTCAGAGAAGCCTTCCTTGACCAACATGTACAAAATAACTCCTCCTCCATGGCACTGTATTCCCTTATCCTATTTAGTTTTCTCCAAAGGAGTTTAAACCAAGTAAAATGTTTATTTGTTTCTCATAGGTCCTTCCCCATCATATTATAAGCAGCACAAGAAAGTGGTTTGCTTGGTTTTATTCACTGCCACACTTAGAACTGCATCTGCCGTGTCATAGCCTTTCCATAAATATCTACTACATACATAAATAAATAAACAATGAATGTAATAATCATCTATAGTTATACAGACTATAACCACCAATGCTACATATGGTGGATTTCATATTCATTTCTATTTCCTTATCTTTTTCTACATAAACAAATACATTGTTTGATTTTTCTGTTCATTTGTCCTACAGAGTGGAGACCTTATAATATATTCCATTTCATATTCTAATTATTTAATTGAACACGAAAGCCAAACCATACTCACACATTATCTTGAACTATTCACAAACGAGTCTTTTAACAGTGGGGTAGCCTTTCTTCAAACAGATGAGTCAGACTTTCCTTACACATTTGCCCATTTTTTGAACAGTTAGTCTCTTTCCATTTTTAATTCACTCTTCTCATTAACAGCATGATAAGCTTATGTGCCAAATAATGCCTTACTATTTCAAATAATATTTGGAAGACAGGGTAAAACAATGGGGCTGAGGCGGGTGGTGAGTTCTCTGAGTGAGAGTTTTAAAATTGTTTATATATCTTCTAGAAAAATTAAACCTGCTTGTATTGCAACACTGGGTTTCTTAGCCAGCTTTTGCCTTTGATATGTATGCATTGCCTTGGTAAACTCTTTTCTTGTATTATTCATGAACTTATTTTTATTAATTCTTCACTCCCAGCCATTTCTAGAAATACATGCTTTCGTCCTATTTGGGATGCTCCAGAAATAGTGATTTAAAAAAAAGTTTTTATTGAAGGAGTTTTATAACCTATATAAGACGGTCAGTGAGACTCATGTCCTCTTTAATGTGGAAAATGCGTGAGGCGGGGTAAACAACCTAGCCTTTCCAGCCCATTCTGCTTCAGAAGAACATAACTGTTCTATCAATCTTTACATGCTGTGCTTGTTATCTACCTCATCAATTAACATGGACGTCCATACTGGGTATCACCATTGAAAAAATGGGTTGCATAATAGGTGATTTAAGCCTCACTTTGTCCTCATGTGATTGTAAGAGTCACCAAGTTGTCTTGGGAAGAACATGACCTTTGAGTTAATTGAGCATTAATTTAAATACCAGCTTTAACATAATAACTCTATGACCTTAGGCAGGTTACTGAGGGTGATGGTTAATATTGAGTGTGAACTTGATTGGATTGAAGAACACAAAGTATTGTTCCTGGGGTGTGTCTGTGAGGGTGTTGCCAAAGGAGATTAGCATTTGAGTCAGTGGACTGAGAGAAGTGGACCCAGCCTAAGTCTGGGTGGGCACCATCTAATCAGCTGCCAGCATAAAAGCAGGCATGGAAAGAGCAGACTGGTTGAGTCTTCTGGCCTCCATCTTGCTCCCATGCTGAATGCTTCCTGCCCTCAAACATCAGATTCCAAGTTGTTCAGCTTTTGGACTCTTGGGCTTACAGCAGTGATTTGCCACGGGCTCTCAGGCCTTCAGCCACAGACTGAAGGCTGCACTATCGGCTTTCCTACTTCTGAGGTTTTGGAACTCAGACTGGCTTCTTGGCTCCTCCGCTTGCAGATGGCCTATTGTGGAACTTCACCTTCTAATCATGTGAGTCAATTCTCCTAATAAACTCCCCTTGATTTATTCATCTGTCCTACTAGTTCTGTCCCTCTAGAGAACCCTGACTGATAACACTGCATCAGCTTGAACTTACCTTGTTCATCCCTAAGAAAAACAGAAAGAAGAGTAATGAATTTTATAGGGTTGTGGTCAAGACTGAGTGACAACTGACCAAGAACAGTATACAATGTTCCTGGAAAATTGTGGCAATAGTAGCTCTCTTTCCCTTCTTCAACCACCTGTACATTAGAGTCCTCTTTGCTAACGATTCCAGTTCATTTTTATTATTGTTTCACAGAACCTCCCTGAAGAAAGATTATACAGATGTACCTTGTTGAACTCAAGGGGCCATTTCATTTGCCAATGAAATGTGGGCCAAGTGGTGTGTCACTTCTGAGCAGAAGCAGCCTGGTCCATCACAGGTCTTTGTAATCTTGGTCATGACAACCAGAGGACAGGCACTCTATTAGCATGAGTCCCAGAGTGAAGATGACAGAACACACTGCTATAGCTGTGCAGCAGATGTGTAACATGAGAGAGCAATAACACTCAATTTTTTCAGTCACTAGGATTTGCAGGATGTTTATTATCACTGCTTAATCCAGCCTATCCTGATTGATATTCACTATCCACTTCTCTCCCACCACCAAGAAAACAGTATCCAGTGTGTCCCAGTGAAAGAAAACATTAAAAAAAATCTTCCCTAGAATTAATTATGGCCAAGTATCTTTGTGAGTTGTTAAAATTATTCATGGATGCTATCTGCCCTTAAAGAGATCTTATTTATTATTTCAGCATATGTTGACATATATTATCTCTGTTCCACTCACGCAAGATATTTTGTGACCCAGAAACATGAAGGAGATGTCACAAAGTGTCCTTCTGCAAAAAGGGTGTGGAGAGAAGAGAGAATTTTCTCATTGTAACCACATCATATTCTACATATGTCCCAAAGTGATGGGCTTGCTGCAGCATCTGTTATTGTAGAAGGACAAAAAGCAATTCCACAAGCTATTTTAGTTTTCCTAATGGAAAAACTAGATGCTGCAGATGAAAGAGTTATTAGAAAAATAATCTTAGCTTTTCTAAAAAAGCATCCAAAATGTGCTGCAGGTCGTGGGCAGCCCGTCAGCACTGTGAAGCTGTACATTAACAGACAGGATTTCTAACCAAAATATATCTTACATTTAAAGATCTTTCCCCCAGAAAGTCTCCGAAGGAGAAGAAGAAGAGCCAGAAAAGACACCTGAAGTTGAGTGAACATATTTCAGCCTCCTTTTCAATGCAGCCTGTTCCAAGGACAGGTAGAAGCCTGGAGACCAGAGTTCACCCAGGTTACTCCTCCAACCTGTGTTTTCTCCCCTCCCTTTCCTGGCCTTCTGCTTCTTTGGCACCCTTTTCCAATTCTGCTTTTGATGATGTGCACCTCTGTCCTTGACTCTTGCCATTTCTCCTTTTTCTCAAATTTTAATTTAAAAAATTAATGGTGATAAAATACACGTAACAGAACATTTACCATCTTAACCACTTTGAAGTGTATATATCAGTAGTATTTAGTATGTTCGTATCGTTGTGAAAACTGAAACTCTATACCCTTTAAACAACAAGTCCCTCTTTCCCTTTCTTCCAGTCCCTGGCAACTACCATGCATATTTGTCATTTCTATGAGTTTCATTATACTTGATACTTCATATAAATGAAATCATACAGTATTTGTCTTTTTAGTGACTAGCTTATTTCATTTTGCATAATGTCTTCAAGGTTCATCCATGTTGTAGCACGTGTCACAATTTCCTTCCTTTTTAAGGCTGAACAATATGCCATTGTGTGTACACACCACGTTGTGTATATTCATTCATCTGTGGATAGACATTTGGGTTGCTCCCACCTTTTAACTATTGTGAATAGGGCTGCTATGAACATGGTTGTGCCATTTCCTCCCAATACTATGCTGACTTTGTGCAGAACTCAGCCCTAGATAAAATGAGTTTGCTCTTCCATCCCCAGTTACATTTGAACAGGGATCAAGTAGCAAATCTGGAACTGGAGGGAGGTGATGAGGTGCTCGCTCAGTCGTAACATTGAAGGGGCCCCAAAACACTCAGAAATCAAGGCAAGTGATATTTCAATGCACCATTTTATTTTAACATATCAAAACCTAATGCAAAAATTCATGATGAACAAAATATCAAGATTTTAAAATAAGGGAAGAGTAACAGTATTGTTCAGAACCATATGGGAGCAAAAAAAAAATCAGCAATACTCATCTTGCCTTTATTTAAAATTTGCTGTTTTGTTCATCATGGCATTTGGCATTTTTATTTTTAAAATAGTTTTACTTTCCTTATCTTAAAATATTGCATTAAAATATGATTTATCTTGTTTACTGAGCTTTTTGCTGCCTCCTTAAATAGTGCAACTCCTACAAGTGCTTCACTTTGCTCTCCTCAGTTCCAGTCCTGTCAAACAAATTAGAGTTTTGTGCTTATGGTGGCCATTGGCTTTATACAATCAGATCAGACCAAGACATTGTTTCTTTGTTATTATCTTTCTAAACCTAAGAAGCAAGGAGACTTCCATAGCTTAAGCTCTCTCATCAATTCTGCACATGATTTGCCAAATATATCATTCTTTGGAACACACTTTTTTGTGTGAAAATAAGTTGTTCATGGCCAAATTAGTTTTGTAGGTAATCAGTAGAACGGAGTTAAACAGACATTACTTTAGGATGTCTAAAAACATATTCTGGATGTGCTAATGTATAGTGAGGTGCCAATATATGTTGTCAGTGTCTAAGATAGGTAGAGCCTGAAGTATATTCGTATTTGAGCAAGAAAGTATCTTTTCAAGGGCAATATACCTTAAATAATTATTCCAGACTAGCATTCCATGCAAGACATCCTGAGAAATGCCTAGACAGTGTTGGAAAAGAGATCTCAATAAACGTTCTTGGAGAAGATGCACACAGCTTGTGAAGAGGTAAATTAATAATAGGTGTGCTGACACAACCTAAAAAAATGGTGTCACAACAGAAAGTTGAAAATAGCTCACTTGCCACTCTGGGGGAAGAAAGTTTACGTTTAATGATTTAACATACTCCTGTTGTTAGACAACACACAGCTTCATGTAGTATAGAGTAGGAGAGATGTGAGTTATTGTTCACCAGTCTTTTAAAGCTTCTATGCTTTCATTGACAGAAAAATACCATTTTGCTAATTTCATTTTGACTTTCATAAAATCATCATTTAGAGTTGAAAGATACGGTCAAAACTGGCTTTACAAGAAGGTGGGGAAATGAATTGAAATTGATTGATTTGAAGGCATAGAAAAAGCCTTCTCTCTCAGCATATACTGGTGAAATCCATTACTCTGGGAGAGGTGAGGCAGAGGAGCTTCTTTTTATTAGTTATTGGCAGGTCAGCAGACTTAAAGACATCCCTTTGTAAAAAGCAGACAAAGTTTATTGGTTGCTCTCCATAGGTAAGACCCTGTGGTAAGCACTTAATGTAGATTATCATTTTTAATACTTATGACAGTCCCATGAGGTAGAAGATATAATTACTCCCATTTTGCTCAAGAGGAGATTAGTTCAGTGAGGTTAAGTCACTTACCAAACTCACATACCTAGTAAATGACGAAGCTTGGATCTAAGACCAAGCAAACTGACTCCATAGTCAACTCATAACCACTAGAGGCTAGAAGCTTAAAACATTTGCCTTCTAATGTACCAGTAGGTGTTATGGCGGCATCCAATTGACAGTAAATTCGGTGGAAATGCAAAGCATTCTGGCTAGGGCTAATTTACAGTATGTTAACTCAAGGGAATTAAAGAACAACCAACAGAAGGGGTAGCAGGACCATCAGATCCTCATCAATATAATAGTTTCATGCTTTTCATGGAAATATTACATCATGCTAGTCAAAGAGAAAACAAAGAAAAGCATTTCATGGTGATTTGGAGATGTCAGAGCGGTATTACTTTCTACAAAACCAGAAAATGTAAATCTATCTGTGTCACAGGTGATCCACAAACATCCGAGAAGGAAAGAAACTTAGAGGTAAATGATTCAATGATTCTTAAAACCTGACTGTGGCACTCTTCTCCAAATACCTCTGTTCTCCTCCATATTTCTCAGCCCCTTTGAAGAGGCAGGCCCATGGGATGAATTCTGACCAATGGATTTGGCTAAGATTTAAGAGCCAGTGCACCATCCTTCAGCTAACTCTTCTCTCCACCTGCTGCAAGGACATAAACATTTCAATGGCACAAAGATAGAGCACCTTGAATTGTTACTGCAAAGAAGACATCTTTTCTGGAGAGTCACCCAAGCAGTGGATTTGTGAATAAATAAATCTTGTGTTAAGGTTCTGATATTTTGTGGTTAATTTGTGACCATAGTACTACATAGCCTATTCTAATGAATATGTAGTGACTATCAGAATCACTAGAGAACATACAAACATAATTCATATTATAGGTCAAAACTTCAGTCTACTAGCTTAAAATTTTAAGCATGGAGAGGATATCTCTATGCTTACAAAGCTAAGATAGTCTAATAATTAGCAAATATGAAAAACACTGTTAGATGTCAGCTAGTTCCATTTAGCCTTTCAATCTGTTCCAAACTCTACTTTTATACATATAAAAATCAAAAGAAAGCCAATAGATGTGGAAGCTAAGCCTTGGGAATCCTAATATAGCATGATGAGGATTGTGAGTTTGACAATTAGCTGTGCTATTTATTACTGGTGTAACTTTGGGCAAATTATTTAACCTTTCTTAGTCCATTGTTATGTATTAGGAAATTAGAGCTATAAATAGTGTCTACTTCTAGGTAATGGGACTGTTCTCTGTCTTGATTAGATATCAGATACACAAATGTATACATTTGCAGAAATTTATGAAATTATATAGATAGAGTATGTGTGTCTCACTGAATATAAGTTTAACTCAATAATGATTATAATAATAGCTAATAATAAAATATTACCTACTTTGCAAAGGTCTTGTAAGGATTGAATCAGTAACCATGGAGAACATTTGTATGATGTCTGACACAAAGAAAGCCCTTAGAAAATAGTAGCTATTATTATATTTATATTATGTACTACATATTATTTATTACATATAATTATCAGAATATCCTCCAAGGTTACATATAAGTAAATCCATAGTAGATTTGGAAAGCTGGGAAGAGAACTCAAATTATTTTAGATTGTGAGTTGTGTTTTCGAGATGTGTTTCTTTATGTTTGGAGTGCATAAATTCTCTTTAGTCAAAGAACTTCAAAGAACAAATTTCATACTTACTCTGAGTTTCTTACAGAATGTTGTGGATTCATACCCCAGCTTGCCCATGATTCATAATTTTACAAAATGTTGCATGCTCTAACACACAGTATATACTTTGTTATGCTTTTGCTATGATTAATCAAGCAAAAAATGAGTATTATATTTCCTAATGACAACTTTGTGCCTGCAAAGAAAAACCTTGCCAAAATGTTAATATATCTATATGGTCGTCTGCATCGCAATGCACAATACTTAATTCTAATTTCAAGCTTTAATTGCTATAGGCCATAGTAATAAAGAATTTTTCTTTTCTAAAAAAAAAGACACTTTCAGTAGATTTTCTCTGTAAGAAATGCAACATAGTGTAATGATATATGACACACAAAGCACAACTGAATAAAGAAAACAAAGCATTACAAATGTGTTTAGAGAGAGACAGATTAAGTTGCTACAAATTTTAATTCACTGGAACCCAAGAAGAGGCATGCAACAATAATAGACTTTAAGAACAGGGCAAAAGCTTTTGTCATTAAAAAAAAAATGCATGAAGTGTTCATATAGATTCTTTCATCAAAAGGACCCCAGGAAATATTCAAGTGTTTATTTAGCTTCTATTTTGTCCCTTGTTTTGTGACTGAAATTATAGGAATACAAACAATGAGAAAAGCAAGATATTTTTTCTAGTAGATTTACACTTTGTGTTGGCTATGTTGTCCAGAACTGGGGTTTTAATAAGTTGCTGGTCTCTTGACTCCAGAACTCAGAGCAACAACAATAAGAAGAGGCAGCTCTGAGATTAAAAACCATAAAATAAAATAAAATAAAATAAAATAAAATAAAAAAATAAAACAAGTGATAAATACGTAAAATCATCTAAAAGAGATAAATGACTTCTTGGCAACAGCAAGATTTAGCTAGAGCAATGCCGCTTGCATTAATATATTTGAAGAAAAGTGTGGCTATCAAAAGAGAGGAGCAGATGATAAGAGAAACAGATTTACAAGTGTCCTAGCAAGGTATGGGGGAAAGGAGAGGCTAGACGTGCTCTATGGCCCTCTCTCCTGTGACAGGCCTAGACCTATTGTAGGAATAATACAGAGGTCATCAGGCTTAGAGCCTTGACCATCTGAATTACTGCTGAGCTCTCCTTCTTTGTTTGTGAGATTCCCCCAAAACTGCCATGCTCTCTTCATGCAATTCCCAACACACACACACACACACACACACACACACACACACACACACACCCCTCATTGTTACCAACTTGATGATCTTGTTTAGTTTCTTATGAGTAGTCCGTATCACTCGGCTTTCCTGTAAGAAGATAGTAAACACACGTCGAGCTTCTACAATTTCCATACAGTTTATAATTTCTTTTTGTTTAAGTATCTTAACAACCCCCCCAAATTAGACATCAGTATCCCATAATCATATGAAACCCAAATATTCTCTTTTCTTTCAGCTGGTAAGCTGCAGGAAAAGTACCTGCGTTCACCTGTGGTAACTCAGATTCATAACTCAGCCCTTTTTTAACATTCTATCACCCAAAATCAATCCAGTGTCACAAAAGAATTATCAAACATGATAAAATTACTGAAAGCGTATGCCAGAAAAATAGAGATCTTATATTACCTCATAGAGATAGGTACCATTAGACATTCCCCTTTTCCACAATTGCTTCCTGGCTTTAATGCCAGTGACGGCACCTGGAGTTGTGCACTGTAACGGCCTAATACAGTTTAGCTCTACCTTGACTCTGACTTCCAATTTTATTTTATTATTATTATTTTTTGAGATGTAGTCTCACTCTGTCGCCCAGGCTGGAGTGCAGTGGTGCGATCTCTGCTCACTGCAAGCTCTGCCTCCCAGGTTCACGCCATTCTCCTGCCTCAGCCTCCTGAGTAGCTGGGACTATAGGTGCCCGCCGCCACCACGCCTGGCTAATTTTTTGTATTTTTAGTAGAAACACGGTTTTACCGTGTTAGCCAGGATGGTCTCGATCTCCTGACCTCATGATCCGCCTGCCTCAGCCTCCCAAAGTGCTGGGATTACAGGAGTGAGCCACCATGCCTGGTCCCAATTTTTCATCTTCTGGCCCAGCAAAGTACTCAGTCAAACAAAACATTCTCCTGGAGCTCTGGTTTCCTTGAGAAAGAAATCTGGGAGCCATCTTTTTCCGCTGAAGTTTTTTCTTGATGGTCACCATCCATTCTGCATAGTATTTATTTCTTCCAAACACTCTCAGGGTTCCTCTTAGGAGGAATTCTGTTGAGTGATTGCCCTCATTGCCTTACAAGTAGGTGGAGCAGAAAGCTTCTGTTTTGTCCAGATTGTCTCCACTTAACATTGAGACGACTCAAACGTTAGGAAAATATAATTAATGTTCGAATCAATAATCATTTCTAGGACTCAGACAAGAGTGAATTCTTGGTCTTGCAAAGATGAAGATTAGATATTGGAATTCACTATGCTCTTCAAAGTTATGTTAGTCTGTAATAGGCCTGAAGAACCCTCAGTTGGCATTTCCCTAGATACTGCAACCCATGTGCATTTCTGTCCACCTACACAGGAAAGAAAAGCAGGCACAGAAAAACAGAAAATCCAGTAGTATTGATAGCACATGATTCAGGATCTGATGTTGTGGTGCAGAGGATAGCTTCTACAGAAGCTTGAGAAGAAACCTCAGGAACCAGCGAATTCAGTAAAGGCTTCATAGTAGTGGTAGGTCTTAAAGAAAGAAAGAGGGAGAAAGTATGTCATGTAAAGAAAGCATCTTATACAAAAAAATCTAGGTGCATCTTATATAAAAAACTATGCTTTCCATACATTTTTATTTACTACTGAGGCTGGCATGTTATGTAAATCATCCAACTTGGATGAGACTATCTCTATCAAAATTGCTTAGAATCATTTGCTTTCAGATACATGTTTAATTTCATTATTCTTGATGTCCTGATGATATCCCAAAATCACCTCACCATTTTTGATTTTGCAATTCCTTTTCATGTTCTTCAACTTACCATACCTAAGTCCCTCTTGATTTCTCCTTTTGAGATGTGTATGAGCCATACATATAAATTGATCTCTTCTCATGCAATTGTGAAGTAGTAGCTCTTCCTATGAAGGATGAAACAACCTCAGGAAGAATGAGATCAACAAAGAAAGAATCAAACTAGTGAATCTGTCATCAATAATTGCAAACTATATAATCAGTAATGTATAGCTTGATATATAAAAAATTAGAATATTTCAGTAACTGAGTCTCATATTTTCCCAAAATAAATCTGACTTAAGCCTAGGATTATCTATTATATGTCCTCTCCTCTCATCTCCTCTCCTCTCCTCTCCTCTCTTCCTACCCTCTCTTCCTATGGCTCTGTAAAACAGAAAGAGAACTGATTTTGTGGCCAGACACACATAGATCTGAGTGTTACTATCTGGCTAACCATGAGTAGATGGCTTCACCTCCTAGAGCCTCAGTTCCCTGAAACTGCAAAAAGAGATCGATGACACCAACCACTCAGAATTGCTGTGCAGGTTAAATGACATGGTATATGCAAAATGCAAACTAGCAGAGGGAATATGTACCTAGTATACAGTAGCTGCCCTGCAAACATTATTTATCATATGACCATTAATAGTAATTATAGTAGCATTGGCAGTGATAGTCATAGTAGTTTTAACATTAGTAGAAATAAACTTTTTTTCCAAGGCATATGTCATTTTAACTAGACTTGTTACAATTTCCACTAAAATGTATACATAAAAGAGATCATGGTGGTCCTGTAATACCCTCTCTTACTCAAAGCAGAAGTATCCTGTGAAATATGATACTACCTAGTAAATGGACATATAGTCTGAGTTTCCATGCTGGAAGGGAGCCAAAGCTTTCTATTCCCAGGAGCACAAGATCTAGCGGCATAGACCTTTCTTGCCAGAAATCCTTCCTTGGGCTGAGCAACATTCTCCCTCCCTGAAGCTCCCATCCATTAGTCTCAGTTTTGCACCTCCTGGGTCAAGCAAAATGAATCTAATCGCTCTTGTTCATGACAGCTGTTTAGATATTTGAACAAAGGGTATTCTCTTCTGCAAACTGTCCATCCTCAAATTATCTCATCATGTGGCTCACATTCCAGGACCTTAAATGTCTTGAATGTCAATATGACACCAGGACTAAAAACTCTCGCATAGACCATGACAGGGCACAGAGAGCATAGAGCCACCTATGATCTGCATTGTGTGTTTATCAATGCAGCTACGTAAGTGTCCAATTTATTAGTGTTGAAAGTTATTAAGTATATGAATCAATAAAGTATCTAGATCCATGATGTATATTTGTGTTTATACATATAAGTTGTATATGTATATGTGTTTATGTAGGTATTTCTTTATCTCTCTTTCCTCTGCAAAAAAAAGATCCTTGTCAATAGTTTCTTTTTTTTTTTTTTTCAGATGGAGTTTCTCTCTATCACCCAGGCTGGAGTGCAGTGGGGCGATCTCGGCTCACTGCAACCTCCCCTTCCCGGGTTCGAATGATTCTTCCACCTCAGCCTCTCAAGTAGCTGGGATTACAGGCACCCACCTTCATGCCTGGCTAATTTTTGTATTTTTGTAGAGATGGGGGTTTCACCATCATGGCCAGGCTGGTCTTGAATTCTTGACCTCAGGTGATCCACCTGTCTCGGCCTCCCAAACTGCTGGTATTACAGGCGAGAGCCACCATTCCAGGCCAATAGTTTCTATTCAACATGTGTATTATGAGAATTAAATAAGTCTACATGTAAACTGCTTAGAATGATGCCTATCCCATGTAGGCACTAAATAAATGTTAGCAATTATTCTTATTTTATTCTTACATGCACTAACAGTCTATTTGCTAAGGGATGTGATAATGTATTAGGGTTCTCTAGAGCGACAGGACTAATAGGGTGATGTATATATGAAAGAGAGTTTATTAAGGAGTATTGACTCACATGACCACAAGACGAAGTCCCACAAAAGGCCGTCTGCAAACTGAGGAGCCAGGAAGCAAGTCCGAGTCCCAAAACCTCAAAAGTAGGGATGAAGCCGATAGTGCAGCCTTTAGTTTGTGGACAAAGGCCAAGAGCCCTGGGCAAATCACCGGTGTTAAGTCTAAGAGTCGAAAAGCTAAAGAACTTGGAGTCTGATGTTCAAGGGCAAGAAGCATCCAGCATGGGGAAAAGATGGAGGCCAGAAGACTTAGCCAGTTTAGGCTTTCCGCATTCTTCTGCCTGCTTTTATTCTGACTGAACTGGCAGCTGATTAGATTGTGCCCACCCAGATTGAGGGTGGGTCTGCCTTTCCCAGTCCACTGACTGAAATGCTCATCTTCTTTGGCAACACCCTCACAGACACACCCAGGATCAATATTTTGTTTCTTTCAATTCAATCAACTTGATACTCAATATTAACTATCACAGATAGGTTCTGCGGATTTAATGACGTATAAAATATGGCTTCCACCCTTAAAGAAATAAGAGTCTTTGAGAAAAAAAAATGAAGATGGGTCAAGTACGCTCTCAGAATTGGGCACAGAGTGCACAGGACACAAAGCAAGGATACTAATTCCCTACTGGTGATGAGGGGAGGGAGAAACAAGGAGTGCTAGGAAAATATGTCTGGAGGATAGGACACGTGAGCATGGAGTTTTTTTCTTTTTTAGCTGTTGCCTATCTGTATTTATATTTCCATGTATGACTAAATACATACATATGAAGTTACATTAATAAATCCCTTAGTACAAGTTACTATATGAATAATGTACAAAAGAAGTAAAATTAGATTTTTTAAAATTTTTATTTTTGTTATTATACTTTAATTTCTGGGGTACATGTGTAGAACGTGAAGGTTTGTTACATAGGTATACATGTGCCATGGTGGTTTGCTGCACCCATCAACCTGTCATCTACATTAGGTATTTCACCTAAGAGCATGGCATTTTTGAAAAATAAACTGGAAATAGACAGAACATGAAGGAGGAAGCTTGTTTTAAGCAGGGAGAAGAGTGTATGCGAAGATGGTGATGCTCCAGCATGTGGACATTTGGAGACAGGCAGTTTGATAGATTTTCATACAATTGGCTTCAGGAAATAGATACATTATAAGACATTAAACATCTATTTTATGGGATGTCATCATTTCATCAGATTGGATGCTTGTCAGTTTACATTTGGGAAATGCCAGAGCACACTGAAATGAGAAAGCTCCGTCTGGACACCTAAACTTCATAATGTCTAAGATGTGTGAACGTGGCCATACAGCTTCTCATCTAGCATAGGAATTTCTCCACTTGCAAAATTGGTGTAATGATACGGACCGTCACCTGTGGGGAGGCACCTCCCTTCTAGTAACTGATCAGCATGCTGCTAATCCTACTGCTACTGATGTTTTCTATTTATGACATGATATTTAAAGCAGATATTGGCCAAATACAATATTCAGGTGTTCTAGAAACCACATTGTTAATAAAATAAAAATTAAAGGTGTTTATCATGAAAAATCATTACTGGGTGCTGGGCATGAGGATGAGGAATAGGGGTAGGAGTTAAGGGATGAAGAGAACTGACTGCTATTTTCAGCTGCCTTTCTGCTTTGAAACCACACCTCCTTTTAAGTGATGGTCTGGCTAAATTTCTCTATTCTACCAGAATCTTCTGTAAATATGCAAACTTTTAGCTTAAAAAATAGTCCCACTTTATTTTATACATCTGCTACATCCAAAACAGTTTTATCTGATGATTGATTATTTTGTAGCACATCTTCCAATGTTTGCTTCTGTGACTCATCTGACTTAAAGAAATTAGACTGTCTGGGTGCATTTTCCCCCTTTCTTTGATGTAAGCAAAGCTAGAGGAGCCGAGCCATTCAGACTGTAAATACACATGGTAAATTTTGCTTCTTTTGCTAAACACTTCTAGTCAATCAAGAATTGCTTATACTAAAGACTGAACGATGGCTGTGTATCCCAGAGTAGAGAACTAGTAATGCAATTTGGGCCACTTAATGGTTTCTTCTTTAACTCTATTTTTCCTTTACATTCTAAAATAATATCTTTTTTGAGGAGCTGGCATGACATATGGGATTTTTCCTTCTTCTGTTCCTCTGTCTTCCTTACCTCTTCCAGCATTCTTCCTTTCAACATGCCCTTTGGCAGTAAAGGCTAGCAGAAATTTATTGAATACCTGCTGTATGCCGTTTGCTTGGGACACATTAATGAAGTGTCTATAATGATTGGCCTCTAGATGTCTCTTGCAGAGATGGGGTGAGACGACAGCATAGGGAAGAATACACTAAGGCAAGATAAAATTACAGACATGATTCTCTGGGAAGGGACAAGGGCAGGAGATATTTTTCTGAAGTGTATGATCCCTTAGCTCCACTTTGAGAGATGAAAGATAACAAGGGGTAGCAGGGAGAACACAGGGAGGAGGAGAAAATAATTCACTTACTATATTTACTATCTTCTGGGCACTGTGAATTATCATCTTCCCAACCCACCACAATTATCTGAAGCAGGTACCGACACTGTGGCCATTCTACAGATGTGGAAACTGGAAGCTCACAGAGGGAAATGAGGTGCTCACAGCAAGTAAGGGATATAAGCAGGACTTAAACTTGTGAAGCTCAATTTCTAAGCCCATGGTCTCTGCCATGGAATTCTGCTCCCTTCTCTGATAGGACCAGAAAGGAAAAGTTGGAGAAGAGCGATGGTGTAGACATTTTAGGTAGAAAAGAGAGCAGGTGATAATCCTGGGATGTGAAAACAGCAATCAGTCACTGACAAATGGTCCTGAGTGGCAACATGAGAGGACGGAGCTGACCTCTGCACTGAGCTCTGGGTAACCCGAGTGACCCTGTGTGTCTGCTGGTCATTATCACTGCCCTGCGTCCTGCTTCACCTGTGTCTCAGGACGAGACTCCAACGGACACAGAATCAATATAAATGTAATCGTTGGACACAGTTTTGAAAAACTGTCCCTGCAGTGGTCATAATCAGTAATCACAGGCTTTTAGAGGGAAATCGGCACATAGAAGTGTTTTGGGCCAACTCCTCACTTTGGACAAGAATAAATGGCTCAGAGAAAAATAAAGAGAAGCCCAAAGTCCAAGTCCAGAACCCAAGTTTCCTGACTCAAACATGAGTGCTTTCTCTTTTAAGTCACTAAATATCAGGTGACACTGCCTCCCTGACCCTGGGAAATATCTGTGAGTGCAGGGAAGCAGAGCACCCAAGTGCCCCAAATGGTTTGATAAAGCTGCAGGTTTGGAAAGCTTACGCCCCTTACCCTCCCATACTCACACATCTAGTCAACCTCCAGATTTCTCCGAGTCAGTAACACGCACCTATATCTGCCAGATTGCTTGGGCAGTTACATGAGAATTATCCTTGACATCCTTCTCTCTCTTAGCCACCACAACAGAAAGGCCTGATTTCACTTCAAACCACACCCAGGACTTGTCCCCTTCTCTGCTGTCACTGCTTCTGCCCAGCTGTGGATTCTCTCTCCTGGTTAAGTGTAACAGTCTCGAGGAATCCATTTCAGCTGCCATCCAACCTCAGCCATAGTGCTCTTGGTCAACCAATACGATCTGATCATTCCTGCTTAAAACAACAACAATAACAAGACAACAGCAATACCAACAACAAACTCTCATTCAAAACTGCCCATTGCATTTGGGATACAATTTGGGGTTCTTTTTGTGTTCTATGAACTTGGATTGTCTGTCTCTGAATACTTTCCCAAAACTTATTAAACACTAGCTCTACAGATTGCTTTTTAGGTCCTCAAGCTCTCCAAAGCCAATCTTGCCTCAAAGCCCTAAAACAGCCCTATTCCTTGTATGTGAAATGTTCTATCACTTCACTTATCCTAATGCCTCTGCATACTTCTCTTTACCATCTCCACTACATAAATTAGAATCCCAGTTTTTTTCCCTTTAAAACTCTGAGCAGTAAAATGACATGTATTTATTAGCAAACCTTTTGACTTTAAATATAATGTTCAATTCTCTGAGCTTTCCCATTCTCACCTATAAAATAGGCATAATACTGTTCTGTAGAATAGTTGTAAGGATTTCAATGAAAGCCCTTAATAGGCATTCAATGAATAACTATTAAAAATATTATTCTTTAACTCTATCCATAACCCAGAACAATATTCTGTACAATGGGGAAGCAATCATGGATTAAGATCCAGAGCTAAAATGACTGTCAACCAGAACACAATGGCTTTTCTGGAATACCGTTTCCAAGAAGAAAGCTCTTGAGCCACCTGTGTATAAAAATACATTGGGTTTGACTTACCTCATGTTGTAGAGAAACCGTCACAGTTCTTAGCTATGAAAGAGGTGAGTGAATAAGGAGAGGGAAACATATACAACAACTAGATAAAGCACTGAAATACCAATAGCCTATGCTGGGCAAATGGACTATCATAAGCTGGGGACATTGAAGAAGGAAAAATTTAAAAAATGGCTTCTCCATTGAGTAGGAGTGATTTCTGCCTTCCTCTTCCCAGTACTGACAGTTAATGGACATGAAAATTGGAACACAGACCTGGGGCTTTCTTAAATCCTGTTGTCCAAATTGTAGACTATTTGCAAAGCAAGCCAGTATGAATCTTGAATACATTTGCCGTGGTTCTCCTGGAGAGCCAACACATGTAAATGCACCTATTCGCAAGTTTATAAAAGATGTAAATGTCCACACATAAGAACATTGAAATAGCCTTCGGTGAGGTGTTTTAATAAGCCAATCTCTTAGTCCATACAGCAAACAAACTGGAATCAGAGATCAGAAGCAGAATTGTCATTAGGCAAAGCTGAATACTTCGTTTTTAGGAAATTCATATAGTCTAGAAAAGTTGCCCATATACCATCATTTTGTAAATTGGATTGTATTTTTTAAAGCACTAAAGGAACGAGTTATTTTAACTAGCTTCCAAGTGAAATCTTTGGTAAACTGAAGAATTATTTTTGTATTGTGAATAATTGGCATCACTAAGTTCACTTTGTAAACAGGAACACTTGCATCATGTTTAGATTCAAGCAGAGGATCCATCTGCTTCTGGTTTTGGGAGTCATTCATTCACTTAGCATTATTAATGCATTTATTCTTCATGTATTCAATCCATAAATATTTACTGAGTGCCCACCAAATGCCTGGTACTGTGTTAGATGCTTGAGATCCAGGAAGGTATGAGAGAGATCTTATGCTTTGCTCTCTTGAGGCTTGTATTCTACTCGGGTGAGGCAACCAAAAAATAAGTAAATAAAAACATACAATACAATTTCAAGTGTATGTGTTATGAACGAGAATAACACAGTTTACAGGGATAGGCTGAAGATGATCGGAAGGGGATTGGAGTGCCGAGTGGGTGTTTCTGTTCATGAGACACCCTGGGACATCACCTTTAAACAGGCAAAATGAAGAAGCAAGCCATAGGAATGAACAGGGAAAGGGTATTCCAGACAATAGGAAGAGCAAGTGCAAAGGTCTCGAACCTGGAAACTTGTCTGAAAAGCAAGAAAGCTTGAGTGATCAAGGGGCAAAATTTACTTAAATTTTCTGATTTGTTATAAAGGATATTACTAGGGATACAGATGAAGAGATGCATAAGGTGAGGTATGGGAAACAGGGTACAGAGCTTCTATGTCCCTCCCAGGTGTCCCATGCTTCAGGAACCTCCACAAGTTCACCTATCTGGAAGATCCCCAAATTCTGTCCTCTTGGACCTTTTATTGAGACCTCATTGGATACGCATGATTGACAACCATATAGAGATGTGATTTGACTGAAAGGTTATGATCTAAACCCAGTAAGGCCTGTCCAGATTCTTCTTGGCTTTTCTATGCAGTATTCCTTTCTCCTGGGTATGGGTCAGGACTCCCTCTGGTATGAGGGTCTTATGACCCATAGTCAGATTAGAGTCCAGCCTTGGGCAGATGAAAGGAGACAGGGGAAGGTTAGAGGGAGAGACACTGTTTTCTGAGGCCTGATTCTTAGGCCTAAAAAGCCACAACATTATAACAAGGGCTATGCCAGTTATGAGCCAGAAACTGTAGCTAAACACGTCTGTATACTATATAGGTTTCATATATTATATAGGTCACCATATATAAAATTATATATATATAAAATATATTATCATATATAATATATTATATTACATATTATATATAATTATATAGTTATATATAATTATATATAGAATTATATATAATATAATTATATATAGAATTATATATAGTATAATTATATAACATATACAATTATATTATATATAAAATATGTAATAATTATTTTATATATTATATAAAAATATGTAATGTATAATTATTTTATATATTATATAAAATATATGTAATATCTAATTTTATATATTGCATAAGAATATATAATATCTAATTAGTTTATATATTGTATAAGAATATATAATATCTAATTATTTTATATATTGCATAAGAATATATAATATCTAATTATTTTATATATTGTATAAGAACATATAATATCTAATTTTATATATTGTATAAGAATATATATCTATTTTATATATTGTATAAGAATATGTAATATCTAATTATTTTATATATTGTATAAGAATGTGTAATATATAATTATTTTATATATTGTATATAAATATGTAATATGTAATTATTTTATATATTATATATAAATATGTAATATGTAATTATTTTACATATTATATATAAATATGTAATTATTTTACATATTATATATAAATATGTAATATGTAATTATTTTACATATTATATATAAATATGTAATATGTAATTCTTTTACATATTATATATAAATATGTAATATGTAATTATTTTACATATTATATATAATATGTAATATATAATTATTTTACATATTATATATAATATGTAATATGTAATTATTTTACATATTATATATAAATATGTAATATGTAATTATTTTACATATTATATATAAATATGTAATATGTAATTATTTTACATATTATATATAAATATGTAATATGTAATTATTTTACATATTATATATAAATATGTAATATGTAATTATTTTACATATTATATATAAATATGTAATATGTAATTATTTTACATATATATAAATATGTAATATGTAATTATTTTACATATTATATATAAATATGTAATATGTAATTATTTTACATATTATATATAAATATTTAATATGTAATTATTTTATATATTATATATAAATATGTAATATATAATTATTTTATATATGATATTTAAATATGTAATATGTAATTATTTTATATGTTATATGTAAATATATAATATGTAATTATTTTATATATTATATAAATATATAAGATGTAATTATTTTATATATTATATAAATATATAAGATGTAATCATTTTATTTATTATATATAAATATATAATATGTAATTATTTTATATATTATATATAAATATATAATATGTAATTATTTTATATATTATATATAAATATATAATATGTAATTATTTTATATTTATATATAATATGTAATTATTTTATATATATATAAATATATAATATTTAATTATTTTATACATTATATAGTATTCTATATATATATATTCTGTCTCTCTACATATATATATGTGGAGAGAGATATATATAAAGAGTATACTATATAATATATAAAATAATTATATATACTATATAATATATAATATCATATATTATACTAGGGAGAGTATATATATACTAGAGAGAGTATACTATATAATATATAAAATAACTATATAATATATATATGTGGAGAGAGAGAGAGAGAGGGTATTCCAGAAAAGCCATTGTGTTCTGTTTGACAGTCATTTTACTTCTGGGTCTTAAGCCATGATTGCTTCCTCATTGTATATTGTTCTATGTTATGGATATATACATGTATATACATATAGAGAGAAAGAGAGAGAGGGAGAGAGAATATATAGGGCACTATAGTGTGTGTGTGTGTGTGTGTGTGTGTGTGTGTGTGTGTGTGTTTGTGTAGTCACAATGACTATAGGATATAACCTAGGGGACCTGAAGATCCAAGATGGTCTGGAGTAAATGATGATGAAAACCTGTTTCTGCCTGTGTGATACTGCATTAGTGGCCCAACACTTCACCCCTTCCTGTAACCCTACTGTTTGTCAGGCAACTAAAGTTTCTCCCCCTATAAAAGCAGATCATATTTCTCCACTCCTTAACTTTCCATCTGATCATGCCGCTTTGGCCAACAGATTAAAGTAGAAGAGATAGCTTCCAGTCCTGAGCCTAGGCCTCAAGGGGTCATGCATATTTCTGCTTCACCTCTTCTGCAGTTTTTATCACCATGAGATTATGTCCAGGAGAGTCCCAGGCGGAGGATGAGACATGCAGAAAACCAAGCTGAGTCGCCCAAGCCCAGCCTAGTTTAGACCAGGCAACCCCAGCTAAATCATAGATCTATGATAGTAAATGCGTGCTCTTCTAAGTGAGGAGTGCTAGGATCATTCGCAACATAGTATTATTATGATGATATTTGATCAATATATTGGTTTTAATTCACCCAAATACATTAATTCATTCAAAAATGCATATTGTATGTCTATGCTTTATGTCATGTTAGGCACCATGCTAGATGTTAGGGATGCATAAATAAACCAGAAAAGTGTCACCCCTGCCCTTGGGGAACTTTAAGTGAAGGAGAAAGACAGATGTTATTGATAGAGTTGAAAAGGGTATGTTTGAGAGACGGGCTGCCTGGAGTCAGACCTTAGCCTGAGATGATTGGCTGATTGCTCCTAGTGTTGGAAAGGAGAATTGCATCTCTGAGATGTTCTGATTTTTTCAAATCAATACATAGAAATTGGACATATTTATAGGGTACAATGTGATGTCTCAATACATGAAATGATGAGTAGCACTTAAAAAGCCCAGGATTTAAACTCTGGAAAAAACCTTCTTCAGAGCTCATTTCAGGTAAGCTCTTATTTGCAGTTAGGGAAACTGAGGCTCAGAGAAAGGAAATGACTTTCCCAAGGTGACTCAATGAATTTGTGGCGGATCTAAGATATGAACTCAGAGCCTCAGCCCCCAAGCCTGGCACATCTCATTCTACCTGACCTCAATCAAGCCTTATTTAGACAATTTACAGTGTCAGAAATTTTGAACTGCCATAATATTCTTGGCCAGTTTTATAACCAGTTCTAAGATAAGATTAATCTCTATAATTATTATAATTCACAATTGTAGCATGTCTCTTTTCTTGCTCAGGTCATTTAAAATGTGATAATAATCAGGCCTCATAATTAATAATAGTAATTAATAACTTTCACTTATGAAGCCTATGCTCCAAGCTTAGTGCTTTTGGCTCTAGGTATGTGAGCATGTTGAATCCCCACCACAATCTAGGCACAGATAGTAATGCCCATTGTATAGATTTGGAAAGCATATCTCAAGGAGATAAAGTCTTTAGCCAAAGTTATGGCGCTAAGGAGTGGCAGAGCCAGGAATCAGACAGATCAAAGGCCTGTGGTCCTCCCACCTTGCTCTAAAGATCCAGCTGTGGGAATATCTTCCTGAAGTGTCTGATTCAGAAATGGTATTCCCATTCCATCTTTCTTAACTTCCTCCTCTGCCTGGGGAAGGCGTGGTTGGAGCCCACTGCAATGTGATGAAACTAACGCCCCGCTTGGATCTTGCATCACTCTTTACACCATTTACCAAAGGATGCCTCTAGAGCAGGAAGCTTTGAGAAGACCTGGGGAGCCTGGAACTTCTAAGTCTAAACAAGGAACTGACTCAGCAGGGTCTGGCTATCTTCAGAGTCTGAGGAGAGGCGCATCAAAGGAATGACAGCCTGGTACCTTTGATGAAGGAACTGACAGGAAATTAACAGCCTCGTGCAGGCAAGGACAAAGACAAGAAAAGGCCCATTTGGGCCTCATATCTCTCTGGATTGGAACCCGCAGGAAGCAGAAGGGGCTGTTTAATCCTGGCTCCAGAGCAACCGTGAAGGCTGGCTTCCTCCCTTGAAGAAGAACAAGGTGAAGGAAAGGTGAGGCAAGTTAAGATAAACACCCAAACTTCTGGCTGGCTGGCTGAACTGAATCTTTCGATTTAAGCTGTCAGTGGGTTCTTTTTTTTTTTTTTTTCTATTCTTTTACTTTTTTAAATCTAAACTGTAATCACACAATACTCCACCCAAGTGCTTGATAAGGATTTCTAAGACAGATCCTAACACAGTCATAAAAAAATCCCCTCTGAAATGTGCACTTTGTACTGTGTCTATGAGTAGGTGTGTTTAAAATGTCACGAACTGGAATGCCTAACTCTAGTTCCCAGGAATTAATCACTTAGAAGAGTGAAAGGGGGGAATTAACTTTCTTTAAAACTTATAAGGTTCTCCAAAGCAGCAGCCAAAATAGAACTTGCTGAATAGAAATATGGTTATCTTTCCATAAGAACTAAAAATCTTTTTTTAACATATTTTTCTCTGAAACTGCTTTGCCAAGTTTCCTCTTGTGGATTAGCTGCAGGTCACAGATATTCTGGGAATAAAGATATGAAAGGATTTTTTTTTCTTTCTTGGTTACAATTCAATGATTTTAGTAAATTTATAGATTTGTGCAATCATCACAACTATCTAGTTTTAGAGCATTTTGATTGCCCAACAGAATTCCCTCAAGTTCTATTTGCAGTCAATTCCTGTTCAAATCCTCAGCCCTGGGCAACCACGGCTTTATGTTTCTATAAGTTTGCCTTTCCAGTTCATATAAATGGCCATTTCATATAAATGAAAATCATACAATATGTTGTTTTTCATTTGGCTTTCAGCATATGTTTTTGAAGTTCATTCGTGATGTAGCAAACATCAGTATTTCTTCCCCTTTTATTGCTGAACAATATTCCATGGTATGGATACACCCTGTTTTCTTTATCTACTCACCAGCTGATGGGTATTTATGTTGTTTCTTTTGTTTATCTGCTCACCAGTTGATGGGTATTTGTGTTGTTTCCAGATTTTGGCTATTATAAATAAGGCTGCTATGAACATTCTGGTGTGTGTTTTTGTGTGAACATGTTTCCTGTTCTCTTGAGTAGAATCCTAACTTGCTGGGTTGTGCAAAGGGTTATTGACTGCTGCTATACACTAGGTTCCATCTGATTCAGGTGTGTAGTGTCAGTGGAAACTTATCAAGCAGTTTTTAACTTACTTTTTAAAATCGGCTGATGCACCCATTACTAAAGGGATGGTCTATAAAAACAACTGTTGTGATTCGATAAATGCTGAACAGAGAGGAGAGGTCAAAGTCCAGCTAATGTCAGCTGACATGTGGCCAGGTTCATCTTTGGACACGCTTCCAAAAGGGAGTTTATGAAACTTGCTTCATGGATCAAGAGATGTCCTAATCATTACAGATCCCGGGCATCTTTGTATAATATATGTATGATCAGATTGATCGTGACTTCACACTCCCTCTAGGACCACGTGGAAGGGTTGAGAAAATCCAGGCAATAGTTTGTAGCCAAACAAGAGCAAAACTCGAGTACCTCTGAGGGAAAGCCGGACCCCTTGTCCATCCTCTCCTGTGTAAGTAACTTCATTTATAAGCTGAAATGACGCCACCAGATCATCCTATTACCATCACCATGCCTCATTAGAGTGGGGACTTTCGGCGGTGGCTTGGGAAGTACCCAAAGTTTTAGGGGTTACAGCAGAGGCCAAAAAGGCAGACAGAGGAAGCAGGGTAGAGCTCTGAAAAGGTTCAGGGCCAGGGACCCACAGGGGGAGGCAGGAGTGGCAGGCACCACGATCTGCTCTCTGGCGCTCTACAGGAAAGCACCGGGAGTCAATGTCCTCGCGCGTCCCTTGCGCAGAGTGTGGTGCGAGGTTGGGGGGTTACTGGAGACCCAGGGGGCTATCACCTTGGACACCTATGGTGGGGGGAAGGCTGAGGAGTAAGATAACCGGGCAGCTGGAAACTTACAGCTCTTCCCCCGCAGTGGAGGAATGAGGAGTTCAAAGGCCACGTCCACACAGAGGGTGACAGAGGCATCCTCTCCGCGCAGGACGCGGACTGGGGGCAGGCACGCAGCGCCACCCGGATCCTGGAGTCGTCAAGAAAAACGCGGGCGCGCAGGCCGAAGAGGGTAGGTCCCGGGGCAGCCTCGCCGGCACCCGCCCCCGCGGGCGTCTCCCCAAGCCGTGTGGAAACCCGGGCGGCTGCGGGCGCTCGGGACCCGCGGGCTGGTGACCAGGAGCTGGAGGGCAGGGCTCGGCCGCTCTTGCCTTAGCCCCGCACTGGGGTTCCTTCCCCATGCGCTCAGGATCCCAAGCTTTCTCTTCCGTTTTCGGCCTCTTTTTCCGTTAACTCCTGGGCCCGTCTCCTCCCCTCTAGCCCTTTCAAACTGCTTGGCTGTGGCGCCCAGCTTTCCCTCCGCAGCCTCCTTCCCCGTCTTTTTCGCGGGTCCATCTCTTCTCCTTTCCCAGCCTCATCCCCGTCCCCCTAGGCGGTTCCTTTTTAGCCTTCACCCACTGGCGTCTCCACCTTCCTCCGCCTCCTCTCTTGCCTCCACCTCCCACCCTGCAAACTTGTTCAAGCCAGGGGTCCCCACACAGGCATGGTTGTTCCCTGCTGGGTGTGCGGATCCCCACGCCGTTCCCGGTACCGCGAGCGCCCCGCCCAGTCCTTGGCGTGATTCCTAAGCCCCGGCCCTGCCAGCCCTTTCTCCCGGCGACTCGGGGAGGGAGGGCAGGAAGCAGGCCCGGGGAACCCTCACGGTAGCGAGTCGTCAGTGAGGGGAACAGCGGAGGAAGGAGCTAGGACTCCGGCGCTGCGCCCCATTAGGCCCTTTCTCCCGTAGAAACGCACACTCCACCGGGCCCTGGCGGGTCTGTAGCGAGGGAGTGGCAACAAGTGACACTACCGGCGGGGGCCACTGATACCTGGCTGGGGTAGGGGCCAAGGCACCCTCCCAAAAGCTGGAGCGAGGCCGACCCCGGCGAAGCGCTCCCCGCGCACCCCTCTCCGAGGCGTTGCGTGGGGGGCACTAGACGAGAGGAGAGCTGAGAGAGAACGGAGACTGGGCTCTTCCCAAGTCCTAAGTCTCCCTCCCCGCCCGACTTCACCACCAGAGCCACCAGAAGAGTTTGCAAGGGATGGGAGATTGAGAGGGGTGGGGGCTGGGCAGGAGCCGCCAACGTTGAGGGATTTTTGGAAGGTGGGGTGGTGGAGTGAGAAAGAATAGAACGCGCTCCCGAATTCCCAATTGCTTCCCTCACTTGGACGATACCTTCCCCCAACCACCATCCCGGCCCGCCAGGCGAGAGCCCAGCCTGGCCAGCTGGAGCGGATTTGGGGGAAGGAGGAAAATGGGGGCTCCCAACCCCTCTCCAGCTTCCCTCCGCCGCCCTCCCTGATTGGCTGTGCGTCCCTGGAGCCCAACTTCAGTCGCTCCAGACTCCATCTGAGCCCTGAGGGAGTCGGAGCGCCGCGCCACGGGGCGGGAGGGGCGGCCACGAATCCAGGGGTTAGCATCTCTGGGCCCCTGGGGGGAGGGGCGCGGACGGGGTCGGCCCCCGCAGCCTCTGCGAGGCCCATCTCGCTGCCTCTCGCAGCCTCGGCTTCTCTCAGCCCCCGCCCTTTCCTTCCCTCACAGCGGCAGCCTCCCTCCTCCCGCCCCCCCCGCCCCGCACCCGCCTGCCCGCCCGCCACCTCCCCCCGGTTTCTCATTCCTGCCACTAGCGCGCTCGGCGGCTCATTCCGCGGCCGCCGCCAGCTGAGGGGAGCGTCGCGGGCCGAGGAGCAGATGCCGCGGGGGCCGCTCGCAGCCGCCGCTGACTTGTGAATGGGACCGGGACTGGGGCCGGGACTGACACCGCAGCGCTTGCCCTGCGCCAGGGACTGGCGGCTCGGAGGTTGCGTCCACCCTCAAGGGCCCCAGGTGAGGTGCGCCGCCAGTCCCTTCCTCTCGCCTGGTTGGGGCTTCTTGGAATGGGGGGCAGGATTTTCTCAGGAAGAGAATGTCTTGGCGGGGCGGGGTGGTGAGGGGGACGGTGGTATCTGAGTCGAGAAGGCTTCACTAACGCAAAGCAAAAGGGAGGGAGAGATTTGTTTAAAAATCAGAAAGGGAGAAGGGAGCCAGCTGTGGGCGCGGGCAAAGCAGGGGACGGAGGCTTCAGATGTGCGCTCCACGACTCTCCCTGGCTCCGGCCTCCTGTGGGGTCTGCGCCGAGGCCACAGCAGAGGGGGTTTGTACCTGGCTGGGGCAAGAGACTGCAGAGCAGACCTCCGGACACGCCGACTGTCCCCGGTCATATCTCTGGGGAAAGTCGCCCACGGCGCGGTGCCCGCCAGCCCTGCGCCGCTTCCCCAAAGCGGCGACATGACCGCGCTCTGCGGGGTTCTTACTCCATCCTCCCGGATCCCTGCCGAAAGCTCCCCGGGGCTTAGTCCCTGCAGTCGAGACTGCCGGGTAAGCCCGGGAAAACGGAAAGACCCCAGCTCCGGAAGGAGATTGCCCGCACTTTAATAGCGTGGGTTTGGGGCCGCCGACTGTGGTTCTGGGGCAGCAGGCTGCGGTGCGCTACAGCCCTCCAGCCCGAGTCTCTGCGGGAGCTCTGGCGCCCGTTTGTAAGCTCCCACCAGCGCAGGAGTAGGTCCATGAGCGGCCCAGACTCGGGCTCGCCTCTGGCTTGGGATTGGCGAAAGCTGCCAGGGTCAACGTTAACTTTGAGAACCACACCTTCCCGAAACCTGCGCCGCTTCTCGGAGCGCGCCAAGCCTCTCTAGCTCCCGGCACGCACGGCCTCCCTCCCTGCGCTCTGCCCCGGAACGCGAGCCGGGAGGTGGGAAGCACTGAGAAGCTGGCCAGATGGGGAGGACGGCGAGGAGAGCTCCCTTCTCCCCCCTCCCCAACCCAGAGGAACTGTAGGAGGGCCCGCCTCACGCTGTGAAGCGGAGTCCCCAGAGAAAGTGGGGTCGGGGGAGGCTTGCGGGTCCGGCTTCCTTGTCCGTTTTTTTGCCGAGGCCCTGCTTTCGCCCGGGGCTCGCCGCGCCTGCCTCTCCCGGGTGAAAGGTTTTCTAGGTGCTAGAAGAAGCCCTGTTGCTTTTGCTGATAATGCAGTAGGAATTTCATGGGCCATCACACTGCTATTAAGAAATCGCATCTTTTAATTATTTAATACCATCCCTGCCTGACGACGGGTTATCCCTAAGGGATGGGAGTGGGGGGTTGTTCTTGAAACCCGGCTGTATGAGGGTATAGATTTCACTAAAGTCTTCCCCCTTCGTCTCCCCCTAAAGAAATCGTGCTACGATCGCTCTGAAATCTTTTCTTATTTTCTTCTTCTAATCATGGCTATCGGTTTAATATGAGGCAGTAAGTTTTCGTTTTAATCACAGGGAGGCTACCATAATTAATCTGGCTAGAGGACGGATCAATTTCCTCATCACTTGGGCTTGCAGCAGACGTCGATGGTTTTGCGGGGTGTCTGGATTTCCTGGGGATGGGGATGCAGATGTGTTCTCAGGAGCGAGGATCCTGTAGCATCGCATGAGCACATTTGCCAGGCTGGGCTCTGAGCGCTAGAGCCTAATATGTTGGCAGAGAAGAGAAGGGACTGACCTTCTTTTCGTTAATCCTGGAATTGTTTTTCCTACAAATACGTAGGTGCAGACACCAGAACAGAAATATTAACTGCCCAACCCTAGCTGCAGGGAGCCTGGTCTTCTTCCAATAGGACAAAGGAAAAAAAGTTACAAAACAAAGGGACAGAGTTGTGGCCAATACGAGAAGCACTCTGAGGCTCCAGCTACTGAAGTTCCTTAAATGTAATCTCTGATTCCAAGTTTTAGAGTTGGCCAGTGGGCTCTGGAATTCGAACCTCTGTGAAAAACTGAAATCCAGCCTAGTACAAAAGGAATGTGAGTGCTTTTCAGTAGAGACCAGGGAAAGGCATCTGAAAGGCCAGGAAACTTTGCTTGAGTAAGGATTATCTTTACATCTTACTTTTGAAACATTGTAAATTAAGACATTAAAATGTCTTGCAGGCATGCACTATTATTAATAAAAATTATTACTATCATTTTAGTTGTTACTTCAGAGTCTGCATAAACTGGGCATTTTATGACATTGTTTGAAAGAATAAACCACCCTCCTCACCCCTGGGAAAGGGGGAATGAAGGCAGGCCTTGGAAGGATTGAGACTGGATAATCTGGCGAGCCCCAGACATGTAGATTTATTCAAATGGCTGCTTATTGCTGCCTAGGAAAATAAGCTTTTAAAATAGTTCTAACTGAAGCAGTGGACCATCTTGATAGCACTTCAGAACTTTCATTACGTTCAGCATTCTTATCAGAACACCAGACAGTAAAATTACTAGAAACCTAAATTCTATTTTCAATTAAGATGCAATCTTTTGTTAATTTGAAAATTTAAAAAAAATAGTTATGGCGCAATTTTTTTTATGTCTTAGAACTCATGTTCCCTCTGTAGAGTGGTGGCTGTGGATGTGCATGTTTGATTGTTTATTTGTGGGAGGAGGGGGCAGGGGACAGACTTGGAGAGCCACGCCATGATTTGGGGGAATACGGATCAATTTCATGCTCTTTTAATGCACTTGTCTTCATAATTCATGGTTTTTCTTCTCCTTTGAATAGAATTACATGGCTGCTTTGTAAAGATTCTGGTTTGGGGACCCTCATATGGGAAACGCCATGACATTGACCTCGTGGTCTGATTTACAATGCCAGTACTGCGCTCCCAGGAGCATAGCATGTCCTGGAACCTTGCCTGTGAATGCCTGTGACTTATGAAGTGGTAACTTATGAAGTTGGTAAACTTTGATCTCTTATATTCAAATCTGTTTTCAGAACCATCTAAACAAGATCTTCAAATCTGATTTTAGTCTTCCTTCATTCTCAATACATGTATGTAGGTAGATGTTGGAGAAACATAACAATTTCATTGGAATTTACTTTCAATATTGATGTTTTCACTTTGATGACAGGCATACTTACTCATTCAATAATAATAAAACAGTGGAATATATAGAGTTTGAAAGTAGGTATCAAACTTTTTTTCTTGAATTGTCAAATTTGAAGAATGACTATGAACTTTCAAGTTTTTTTTTCCTAGAAAATTTGAGCACTGTATAAATTCACTAGCCAATGATTTAAGGGATTGAAATGTGTTTGGGATGATTTTCTCCCTTATGGAATTGGCTGCTGTTTCATAAAAAGTTACCTAATTTGTCAAGAATCCCTATTCTGCACTTACCAAGAATTGTGAGTTTTCAGCCTTTTTAATTTAAAGTTATTGCCTCTGAAATATATAAAAGTAGTTGGTCTATATAAATTTGTGATTTAATTGATTAGGGGGAAAAACATCAACAGGTCTGCTAAAGAAAAAGAAAAATAAAGTTGGAGAAAATTGGACACATCCTGGTGCACTGGTAGGAGTTAAAAATGAGCTGTTCCATCAGGATTCCTGTGATAGCCATCCGCAGCCTCCCCTATGAGCAGGAAGGACTAAAGAAAACACTCGAGGAGCATAATTAGACATCTTTCTGCTATAATTTTACCCTGACATTGAGAGCCTTGTACAACTCTGGAAATGGACTCCTTCGCGGAAGATTGCACTTCTGGCCACTAGAGGGCAATGGCACCCTTCTCCAACTGTCTGCATGGAGCCCATCTGCTTTTGAGGGCATCATGAAAAGCGGTTTTGTTACTTACAAGCCTTGTCTGGCCCTCTCAGGAGAGACCGAATTCAATCTAGCTGTGGTTCAAGCTACTGCTCGAGCAGTTGGTCAGGATTAGCATCTCTCTAGTGGGTGGATCCTGTTACCTTCAGCATCTTCTTCCCACCTTGGAGTTTACTAGAAAGTTGGGAAATCCTGTAACTTGACATTGAGCAGCAGCCGGGGTGGGGGCTGGGCTGCAGGATAAACAAGGTCAGCTCTCACTGAGACAGTGATCTGGGAGGATTTTCTGGATTTTTTTCTGGCAAAAAGAGCATCATTTCTGACTCCAAGTGGAAGGGAATGGATAAAGAAGAAAAATATCAGTGAGACTACCGTGACACCATTGCCCGTTCTTTCATGAGGTTTTGAAGATGTCTGCAAGACACTTCTAATTTGCAAAAAGGAATAGCAGTTTGATCTTCGGTAAACACTTTGGGGCATGGAATTTTAATATAGCAGTAAATGTTTTACTGTTTCTTTTAAACCATTCTTGATATTGTTGTGAAAAACCTAACTTTAGCAGAGAGTAAAATTTAATTCAAGATTGTTCCTCGTGCACTGGAGTATAATCATTTGATTTTTTTTCTTCTCAGCGATATGGAAATTATGGCTTATGATTAAATTGCATATTCCAGGCTACACAAATTTATATTTGCTCCTGTTTGATAGTGTCATGAAAGTTCAGGAGGAGAATGCAAAAAGAAACTAATGCTATATTATAATTAAGAGGAAAACTCCATTAAAGAAATAAGTACTGTTTTAAGTGGCTACTTATTTGTGTTTTTTGTCTTAAGTGAGTACAGTTGCCTCCCTGGTGATTCAGCAATGAAGTTCTTTGCAGCTCTGAGCTGTGTTGGAATGCGTAGACAGTTGATGAAGAAGGAATCAATGCAAATGGATTATGGGAGGGAGTATTAAGTAACTCAGTGGAAAGTAAGACAAAGTGTTTTGTAAACTGACGTTCACTTACCATTGGACAGTTTATTTAACTTTAAAAGGGGCAATTTTAAATTCTAAGCTCTTGTGAATAATGCACATTGTTTGAACTGGAGGCAAAATTTCATTGTTATTTGGTTTAATTAGTCATGAGACGGTTGCAGAGTTCAGGGATTCTTATTGAGACAAAGCATTTCTCTCACAGTCTGTATGGTCGAGGTTTCTGCTCAATCAGAAAATCTGGTACATCGGGATATTAAGTGAGAGGAATGTGAGAGAGAAGAGAGGGAAAGGAGGAAGAAACTCAAAAGTATGAGAGAGACTAATGATGCTATTTCTTATGGAGGCCAATTTCTGATCTTCGTACCTCTCTCTCTCTCTCTCTATCCTTATTAAGCCAATTGAAGAGCTGAATCTAGGAAGTTGATATAAACAGCTTTAAACAGCTTTAAAGACTGCAGTAGACAGTAGCCAAGGTCTTATTCTGTGTTTTCTGGCACCAAGTGTCCCTCAAACAATATTTGTGAATGAGCAGGGGTTTATTCTCAAAATTTCCTGGTTGCTGCAGGTGAAAAAAAGCTTTCACTTCCTAAACTCCACACCCCTTATTTGCCAGAAATCCTCCTGACATGGTCCTCTGCACTGGAATGATTTTCACAAATTAAAGTTAGCTCTCCACATTCAGCTCTCTTGAAGAAAATGGCCTGGAGCCCGGCTTTGTCCTTACTATGATGATCACCTCGCATGGCAACCAGTGTGGTAGGGGAGGCTCCTCCCTGGTCTTAGTTTAAGACACGTAGAGATCTCATTTCAGCCTCCATTAGGCTCCATCAGTGAGAGCAAACAGTGAGAATTTAGGGTAGAGTCCCTGCTATCGATGCATCTTTATTCTTCTCAATAAGAGCAAGGGTGGAGGAAGCAAGGATAGGCATAGCAGCTCAAATTGCTTCACACCTACCCTGCCTCGGATTGCTGGCAATGTTTTACCCATAAACTCATTCTGGAAAGTTCAGTTTTCATCATGCTAGAGGCTTGGACCAGTTATTCATTCTTGGAAGCAATAGTGCCCAGCAGCGGGGCCAGGATGAGGGTGAAGAGAGTAAGTCCAAGGCCTGTAAGTGCACGGCTGGATTCTGTCTTGATTGAAAATTTTGTCTTTTGCTCATCATAGATTTTTTCCCCACTAATCTTCATTATTTATTTACTTTTTTAGAGACAGAGTCTCACTCTGGAGTGCAGTGTTGTGATCGCAGCTCATGGCTGGTCTCAAACTCCTGGCCTCAAGCAATCTTCCTGCCTTGGCCTCCCAAAGTGCTGGGATTACAGATGTGAGCCACTGTACCTGGCCAACTAATCTTGATTTTTAAAATAATGCATTAAAGTATTACTTATTTTGATTACTGAGGTTTTGTTTTTTTGTTTTTTTTTTTTTTGGTGTAGCCTTATATTTTGTGAGTGAGGAGTTTTGCCTCCATTACTTACAAAGTATGTGACCAAGAATAAGCTATATAAGCTCCCCAAGACTCAGGTGTCTTCTTGGTAATGATAGACCTAATAATAATATCTATATCCTAGGATTCTTGTAAAGATAAAATGAGAATTTAGTGCAAGGCCTAGCTCACGATGAGCCTTCAGTGTGTGCTGGGGTTGCTTGCCCTGTCTGAAATAGACTTGGGATTCAGTTTTATGGACTAATGAGAACAGGTAGCAGTTCTTTCTTATCCATTATAAGGCCAGAAATCTTGCATTGAACATTTGTTTTAGATTGAGGCCTCTCCCAATTAGCAATGAATTGTTTATTAGTGCCTGCCTTTTTTGAATGATTTCGTAAATTTAAGTGATCCATCCCTCTTCCACTTAAAATATTCAAGAGGCAGTTGGGATTTGAGATTTGAGAGATAATTACTGCTTTTGAACACTGCCTGCCTCCTTCCTACCTTTGCATTTTTTCCCTCTGTTCGTTCTGCGTATGGGTTGCTGTGGTAAGTTACCCTGCAGTAATACCTTACTGGGAAAGTTTGCTAAGCATGCCATATTGAGATATTCATCACAGGTTTGCTTTCGTTTAAAAGGGGCTCATTACTATTCCAGACTAGCTCAAAAGATAATTAGTCTCTTGATAAATCGTCTCCATTTCAAGACTGTTCCTGTTTGTTTTTCAGGTAAATGTAGTTTGGGATTGTAAGGGGTTTGAGCAGTGACAGTTTTAACTCATAAATAGACTGTGGCTGAAAAAGTCCTGGACCTGCCTTGTGGGTTTCTGTCTTTTGCAGGCCCAGGCAAAAGCACAGTGATTTGGCATCATGCTAAAAATAACGGAGTCCTCACCCTCTCTTAAGCCCTGAATGGTTTCCAACTGTTTCTCACCCAAAATCACAGCCAGGCTGGGCTTTCCAAGGCTCCTGGACCTTCCAGGTTGTCCTGCAGTTTCCCATCTGCGGCTCGCCGGTGTCATCTGTTCTTGCTCCAGGCTGGCGTTCCCTCCTGCCTGCACCTTGCAATGAAAGGGAATATCTGTCTGTGTTTGCCGGGGAAAAGGAAGGAGAGAGAGACAACTTTTTGAGATCCTACTGTGTGCCGGACGCTCTACTCGGTACCTCATCTAGTCTGTACAACCCCCCGAGAGGAAGGTACTTTCATCTCTATTTACAAATAGGAAAATGACTCTCAGAGGGAATTTAAGACACTTATCTAAGCTCATGAGTCTGGGGAGAAGGAAAGCTGGCTTCCCAAACCTGCTCTGACTCTAAATCCTCAGTTTTCCACTGTTTTTGGTGCGTGTCTCAAGCCTGGGCCTCCTTCACTCTCTGGAGAAGGACACAGAAGAGCTGGTGTGACTGCTCAATCCTCAGCTCCTACAAAATCTCAAATTTTACTTGTAATGGGAGCTTCTGAGATCCTCTGATCCAACTCCCTTATCAGTAGGTTTTTTGTTTTCCCAATAATCCTACAGCTTCTTAAATGTCCTGATGACAGCCTGCTAACTACCTCTCAGGAAACCCAGGAGGTGAACAGGTGATTCATTAACTCTAGTCATTAAAAGCACTCCATTTTAATGAAGAAGGAGCTGAAATAACCTTTATGGTAACTTTCTCCCAGTAGTTACGTTTTGACCCCCCTTCACTTTTTCCTTTTCTTGAAGGCTCTGCAATTGTTTGGAACCTGGTATTTGATAATAGTTAAAACCTTGCATTTATTGAACACTTTGTTAGTTTCACACACTGTACTAAGAACATTCTGTATAATATGAGATTTACTCACAATGCCCTCATGAGCTACTTAAGATTGTCGCCAGCATCTTATGGGGGGTGGGCAGAGGGGTGCGGTGGAAATCACGCATTCTAGTGTTCCACAGCTGGTAATTGATAAAGCTGGGATTGTAACCCAAGCATCAGATGCTGAAGCTTAGTCACCATATCAGGCTGCTCCCACCATTCACAGTGTCAGCTAATCTGATGAGATACAGTTTCCAGACCTCTCACCATCCTCATCACTCCCATCTGCTTCCACTCCATGTTGTCACTGCCCGCTTTACCACGTGGCATCTTAAATCATGTTCCCTATTGCAGACAGTCTAACCACTTCGAACCACTACTTTCTCTAAGGAGGGCTGAGGACTCCATTTTACCAAGTAGAATTCTCAGGAATCAGATGTATGCAGTCATTAACTGAATCATTAGCTATTCCAGTCAACCTTCATTTAGAGATGAGGGTTCAGGAACCCAGAGAGGAACCAGGACTTGCCCAAGATCCCACGGTAATTTAGGGTTTAATGGAACAGAACTGTGCTCTTGAGGCTCTTAACCCAATCTCTTTTCACTATCTATAAACAAAAGTCTTTTTTTTTTTTTTTCTGAGATGGAATCTTGCTCTGTTGCCCAGGCTGGAGTGCAATGGTAAGGTCATGGCTCACTGCAACCTCCATCTCCCGGGTTCAAGTGATTCTCCTGCCTCAGCTTCCAGAGTGGCTGAGACTATAGGCACGTGCCACCACCCCGGGCTAATTTTTGTATTTTTAGTAGAGATGGGGTTTCACTATGTTGGTCAAGCTTATCTCGAAATTCTGACCTTATGATCTGCCCGCCTCAGCTTCCCAAAGTGCTGGGATTACAGGCGTGAGCCAGCGTGCCTGGCCAAAAGTCATTTTTTAATTGATTATTTTAATAGTTGTACCTGTGGTCTGATTTCTTTGTAAACGTATCATTAGTTCATTTGTTTATGTAAAGCTGCGCCCTCTGATATCCTTGGGCAGTTAAGTTGTGAGCCCTAAACATAAGGCTTTAAATGAATCTCTTATTTGGAAGTTCGTGATCAGTCCAGTGTCATTTCATACGCTGTTTGATAATACTTTGCAAAATGCAACACTTGGCCCTGGCCTTAAGCTCTGTCCTACTTTATAGTCACCTCCTATTACTAACTCCATTCCAAGGTTCTGTAAAGAACAGAGTAAGAATGATGTCCTTACCTTGCCACTGCCAAGCCTATAGAGGACACTTTGGCAGGGTTTGATTTGAAATTCATTTCAAACCCATTTCTTTGTCATTAATGCAAGGTCCTGGGTTGGGCAAACAGAAGTGGTCAAATCACGAGGGCTTCCCTTCAGAGAGCTGACAATATTAACAGCACAGAGAATACTAGGTCTGTTGATTAAAACTCAAGGCTTCATACTGTAAGGGCCCCAAAGGAAGCATTAAATTGGGCCATAGGAAGGACAAGTCACATCCAGTTTAGTGATCAATGGTGGTTTGGGAAAGAAATAACAGAATTCTACTCCTACATGATAGGGAGAGACTACAGAGGCCACCTAGACCAACAAACTCTGCCATCAGGTCCTTGAATCATTGCTACCATGTCCTGGTGGTGGTTGTAGCATTGCTAGTGATATGTAACTCATTACCTACTTATGCAAACCATTGAGACATTGGGAACCTTCACTGTTGGAAATGCTTCCTTTAGTTGAGCCAAACTATCTCCCCAAAGGTTATGTTCTTTGATATAGCCTATGATGCTATGCAGGATAGATGTAATTCTTCCTCCACATTGCACTTATTCTTTTTTTTTTTTTTTTTTTGAGACAGAGTCTCCCTCTGTTGCCCAGGCTGGAGTGCAGTGGCGCAATCTTGGCTCATTGCAACCTCCACTTCCCGGGTTCGAGTGATTATCCTGCCTCGGCCTCCTGAGTAGCTGGGATTACAGGAGTGCGCCACCACACCCGGCTAATTTTTGTATTTTTAGTAGAGACGGGGTTTCACCATGTTGGTCAGACTGGTCTTGAACTCCTGACCTTGTGATCCACCCGCCTTGGCCTCCCAAAGTGCTGAGATTACAGGCGTGAACCACCGCGCCCTGTTGCAATTATTCATTTTTAAGTTGTCTTCCAGGATGCCCTCTCCCCATTCTTAAAATCTCCAGATTGAACTCCCCATTTGTGTGTGTGTGTGTGTGTGTGTGTGTGTGTGTGTGTGTTTCTAGCTTTCCTCAGAGGAAAGGACTGAAGCCAGAAATCTAGGCAGCTAGACTCTAGATTATGAACTCCCTTCTACACACTTCTTTTATTGCAGCCTGAGGCTACATTACATTAGCTTTTATTGCCAGCCACATCACCCAGAGGACTTACGCTCCACAGTTTATTTGTTTATTTCTTTTTCCTTATGTGCTGCCGTTAAGCCGCATTTCCCCACCTGTCCCTGTGCACATAAGAAATGATAAGTCACCTTCAGTGGTGTTAGCACAGGCTCTGGAGTCAGGCTTCCCTGCTTCCAGGCGTGACCATGTCACTAACCAGCTGTGCAAGTCTCTTTATCTGCTTCTCAATTTCCCCATCGCACTGGGGTTAATGTCAGTATCTGCCTTCTAGAGTAGCTCTGATATTAAATGATATTAATCTATAAAATTGTTTAAAACAGCTCATGGCATGGAGTTGCTGTTATTCTTGTTGCTGTTACTTTTCATATTGCTGAGTTTGGTCAATTGATCCAGTCTACTGAAATATTTTAAAATTTAAATCTTGAGTCTGTTATTCAGCATATCTGTCATCCCTCCTAGTCTCATGCTATGGGTTGGTTTCCTCAGTTCCAACCTTGCCTTATAAAAACAGAACAAAGCAATGGCAATGAAAATACCCTGATGTGAGCAGGGACAGAGTCTTGTTAAACCATATGATATATATACACACTTCTATTTAAGTGATTCAAAACCATGGAAGACAACATTCCATGTGTTACTCATTCCATTTAGCTCATGCTTGGCATTTTGTTTGCTTGTTCAATTGTTTGGCTGCGTGGCCTCAGAACCACCTTCCTATGTTTAGGAAATAACCCCAATAAGCACCTTTATAGGAGGAAGAGAGTTCCTTCTACTCCAGGGGCTTAAAGGGCCAGAGAGTTGATTCCCTAACTTTCCTGGAAGCTAGAATGCCAACTCAGCACCAAATCCCCTGTGTTTTAAATTTGGATTCAGTATCTTACACACACACACACACACACACACACACACACACACACACACACACACACATCATTGGCCATGGATAACTCATTCTGGTCACTGTAGCAGTGGCTGTACAGCATCTGATTTCCAGGGGCCACAGAGGTGGTAAAATAACCCATAGCCACCCATGTCCAGCGGGGACAACCGTGGTGCCTTCACTCTTCTCGTTGTATGGCAGAGTCTGGCCTGGGCTTCTAACTGCCCAGCCTTCCTAGGTATCTGGGGTTTTTCTGAGCCTCTTTCTCCAGTTTTCCTGCAAAGACTGTGCTGCCCAGAGTCTATTTCTGTTGCTTTCAACTAAGAAACCCAAAAGTTTTCATTTCCCTACATATCCTTGTGGGACTGTTATGAGGAACAATATCTGCTGCATTATTGAATGAGATATCTGGCTTTTGAGTTCTTCTCAAAGGCCATATAGAATGTTGAGAGTCAGATAGGGTGTAAGGTTGGAGCAGAAGGAGGTTTTAGTAAACATTGAATAGGCTGGGTGCAATGACTCATGCCTATAATCTCAACATTTTGGGAGGTTGAGACAGGTAGATTGCTTGAGCCCGGGAGTTTGAGACCAGCTTGGGCAATACGATGAAACCTCATCTTTACAAAAAATACAAAAATTAGCTGAGCACGGTGTCACGTGCCTGTAGTCCCCAGCTACTCGGGAGATATTGCTTGAGCCGGAGAGGTCGAGGCTGCAGTAAGCTGGGATTGCGCCACTGCACTCCAGCTTGGGTGTCAGATCCAGACCCTGTCTTAAAACAAACAAACAAACAAACAAACATTGAATAGTCCAATTTGTGTTGAGCAAATATTGGGCAGGTGTCAGGACCTGGGTAGAAGTCCAGTAATATAGCTCAGTGGATGAGGTGGCATTTCCAAGGGCAGCTATGGCAGGCAGCATAATAGCTTGGCATGTGGATGGAAAATGGTCTCTTGTAAGGGACACATCCAGTTCTGTGGGAAAGTTTTCTATGGACTCTAGCCAAGGAGCCAATGCAAAAATCTCAAAAGCTGGAATACATAGGAACTCTCGGCATTGATGGGTGCATGAAAGGGGACCACCCCATAAAATGGACAAGTGGCCTCAAGTCGCATCTTAGCTTCTGGAGGGGACAGTCTGCACACCTTCTTAACTGTATAGCCTCTGTGTTGGCCCAATTATTGGGTAAACAGTGGAAGTTGTCAGTGCATACAGTTGGGTGAGTTTGGGCAGCAAGGACACACAGTTAAAAACTTTCTCTGGAGTTAGTCTCATACCATCCCACAACAACTTTTCTGATACACCTTTGAAAGGAATTTGCTTTACTCTTTCAGGGAGTGAAGTCTGCAGGGGAAGCCCAAGGTCTCAGAGCATCTGAGACATGGTAGCCTGTCTAATGGGTCAGAGAGTACAACCTCATAAGGGCTTTGATTTTGTAGCTGAGACAGCTCCTTGCCCAAATTTAACCCAGTTATCACTGAACTGAACAGAACTCTTGGAGCCATTCATTTCAATTTCTTTTTTTTTCGAAACAGAGTCTCACTCTATCACCCAGGCTGGAGTAGAGTGGCGCTGTCTCAGCTCACTACAACCTCTGCCTCCCACGTTCAAGCGATTCTCTTGCCTCAACCTCCCAAGTAGCTGGGTCTACAGGCATGCACCACCACACCCAGCTAATTTTTGTATTTTTAGTAGAGGCAGGGTTTTACCATGTTGGCCAGGCTGGTCTCGAACTCTTGACCTCAAGTGCTCCGTCTGCCTCAGCCTCCCAAAGTGCTGGGATTATAGGTGTGAGCCACTGTGCCCAGCTCATTTCAATTTCTATGTGGTAATCCCTGCCTGGTCACTATGAACGCAAATCCAGATCACTACCCAAAGAGGACTAACCAAACATAGGTGAGGCTATATAGGCAGCTTAGTAAAATATCACTAGTAATCAACTTTCAATTGTCTACTCATTAAAGCCACATGTTTAAAAGTTTTTTTTTTTAAATATTGATTTGATAGCAGCAGCAAAACTACATTTAAATCCAAAGCCAAATTGAAAATCAGGGTGAAGTGCTTCATTTATGCAAACAATTCTAAATCTCAATACTTTGCCAAAATATTCCAGTAGTAAAGGGAGATCTATCTTGAACAACTTCACTCCACCTTCTTCTTCATAGACACTGCTATATAGTATAAGATACAATTTTCATTTTTGTTATTATTTGGGGGAGCTTACAAAGCACTTTATAAATGGAGTGTCACTATCAGTATTATTATCTTAGAGTAAAAATTGCAATTTAGTAGTTAGAGCTGGGGACGCTTGCCTTCCAACTAATGCATTGGTGATTCTTGTGTTTTATTCATCACCATTCCTGCTGCAATCATTGCAGGGAATCTTCAACTTCAGCAAGTCTCAGCAGTGCATTTGGGAGCATTAATCAGGAGACTAACGCAGCCTGAGAAGTCACATCTTTGAAGTGAGGAACGGATCAGATCCTGAGGCATCGTTGTAGCTGCCCCCTCTCTATCACCCCCACTCCTCCTGTGCCCTGTATCGCAAGCCAGAAAAGCAACAGTTTTCACTTACAGAGAGACGTGCCTAGTGTCCTTTTCTTATTGGGTGCCTAACTTCTGTCTCATTTCTTGTGATTGGGGAAAGATCACCTGTCAGCAAGTTTGTGGTCAATTGCTGACAAATTTTCCCTAATAGGCTGCCCTGTGATTCCCTTCCTCTAGGCAGATCAGCCCTTGCAATGCTGGCATTGCTGATAAATAGCTGTGTGGCCTTGAGAAAGCCAATTAACCTCAGTTTCCTCATCTGTAAAGTGGCCTTTTGGGTCCTTTCCAGCTCGAAAATGGCCTGGCCCTCAAATCTTCCTCCACAAATCACTTGGCATGGCACTTTCTAACCATCACTTCTCAGCATTCTGGAGAAGGAATCATGGAGACAAGCACACCTGGATGTGAATGCACAGGTTTGCTTTGCCCGAGCAGAGTTTATAAGCAGAGGGTGATAGTGAGACATCATTCTGAAACCCTTTATGGGATACTTTCAATACCAAATTTAGAGCTTTGGACTTTATTCCCTAGGTCCCAAGGAAATTTTACAGGATTTGAAGCATGCTTTATTAAATGATTTCTGGACCACATTGAAAGGAACTGATAGAAAGAGACAGAAAGTTTAAACAGGGAAATTCACAGGGAGAGTACTCCTGTGAGTACCCTCTGGCAGTCACCTCACTGGTAGAGAGGATGAAGCCAGCACGAGGGTGGAAGCATTGTTATAATAGCTGATGTGGACTGAGCATTTACTGTATGCACACACTGCGTTCAGCATGTCCCATGAATTATCTCAGTCAATCTTCAGGACAGTCTCAATGAGGTAGAAGCTATAATTATCCATTTATAAAATATGCAAATCAAGACCTAGGATAATTCAGCAACTTTTCCCAATATTATGCAGCTAATAAGTGGATGAGCAGGGCTTTGAGCCAAGAGATCCCGTGTTCTTCATTGCTCTGTTATAGGGAGACAGACTTAAGGTGCTTTCAAGGGTAGGTCCGTGAGACTTACCACTGGTCATCGGGAAGTGCTTACTGACGGCCTGGGACTGGGCCTTTCATAGGTTATCTCATTTCATCTTTCCAGTTCCATAAATGGGAGCCTGAGATCACATGGTAGACAGCTGCAAATGATTTAAATTCAGGACCTGAAAGATCCAGAAACCTTTTCCCATGACTTTTCTCAGGCATACAAGATTGATGGATTCTTGGCACTCTCCCCACCCAGAATTATTTAAGGATGACACCAAGTGTTATGTTTTCTGTGATGTGCTCATGAAACTTAAATATTTAAAAAGATGTGTTAGGCAGAAAGAAGTTGTGTTTCCCAGATCCATGTTCTCTCCTGAGATTTTGGCTCCTGTCCAGCCCTGGCATACATGAAGGGAAGATGCTACCAAGAATGTCATGTCAGAACATTTATCTTGCACCCAGGATTTACAGTTTGTTTTGAAGGGTTGTTGAAAGAAGATGTATACATTCAGTTTTTGTCCATCAATAGGTACTATCCATTCTCTGTTATGCAGCATTAAGGTCTTGTATGTTGCATGTCAAAAAGGGAGTCCCATTGCAGCTTCTCTAATGCATATTAATAAGAAACAAGATTTATAAGAGATAAAGAATAATCTACACCGAATTTGAGGATGACATTAAGAGATATGAAATTTGGCACTCTAAGGCAGGTCTTCAGAATAGATGTGATAGCAAAGACCAAGATGGCAAAGTTTTGTTCAAAGAGACACAGTCCACTAAGGTTTCTATGTTTTGTATTGATCAACTCTTATATTTGTGTAACATTTTCATCTGTAGACCACCAGGTCAAACCCTATACCCATCCCACTCACTGTTAACAAGAAGGAACTCACTCCTCTTGTGTGGACTCAAGTTTCCTCTTTGGTAGAATAAGAGGATTAGAATGGAACATTACCTCCCTACAGGAGGGATTGGGAAAAACAGTTGAGCTCTGTTAAAAAAGTCCAAGAAGAAGTTTCGGTCACACTGACTTGACCCAGAGAATATGTGTATTATTCTCCTAACACAGCTCCTGGGTTCAAAATTTTATTTGGGCAATGAAAATCAAGTTGATAGTAGGCTCATGGAAACTCAGAACATAGTTCTCAGTTCTGGCAAAGAGGCCCCCAAACCTGTCCTCCAAGGAACAGTTGTGAAAACAAAGCATGTAAGAAAAGCATTGTGGGTAAGACTGAATTGATGAAATTCATGGTAATAGCATCACTCTTCAAGAATTGCCTGTCTTTGCTTAACGTTGAAAAATATTGATATTATCTATAGTATTGTTTCCCCTGTTTTTACATTTGCATGGGAAACAATTCGATTAACATTTCTTTCTGAAGATGGTCTGCTTCTAAGAGAGTGACATTGATTGTGTCAGCTTGGCCCACTAAGCATGCTTTCACCTTGCAGGGCTGATTTGGATGCAAAGCAGAGAGATCTTGAAAATATCAACTCTACCTGCATTGTTGCATCTCCTTTCAAAGCTCATTTGGGTTTACTATAAGGCAACATTGAAAATGCTATTCATGCACATGCTCTCAAATGTGAGAAATTGTGCTAATCCAACTTTCATTTTCATATCAAATTGAACAAGAAATGAGTTTGTCAGAAACAATCATGTCTGTTGCAGAGGTGTCAGGTTGGATAGTCAGAGGGATGTGACTGTTGCCCTGGGAGGTATCTTGTGTTGTGGGAATGTGTTGATGGAGGTTATCCAGTAGGCTAGATCCAAGTGCTCCCCCTGGGAAACTCACAGGGATTATAGCTAGCAGCTGGTTTGTCCCAGCTGGGAATATTTCCCAGTCTCCCTCTATATTCGGTTCAGCCTTTTCCTAATTCTCAGTGCTTTCTGGGCCCCTCACAAAAACACAAACACTAAAACCTCTTCCAAAAACAAATAAACAAACAGCAACAACAAAAAGAAAACCCAGCCTTCATATAGATAGTTCAATCTTTATGAAGTGTATGCTTTATGTTAAAAAAAATATTGTAACTTGATGCTGGTGCTGCAAACGTGGACAGAGAGATTCAAAGTCATTTCGGGAAGAACTGGGAGGACCTCAGATATTTATTTATTTTACTGGCCATGCAGGAACTGATTTTAAAGCTTTTAAGTTATCTGTGAGGCCAGAATTCTTTTGGCTTTATATTTCGTAAATTAACTTTTGAATGTATTTCCCCCAAATATTTAATTCTTATGAAATTGAGAATACTACCAAGACAACAGAATTTGCAAAGTCAGCTTACGTACTTCCTTGTCTTTTGGGGTCTTTCTTTTGAATGAACAAATGGGGCACAGAGTGATTTAAATCTTACATCCTCTCCATAATTCGCTATGCCTTCACAACAGCAATATAAATGGGGACCATTATTTGATGATCTTGGTATATGCTTCACATTCATTGTCTCCTTCCATTCCCAGGAGAGCCATAAAAGACTAATCTGAATAGAGAGCAGTGATTAAAAGCGCAGTGCCAAAGGGGTTTATACCAAAACAGATTCCACTGCCCCCTGTCTTTTGTTGTGTCCATGTGTATATTACATGCTTCTGTTTTTTGTTTTTTTGCTTTAATTTCCTTCTCTCTACCTTGGGATGACAGTGGCACCTACCTACAAAAAGCCAAGTGCATAATGGGACTTAATAAATGCTAGCTATCACCTTGTAAGTTAGAAGTATATTAGTATTTCTGCTCTATAGAGAGAAAGAGATTCAAAGAGTTTATGCATCTTACTCTGGGTTCTATGGCTAGTGAGGGACAATGTGGAATTTGTCTCCAAGTTCCGTGTTTCCAAACCCATATGTTTCTTTCCATTCCCTTTACTAAAATTGACTAATCTATTGCTGCTCTTCCAAACCTAACTTTCACCTGGGTATAAGGAAGAGAATCTTTCCTCTGCTTATGAAGGTGTCATGCTTCACTTTTAAAGGAAATTGGCATAGATAATACTTTCCTTCCCAGCAGGAATCATATTTGCATACCTCTGAAAATAAGAACTCAATTTTCTCCACCAAATCCTTTGTTTTTGAGCTTTTATATGTTTATAATTGTAATTTCATGATAACTCTTTAACCCAGTGCAGTCCAATAAAAATATAATACAAACCACAAACGTCATTCACATATTTAGTTTAAAATGTTCTAGCAGTCAAATTAAAAAAGTAAAAGGGAAATAGGGAATATTTATTTTAATAATTTATTTTATTTAAGCCAATATATCAAAACTATAACACAATACAACATATTATAACATAATATAAATTATTGGTTTATAATCAATGTAACATTATTAATGTGACATTTCATATCTTTTTTATACTGTCTTTAAAATGTGGAGTGTGTTTTATACTAATGCATCTCAGTTGAGACTAGGCACATTTTAAGTGCTCAGTAGGTACATGCAGCTAGTGGATACCTTACAAATAGTGCAGGTCTCAACTTTTGAAGAATATATTTATACACAGTTTTTAAAAACTACTATTGGTGAGGAAGACACTGTTGGGCATATTGTCATGTTATCTAATTCATCTTCAAAATAATCCTATACTACCATCCCTATTTTTCAGACAAAAAAGTTAGAATCGGATTACATAACATGCTTGCCATCATATAAGCTAGTAAAATGTAGAGCTTGAATTCAGATTTAACATATTTTATTTCCTCATGTAGGCATCTTTCCATAATACTGTAACACCTTAATAATGATGGCGATTATTACAACAATGATGAAAAAATAATACCATTAATATAACAATTCTGTTACCACCTGGCATCAGTGAATTTATAACATTTTCTCTTACATTGTCTCATGCTTATTCTCATTTCATACACAATTGTTTAAAACATATATTTATATACTAAATAAGCATCTAGCAGGTTGCAAGATCCAAAGCTAACCGAGAATATGTGATAACTCAACAAACCAAGCTGCTTTCAACACCCAGGTTATCCAGGAAATCAGATTCCTGTGAAGTTTAGAGTTTCAATGGAACGCAAAAAATATGAGCACCCAGGAGGTGTGCCATGGTGCTTGGGCCATGTGGTAGGCACCTGCATGAATGTGCATGTGTAGGCACTGGGTGGAGAGTGACAAGAGGAGGGCACAGAGAGACGGGCTGGCTCCAGGTTGCAGTTGTTGTGGGTGAATTGATAGACAGCAGTAGAGAACCAAAATACCTTGACAGATAATGCTCAGTTTCAGTGTTTTTGCTGCATCTCAGTCCCCACACTTTTAAACCATCTTCCTGCATTTTTTGCTCCATTGCTCCTGTCCTGAGTCTCCACCCCAAAGTTGGGTTCAACAGAAGGATCCATATTAAGAGGATGGCCAAGAATAGGGTATTTCTTATCTGTACCCAGGGATAATCATGACTTTCAGAGGGTGGGTGAGCTATCATTGACACAAGCTTCAGTGTCTCTAACACATGGCCCCTTCATGGGGCTACTTGACTTACAGCATGGTGGTTGGCTTTGGAAAGGATAAATCTCAAGAGCATATGTTTCCAAAGGACAAAAATCGCAACATGCAAGGGTGTTTATGGTTCTGTTTGCATCATGCTTGTCTATATCCCTTTGGCTACAGGCCAGGGTCATATGGGCAAGTCCAGAGTTAATGTATTACAGTCATGAGTAAAGGAAGGGTGATTTATTGGGATTCTCCAAAGTAAGAGTTTCCTCCACAGGTTTCCCAAGAGGGAGGTAAGTGACTTTTTTTTAGGAGAGTGGGTATATGGTGATGTTGCAAGAGACATGATCCTATTAGAAATATTTCCTCATACTCTCTTCAACTGTTGACTCAATGAGACAAATTGGCCGTAAGATTTTGGGTCTATAGCTACACAGAAATCTAAACAGTGCAGAAATGGATTTTCAACATGAATTTTTTAAAACTTAGACTTTGAGTGGATTTAATTCAAACATTATCTTTGGTTCTTAGAGTCAGAAGTTTCCTTAAAAGTCGTATTAGCTGTTGTCTGCAGGCATTTTTTGGAGGTGTGAACTTGCAATCATTGGGCAAAACAAAGAATCTGGCACTTTTAATTCTACTATGCAACCTGAGAATAATTTTACTTTTAAGAATACATGTCTATATTGTATGAATGCAATATGTCATCATAACTGTGAGTAAAGATGTCCCTGAAACAAACAACAACAAAAAACCCATCAGACTAAGGATATGTCATCTGCCCATCCACCCATTTATCAGAATATCCATCCATTCATTCATTTAGCGAAAGTCATTCACACTGAAAATCAGCTAGGCTGTGGATATAAGGGTTGACAAGGTAGACACAGTATCTATTCTTATGGATCTTATATTTAGTTTGTGGGAGTGGACCATAGAAAGCAAACAAGTGAAAAAAATAATTTTTAGTAGTGATAAATGTGATCAATAGTACACGGCAATGTGATGTATTGGGAAGTGGCCTTGACACTTGAGGAAGATAGTCATCATCTTGGCTGAGGAGCACTGCTCATGGGAAGATGGTAGTGATGGTCTTGGTATTTACCATAATAGGGGGGCCTACAAAGTGGTGAGTAGGGAGGGAAGAGAAGAAGGGAGGAAGAAGGAAAATAGAAAAAATAAAAATGAGGAAGAAAGAATGAATAAATGGAGATAGGAAAGTAGGGCAAGATATTAGTATCACAATTCATATTTTCCCAAACTGATGACCTGGAATCCCCACAATTGTCCTGGGAGTGGGGTCCCCTAATGTTGAAGGAGAGCTCCAAAGAGGAAAGGGAGTTTGACTAGCATCACAGGTGAGGTCAGGGCTATGCCCAGAGAAGAACCTGTGCCTTTGGCTGTGGTGCTCTGCTTGTGCATGCCTGTCTCTCCTCATGATTGGTTGGTGTCTTCTTGGCAAGGAAGGTTTGTCTCAGCAATGATGGATTAGGAGAGTGGTATGCATCTCTTGGGGTTCTGAGAGGCCAACAAATGTGGAGAACAAGTTTGTGTAAGTGGTTGGAATGGAAATGTTATTAGAACATAGTTCCTCTGAGTAATGGATAAAAGCTTTGAGGTGCTATGCCTGGAAGAATATAGCCTACACATATTTGAGGAATTACTTTAAGGAAGAAAGTTACCAGATTTTTCACCTTTGACAATATTAGAAAAGCAATTAAATGTCTATCTTAGGATGAAAAATTTAAATTTTAATCAGAACTGCTCCCTTGATAAGAGGTGTTAGCTATAGAGGGCATGGAATTGTTTTTTCAGATATCATTACACATAGTGGTTGTCTACTCATTGTAGATATCACCAGTGAATTGCCATTCTGGTGGGGGATGCCCCTGGCTGCCCCCTTACTCCAGTTTCCTCAAATTCACTATCTTTTGGTTTTTCTTTTTCTTTCTTTCTTTTTTTTTTTTTTTTGAGACAGAGTCTCGCTCTGTCACCCGGGCTGGAGTGCAGTGGCGCGATCTCAGCTCACTGTAACCTCCACCTCCTGGGTTCACGTCATTCTCCTGCCTCAGCCTCCCAAGTAGCTGGGATCACAGGCGCCCGCCACGACGCCCGGCTAATTTTTTGGATTTTTAGTAGAGACGGAGTTTCACCGTGTCAACCAGGATGGTCTCGATTTCCTGACCTCGTGATCTGCCTGCCTCGGCCTTCTAAAGTGCTGGGATTACAGGCGTGAGCCACCATGTCCAGCCAGTTTTTCTTAAGATACTTTTGTTTTTCTGAAAAAGGAATTTTTTTTTTCAATTTTCTTGGTTGGTCACTCATCTCAGCCTTTCCAGTCAAATACTGCTTTCTTCCTTAGTATTTTCTTCCAGTCTTCTTCTCCTATTACATTTGTTGCCTCAGATGATCCATGAAATTTCATGGCAGTATTCAACATCCTGTCACTAACTAATCCTCAAGCTGCATCCCAAACTTCACTTAGCAAACTCTTAAATATGATAATTTCCCTATATTCTATATTTCTGTGATGTCAACACTATCCACCCACTTTTCCAACCAGCGGTAAATGATCACACATTAACTTTGGAGGATCCATCTTTAAGACCTCACACCCAGTCCATTGCCAGTTACTACTGATTTCATTTCTGATATTTCTTTCATAATGTCTATTTTTCTAATTCTTTTGCCATTGTCAAAGTTTTCTGCCCTTATCATTTCTCTTCTGAGATGCGTCCTTAATCTCCTAACTGCCCTCTTTGCCTCCTTCCTTTGTGCAGAACACTCTGACCTTCAGCTCTCACTTTTACTCTACCTCTTCCACACAACTGTGAACTGCATGAAGAGTTCATTGTCATGAGGGCAATGAACTTGGCAGCTCATATTACCCCTGCTTGGAGGCAAGTCATTGCCATGAGGACAAGTTATGACTTGCCCTCATGGAGTCGTCTAGCTTCTGTCAAGACTGGATGAAGGACTTAAATAATCTTGTGAATTTTATATTTCTACATTTCCATTTACATGGGCACATCTCCATCTACTCTTTTCTGGGTCTAATCAAGTGTTGAACTCATATTTTATTGATGCTGAGATATTTTTCCTAGGTGACAGTAACAAAGACACAATAACCACTGGAAGTCTCAGAACATAGCTTTTGTGTCTTAAGATCATTAAAATCAGGAGAGAATGATCTTTCTGCCACTCTATCAGGAAACTGCAAAGAACTGAGACTACCTTCCTTGAGTTACAGTCCATCTCTGAGGCCATTTGCTATGTCCTGTGAATATTCTGAAGGACACAGCTGGGGTCCTGTGTTTATCCTTGTGATTGACAGTGCACTTGAGACAAGGAAAAACAACATGTACCACATAGGTCCTCAAAATTGTTGGATGACATGAATAGATGAGTGGATGAATGAATTAATATTTGGCTTCCCTAGACCTTCCCTGTTTTTTTAAATATTCCATGTTTTCACTTGTATTGTCTACTCTCCTTGGGAGATCATGGCACCCTGTAATATAAAATTTATTATCGTACAGCCGTCTATGTGCTGTTCCCAGTAACAATGGATTCCAGAAGACTTAGATAGGCATTCCATTTCACAAGTCATCATACCCAGTTTTATTGGATTGGTGAATTAAAGGGTTAGTAAGTGACTGAAATTATGAATGAATGCATGACTAAGAAAATAGACGGTTACAAAGCACATCTGTAATTTCAGGTTCTCTGCTCAATATATCAAATATAATAGAGATCTGAAAGTGACCTCAAAGGTCATTTTATTCTTACCTTTTTTAAACAGATTTAGGTGCTGATATTTAGAAAAATTTAGAAGACTACACGCCCCACCTCCCCCACACACACCAAATCACATGGCATACTAGTGGCAGAGACAAGAACAGGACTTCAGCAGTTTTAATTTCTAGTGAGGTTCACCCTTCATTACACAATTTCTTATCTTAAGTAATAGGCATTTGATAAGCACCTATGATATTCCAGACCCAATAGGAGATGCTACGGGTGATACTAAAAATGAAGACAGAGGCAGGGCATGGTATCTCATGCCTGTAATCCAGCCAACTTGTGAGGCCAAGGTGGAAGGATTGCTTGAGCCCAGGAGTTTGAGATCAGCTTGGGCAACATAGTGAGACCCTGTCTCTAAAACACACGCACACACACACACACACACACACTTGAAGACACAGTTGCAATCTGCGATTCTCCAGCATCTCATAGACAAATGAGGGTAATTTGATAAATTCCCAACAGCACATGTATTACATACCCAGAGAAGGAGGGTCAGTCTGGCCAGCTGCTCCCATATTTCCTTGCTGCTAGAGTAATATTTGAATATATCATGTAACTAGACTACTAGGTTTATCTTACAGTAGTATCTGATGCTGTTAACTCTAGCATGTTGTTCTGTCATCCCTTAGTATCCAAGGAACTTAAGGATTAACAGGGAGAGGGATGTGGTAGCAATATGAGGTTCAATAGTAAATATTGAACCTCTCATTACCCCTGTTCTTTCCCTGAAGATACCCATTGGTCAGTAGGTTCTTCCAGCTGCTGCCCTACCCAATTTCATGGCCTTCTCTTCCACAGTTGATCTATTTTGATAATTGATTTTCTCCATCGTGTTGAGCAAGGTGAGTCTTCTGGTAGGAAGGAAGAATCAGTAAGGGTTGCCATCCTTGTGTTACTCCAATAATCTAAGCAATCCTAGGCTGAGTTTGAGTGGCTCACCTGCTCTTTTTTGGTGGTTTCTGGTTAGATTGTCATTATAGCAGAGCTTAGTTATTGGGCGAAATCACAGAGAAAACCAATTTACAGATTCAATTGCTGAATTTCCTCTTATTTTTAAAAATTTTTTATCTTAACTTTTCTGATCAAAAGTCCCCAGTAGTGGACTGGAAGTAGAGAATGTGAAAGGATCCCATGTGTTGTGGGAGAGATGTTACTTTTCTGTTCTTTGTTATAGGACTGATTACAGGGGTGTGTTTCCTAATTCATAGAGCTGTGCTCTTCTTTGTGTATGTTATACTTAACATTTTTAGAAAAATAAAAAGTGACTACTACTGATAATAATAATGATTTTGCCCCCAGAGGACATTTGGCAAGATCTAGAGACATTTGTTTTGTCACAGCTTGGGAGAGAATGCTGCTGGCATCAAGTGGATAGGGGCCAGGGATGCCGCTAGACGTCCTGCAGTGCACAGGACAGCCCTCTGCAAAAAACAGTCATCCGACCCAAAGTGCCAATAGTGCTGAGGCTGACAAGCCCTACCCTAGAGAATGAGGGTCAATCTGAAAGTTTCATTATTGAACAGTCATGACAATTACCATTTATAGAGACTTATGAAGTAAATTGGCTATATCTTCATTTTGCATTTGAGGAAATCGAGGCTAACAGAAGCTAATTTGTCCAGCATGACCCAGTTGGGAATCCAGGTCCCCATGCAGTCCCAACCTTGTTCTTTACAACACGTATATTATTTTGCCTATTGTCACTTCTCTATCAATTTTGAAAACTTACAAATATGTTTTTCCCAATAGCTGAAATGAGTTTGTGTGTGTTTGTCTCTGTGTATGTAAAACAACCAGTATGTAAAACAACCAGATAAAAGGTAATAACGAGAAGAGGCTTTAAAAGATATTATCCACATAGTCTTCTGCAATGATGCCTTTATCAAAACATAATAATAGACTACTGTGTACTGCTTTTGCCAAGAACTTGTCAAAAAAAAATCAAACTGAAAGCATAGTCTTCTAGTTATTTAACGAATTGAAATTTGACTTTTGGATACAGGTAAGAATACAACTGTCATTCAAGGGAGTTAAAACATGTTTCTGGCTATTGTCAGGAGACTGAATAGCCTCTTCCAGTTCCTTGAGTCAGAAATTTTCTGAAGCTTCCATTTGTAAATATTAATATATACATAAGGTATTAGTCGAAGTTCAACCAGGGGAACAGAACCAACAGGATACACACACACACACCCCAAATATATACATATATATTTGTATATATCAAACTGTATATATTTGGTATATATACATGTAATACATATGCCAAATCTATATAGTTGGTGTATATATGTGTATTATATATGTTATGTATATAATATGTATAATATATGTGTGTATATATATTTGGCATGTGTTTGTGTATATATACATATATGTACAAATATGCATATATACACATATATAAACATATATGTACAAATAGGTATATATACACACATATATAAACATATATATACACACACACACACACACACACACACACACACACACACCCCGAAAGATTTATGGTAAGAGATTGACTTAAGCAATTTTAGCATATAGTAGTCTGTTTGGCCTGTTTTAACAAAATACCTTAGGCTGGATCATTTATAAAGAACAGAAATTTATTGTTTACAGTTCTGGAGGCTGGAAAGTCCAAGATCAAGGCGCTAGCAGATTCTGTGTCTGATGAGGGAGAGACAAGAATACTTGTAATACTTCACTGGAAGTATTACAAAGAAGTTGTAGCTACATGGACGTATGCTTGCGATAAAATGTTAAGAGGTACAAGATAGGTCATCGAATTATGTATTCAATCTGACTTCAACTTACTACACACATACTTCTGCATTTATGTATATATCAGAGCATGTAGAGAAATTATGGCAAAATGCCAGCAGCAATTGCATATGGCTGGAATTTAAGTTTAAAATTTAAATTGTATTCATTTTCAATTTGTAATTACTGAATATTCCTCATAGATGGCACCATCTCAAGGCCTTCTCAAATAGTGGAAGAGGCAGGGAGCTCTTTTGATTCACTTTTATAAGGGCATTGATCCCTTGGCCTAATCACCTTTAAAAAGCCCAACCTTTTAGTATCATCACATTACAGATTATGTTTCAACATATGAACTTGAGGGAGATATTTTAAGACCTTAGCACAGAGGTTGGCTGGGAAAATTCAAAATCCATAGGGCAGGTAGGCAGGAAGGGCAGACTAGACATCTCAGATGAGAGCTGACATTGCAGTCCACAGATGGGATTGTAGCTTCATCAGGGAAGTCTCAGTTCTGCTCTTAATGCCTTTCAACTGGTTGAATCAGGCCCTTCCAGATAATCTAGGAGGATTTTTCACACTTAAAGTAAACTGATTACAGACTTGAATTACATCCACTGAATACCTTCACAATAACACCTAGATTGCTTAGATTATTGCTTAATTGTATAACTGCAGACTATAACCTAGCCAAATTAAGACATAAAACTGATCATTACATGTAGTAAACTATATATTTTTCCTAATTTAGAAGTTACTTTAGATGGTGGAGTAGGTTTATCAAAAGCCGCAAGTGTTAAGTAACGTAAAGCACATTGTTTCTCTCAGCAGTGCAAGGATGTGGTTGGTTGGCCATACCCACCTATCCAGCTCTAATCTCCCAGATTAGAGATATCTTTGTATGCCACCAATGCTTGTAATTCTGTCTTGAAACTCACTGTGATTCATTCAGAGACACAATGTTGCAGACTGGAAAGAATGAGGAGTGAGGCAGACCTGGACCCAAACCCTGGGTCTGCTATTTAGGAGCTATGTGAATATGCCTATGACCTACCTACATTAGAGGTAGTAACACACAACTTCACAGGTTCTGGTGAGATTTACCTGAAACATGCTTGTGCAGTGTATGGCAATATAGATACATACCTGTATAGAGATATGTATGTCTTAATTTCTTTGTGCTGCTACAATAAAACTCCACATCCTGGGTAATTTATAACCAAGAGAATGTTTTTTTTTCTCACAGTTCTGCAAGCTGGAAAGTCTCGGGATCAAGGTGCCACATGTCTGGTGTCTAGCAAGGGCCTGTTCCTCATAGATGATGCCTTCTGAGTGTCCTCAGTTGACAGAAGAGATGGAAGGGGTGAAAACAGGTGTATTTCCTCCTTTAAGTCCCTTGATAAGGGCATTAATCCTATTCTTTTATAGTCCTCTGTTTGTAGTCAGTATCATCGTGTCTCCTTCTGGGAGGAGATCATGAAACCATGTTAAAGAAGCACAGAGAGGGGTACAAAGGAGAGGCTGAGACTAAGACAGGATTTTATAAATTCCATGGAAGAGTCACTGGCTGAGATTGTGGTTATTGAACTGGACTGCTATGCTTGGGTCCCCGTTTGAATTAAGCAACCCTAGAGATGTGTCTATATATACACCTGCATATTTATATATAAATACATATCTACTGTGTGTGTGTGTGTGTATGTGTGTGTGTGTGTAGTTTTCTGTTTATTTTTGGGTTATTGTTTAAGGTATTGATTTCTTTATTAGACTCTGTGGGAGAAATTCTACTGACATCAAGTATCAAGAAATGTTTTGTTTCACCTGGACAAGAATGCATTTTTATTTTGTTTAGTTTTATAACTATTGGTGTTTCTCCAGTTGCTTTGGCTTGCTAGGAAAGAACACTATGTGTCATAAATTATGGTGTGCTTTAGAATGAAGTACTTTGCTCCATCTTAACAACCTTACTTTTACTTTCCCTTCATCCCACTTTCTTTAAAACTTCCCTTTGTTTAAATCTTAGTGCATTGCTGGTATTTATGAAGGCCATTCGACTTCTCTTAAGAAGAGGAGAGGCCTTAAATAAATGGGTTAGTAAATGGGCCTTAGTATTTGAGCTCTTCACAAGGCCAATCATTGGGAGTCCATCTTTCTCCTGGAGGCTTGCTTAGAGCTTTAGTTAAACCCTATCAAATAGTAATTTCTTATTAAGGCAGAGTTGGTTCTAATATTCATCCAAGGAACATATATTCAAATGATAGACTTCTCACTAATTAATTTTGCTTTCATATTTTGACATTCAGTGAGGCCTTTTTAGTGTTTTTAATGTGTGCATTATAGTACGTATAAGAACATACTGAAATTACCAATTTAATCATATCCTTCTCCAGATTATTAGCATTTTGACGGTAGGGACTATAATGATTTTATCTCTGTATACCTAGTATCTACCACTGTGAATATCACGTAGTAGATTATTTTGTTGGATGAATGGATGCTTGCTAAAATAACTGCTGTGTACGCGTGTGTATATTTGTACCTGTATACACACTGCTATGGTTTGAAGGATCATGTCTCCTTCAAAATTCATGTCGAAAAATAATCCCTAATTAAATAGTATTAAGAGGTGTGGGTTTTGGGAAGTGTACCAGAGCTGCTGATTGTTCTAGAACCACCCCACTATTCCAAGTTTATTAGGCTCAGAGCCACTGAGAGCCTTGAGTTCTGGGCACTTCTGTCACCCATCTCCTTTTGCAGCACCAGACAAAGAATTTTCCTTTTTAGCCTCATTGTTTGCATGCCTAGGAGTCGGTCACTGTGCTCCTCGTAGTCTTTGGGTCTCAGAAATAGTGAACAGGTACAGCATCCAGGGTGGAATTTTTGCCTTTAGTACCCTCCCTTGAACTCTTAAAAAAAAAAAAAAAAAAAAAAGGAACCCAACACTGGGAGGCCAAGGCAGGCAGGTCACTTGAGGCCAGGAGTTCAAGACCAGCCTGGCCAACATGGTGAAACCCCATCTCTACTAAAAATAGATAAAATTAGCTGAGTGTGGTGGCACATGCCTGTAAACCCTGCTACTCAGGAGGCTGAGGCAGGAGAATTGCTTGAACTTGGGAGGCGGAGGTTGCAGTGGGCCAAGATCACGCCACTGCACTCCAGCCTGGACAACAGAGTGAGAGTCCATCAAAAAAAAAAAAAAAAAGGAGACAAACTTGTAGTTTTGTAAATACTGTAAGCTGAATGAATTTGTTAAAAAGTACATCACATCACTACATAAGTGACTTGACTTCAGGGTTCTTTTTATTTATTATTTATTTTTCCTTTAAGGAAAGGTCAAGGCACTTTTTTTTTTTTTTTGGAAAATGTCCCTCAAGATGAGGAGGAACCTCAGTGTCCCAAGAACAGATGATGGATCTGTTCATGGGTGAGACAAGGAACCTGTGATTTGAGCTGAGTTGCAAGAGACACAGGAGACATCTGGGGACTAGGTGAATGGACACCTGACACTTGGTCTGGGCTTGGCCACTTGGCTGTGGCCATGTTCCTCAGCTCCTTTGTGTCTCAGGCATCCCCACCAATAAGCAGAAGATAGTAATAGCCACCCCATCTCTATTAAGCTTGGTGTGCAAGTGGTACTAAGGCATGGGTTAGATAGTGCCTCTAACAGCCAAGAATAGAGGTTTCTATCAGTTTGGCCCAAAGCACTTTGGTCTCCCTGGGCTGAATGGGATTGAGGTCATCTTTCTGTCTTCTGCTCTGGGCTGTGAGGTTGCCGTCACTGGAAAGCTGTGGAAGGAACATTGGCCTGGGAGTCCAGAATTTTTAATTCTCATCTAGATTCTGTCATTTTTAGTTAAAACTTGGGTAACTAATTTTTCCACATGGGACATCTGTGTATATATTTTTTAAATAATGGAGCTAAGTTTGGTGACCTCTAAGAGACTTTTCAGCTTTGAGGGGCTGCAGTGTAGCAATCACTGTGCTGTAGGATGGAGATAAGTGATGAGGACAGACCCTGCCATCTATGACTATGGCATTCTATGGGAAGAGGCACAACATCTATGACAGGACAATCTCACATTGTGGTATTTGTCCAAAAGGAAATGAACAGAGTCGTGTAATAAAATGAGAGGTGAAATGAGTTCAGGTAGATCCAGAGAGACTTCTCTGGGGAGGTGACATTATTTATTATCCCTGGGAAAAGGAGGGAGCTTGATAAATAATTTTAAAGATACACTAGCCAATTGAGTGAATGTTTATTGAGCACCTACTCTGTGCCTGACTTTAAATAGGGAACTGAGGCTAGGGTATTTAAGAAATCTTTCTTAAGAAAGGCCTAATCTCGGGTGGATCACGAGGTTGGGAGATCGAGACCATCCTGGTTAACACGGTGAAACGCTGTCTCTACTAAAAATACAAAAAATTAGCCGGGCGTGGTGGTGGGCGCCTGTAGTCTCAGCTACTCGGGAGGCTGAGGCAGGAGAATGGCGTGAACCCAGGAGGCGGAGCTTGCAGTGAGCTAAGATTGCACCACTGCACTCCAGCCCGGGCCACAGAGTGAGACTCCGTCTCAAAAAAAAAAAAAAAGGAAAGGCCTAATCTATAGAGGAAAGACACACACAGAAATAAATCTTTCTTCTATTGTAACAACAGTAATCAGAAGACATATGTGGGATTCAGGGACATTGATGTGCTGAGGTACGATCAACAGCATTCATAGAAAATGAGTGTTCAAATGGAAAAGAAACCGCCAACATTATTTTTAAGTAATTATATTTCTTCTGCTGAGATTTTACAATAATCATCTCACTTTTCTGGAATTAATACTAAATAAATAGGTGGAAATATTTAAAAATTAGATGCACAAAAATATCTATCATGGCAAAAATCAAAACTTAAATATCTAACAAAAGGAGATTTCTTAAATAAATTATGGTATATTTTTATGGTGGACTAAATTCAGTCACTAGAAGTATTACAAAGGAGTTGTAGCTACATGGACATATGCTTAGGATAAAATGTTAAGAGGTACAAGGTAGGCCATTGAATTATGTATTCAGTCTGACTTCAACTTACTACACTCATACTTACGCACTTATGCGTATATCAGAGCATGTAGAGAAATTATGGCAAAATGCCAGCAGCAGTTGCCTAGGGCTGGAATTTAAGTTTAAATTTTAAATTTTATTCATTTTCAATTTTTAATTACTATATATTAGTACTCAAGTAGGAAACACACTTAAAATATCTCCAAACCTGGAGTGTTTGGAAAAGAATGGAATAGCGGTTCCCTCTAGTTTCCATCTGTTTCTGATGAATTAGTCATCACACCTTTGGAACAAAAGCAGAACTTTGGATTTAAAAATAAACTTTACATTTTGTTTTTAATTTGGAGCCTTTAGGATATTGTAATTCATTTCTACTATCTACATTTTTCACTACAAATTAAATGAAGTAAGAATAGAAAGCATATGTGAGTTGGGAAAACCTTATTTTATTGTGTGTTTCTGTTGGACCCCAGGAATGGCTGGCGGGAGGGAAGAACTGTTGTAAGTAAAAAGGACCGCAGTATAATTATTTCATAACTGAGGGTTCTAAAGCTTAGAGATGGGGAGTTGTTTGCCCATGGTCACATGGCTGATTTATAGGGACATTAGGCATCATCAAGATGCAGATGGGGAGAATAAGGCTTAAGAAAGGATTGGACCAAGACTTGTTATTTTCTTGCTGTTGGTGGTGGTGATAGTGGTATCTGTGGTAATGGTGATAAGGGGCAGAATGAAGTATCCAGCATAATCAACTGAGAGACACAATATTGTTAGTTGTAAGATGACATTCTTCTGTATACATTCTTTTCAAAGCAGGAACACAATGTTGGAAAGGAAATTATAAACCCAATACTAGATCAGGTGACACTTAAGGTCTAGATTTCAGCTTTTCTATTAAGCGAAAACTTAGAACATGTCAGTTTTCAGAATAGAAATGTTTATTTCCGTATCTGAATTTTAAAATGCATTGTGCATATGTTCTGCCACTTAAAAGTAACAATCTTTTCCATTTTTCTCATTTTATTACAAATTGCAATCACACCATGTCATCAAAAAGTTATTTAGTGACAACTTAGGGGGAGCCAAAAAGTTTCCTGTAATTTGCATATATTTTCCACATTCGGAATGTTAGTGATTAAATTTTTTGTATGTTCACTTAAATAATATATTATTATTGAAAATAAATACAATAATAAATGCAAAATGTTGGCTCTAATGGCATATGCTAAACATTTTCACAGTGCAACACAGCATATGCTTAGTTCTTCATTAAGAGATTTTAAAATAACTCGTATTTAGCAAGAATACATTATCTTTTATTCAGAATTAATTATATGCTGTTTTGTGTATGGTAATTTAAAGTGCTACCCACTTCTAATATGTAACACGCAAAAGAAACTATGGTTACAATTCATTAGAATTGGCTTCTTTCCTTTGCAATTTAGTGGCATAATTAATACATAGAACTGGAATGCTATTTGTTACTTGAATCAAAAGTTATATAAAGTGCTGATAACTAGCAGTTACACATCCTTTATTTTTTTTTAAGCACTGCAAGACTTAGAAGAATGGGATAAGTCATGAGAGTAAGTCACACATAATTAGTTATTTTACCATTCTTTCATAGTTTTAAGAGCAAGTTTTCACAAGGGCGATTTGAATTAGAGGGTAGAATAATATTTTAAAAATCGTTTTCTATTATTCAAATATAGAATGTTATTAAATTTTTTGGTATCGCTGGTTAAGTGCCTAGAACTTGATCATCTTCTATTTCTTTTTCCTTTTTGCTATGAGAAAAATAATGCTCAGAGAAGTTTAAATCCTTGTCTAGGGTAATGTAGTTCGTGACTAGGAACCCAGAGTTGGAGGTTTCTTGGTTTAGGTGAGGCTGCTGTTTCAGTTGCAGGAAAGTTACTCATATTGCCACTTTCTACCTTGGTTATTATAACAGGTTCAATAAGGGCAATATATTTGAACAGCATATTACCCCAACTAAACAAGAAGCTGACAAGAAGATGACCTCAACTAAACAAGAAGGAAGAAAATGACAAAAACACTCAAAGTGCATCGAAAGTGAAAAACAAAATTCCCAAATGCACTTTCCATTTCTTTGAACACATATGTTGATGTCTTGACTTTTTCCCTAAAAGTGAAAGCATCTTGAATAATAATACTATTCATTCTGACCTGGGTGGAATGAGATGAGCACTCTAATACTCTGCTGACGAAAGTATAAATCAATAGTAGAAGGCATTTGGCAAAGTTTGTCTTGAACCTAAACATGTATCAGGCCCTTTGTCTTACTTGGTTAATTTGTGATATCTAGCCTTAGGAAACACTGAAACACGCAAGATAGAAGCTCATAAAAATGTGTTCATCCAGGTGATTTCTACAGTACGTAAATTTTACCTTAATATAGCTGATAAAAAATGCTCAACAAATTTTTATTTATAGGAGGCAAAAGTGAAAACGTGCTAAATGATTACCCCTTAGAGGAATTCTTTGAATAGTAACAGTTCATTCATACAACTGAAAAGTTTAAGATGTTTTTAATAATGAATATATTTTTAATAATGTAGAGAATTACTTGTGGTATAGTATTTATCACAGATGCATGATGAAAATTGTATGTAAATCACAATCTATATTTTAAAAACAATAAGCATGGTTAAAATTATTAGAAGGTAGTGAGCATTTTAGCATGACAACTAAAATGAGTTATCACTGGGTGACAGGATTATCCATTCATTATTCAGTTGTCTTATTTCCTTTGGACTGCTATTAAAAAATACCTTAGAGTGGGAAATTTATAAACAACAGAAAATGTATTATTGACAGTTCTGGAGGATAGGAACTTCAAGATCAAGGTGCCAGCTGATTCGGTGTCTGGTGAGGGCCCGTTCCAAATAGACGGCACCTTCTGTGTCTTCATGTGGCTGAAGGGGCAAGGGGGCTCCCTGAAGCTTCGTTTGTAAGGACGCTGATGCCATTCCCGAGCTTGGAGCCCTCATGACTTAACCACTTCCCTAAAACTCCATCTCTAATACCATCATATTGGGTACTAGGTTTCAACATAAATAAATTTTGAGGAGATATCAACATTCAGATCATATCACCAGTCATTTGTATATTTATTTTGCCAACTTTATTTAATTTATTTTGCACCTCTACATTTCCACGATATTCTTCCATGATGATTAATTACTGTTAAAAAGAAGGAAAAAGACAACAATAAAGGTCAAAGTGAGGAGTCCTGCTATACGGCCATGTTGTATTAAATGTGCCTGTGTCACAGGATGCCCACACATGTGGCCCACTTTTTTGTAGATTCCACTACAGTTTGATAATAGCCCTTACCTGGTCAAGAGGACCCAAGTTAATAGCATTGATAAAATTCATTAACATTTCATTTTCTCAGTCATAGCAATTCTCGATCAGCCCCGAGAATATCATTCTGAGCAGCTTGTGTTGCAAACAATTTACCTAATGCAGTTGATTTACATAAATCTCCTTCTCCACATTTATCCAACAGTAGGGTTTTTAATTTCCATTATTTTTATCAACTCTGATAAAAATATTAAGAGCAAGGAATTTGCTCCCTGCAGCAGCATGTGATGTATGATTTGCATTAGAGTCCACCTAGTACTTATTGCTTGATACCTTCCCATGGTCAGACTCTCAGTTCTAGTCCAGGAAGTAAACATGTTTCCTACAAGTTAACTCAATTACATAGTCCCCTGAATTGCAGCAAACATTTCTTATACTGAGCCACTTGCATATTCTCTGTGGTAGCTGACACTTCATAATTCCTAAGGGAAGGCATGAAGAATTAGACTAAATTCCCTGGATTCAGAAAGAAAGGGAAAGGGATTAAGATGTTGAAATTGCTCAGGCTCTGCTGCTGTCATTGTTGGAGGAAGCAATACCTGTGTCAGGTGCAAAATGTAATAGTTCTGATTACCTACTACCTATCATCTGGGACATTTCCAATTCACACCTAACTCCGAAGTCTGCTCTGTATCAAAAGATTCTAGGGCATGCTGGCCTAGGGCTTTCTTTCATCTCAAATGATATCACTTTTCTTCTCATTTAAAATTCACTCTGAAGGCCCTAAAGTCGAATATTTGACGTAGATGTTTCCATGAAAGCAATTTTAAAATACACTTTCTTTTACTGTCTGTTCTGGAATATCTAAGAGTCTATAATTTGTATAATGTCCAATCTCTATACCATACCCTGGCCTTCAGAGTGAGGGCTGTAGGACCTATTGCCTTTTGTGCTCTGGGACTTGTGTTTGTTTTATGAGAGTTTTATAAAAGGTAGTCTGCAGATCATCTGCTTCAACATTACCTGGGAAACTCGTTTCAAAGGAAGTTTCTAGAGCCCTAACCCTGGCCTTCTGTAACTGGGGGTGAACTCTGAGACGCTGCATTTGTAACCAGCTTCCAGGTGACTGTGAAGCTACCTAAAGCTTGAGAAGTGCCAGATTAACTATTTTCTGTTTTCGGAGAGCTTTCACCCATGCTATCTCATTCTGTACATCATAACAGCTTTCTTTACAGGAAGGTGCCTTCATAATCACAAAGGGTGAATAAACATTCTAACATCACAGAGACAACAGAGGCGGATCTAGATGTAGCTTTCACAGTGTGCTTTCTGGGCCAGCAGTTTCAGTATCATCTGAGGATATGTTAAGAATGCATTTTCTTGAGCTCACCCTCACACTTTCTGAATCAGGAACCCTTGAGGTGGCTTTAAAGAGCCGTGCAAGTGACTCTGATGATCTATAAAGTTTGAGAACCATTGGTATACCTAGTGTATGGTTTTACAGCATCCTGGTACTAGCTGCATGCCACTATGTATTTAAATTATCTACGTTACCAATTTCTGTAAAGGGCTAGACAGTTGTTAGCTTCAGATCCCAATTTCTTTTAGAGAATATCAAGGACTGAAAGCTCCAGAAGATATTTTTGAATCAATGCCATTGGCAAATGATGCCTTTGAAACAGGGAATGGTTCTACCAGGAAGGTAATGGTCTGGACTCTTAAAAGCAGCATCAAAATAGCACCACAAGACCCATCAAGTTTTAAATTAGATAACAGACTTCTAAGTTAAAGCTAGTTGAGTTGAATCTTGGTTTTGACATTTACCAGCTGTGAAGCTTTTTGAAAAGCTAAAGAATATCTGGGAGAATTACTTTTCATACCTGAAAAAGAGTATAAGGATAGTACCTTCCTTTCACATGGCAATTTTGAGCATTGCATGAGGCAATGAATGAAAGTGCTTTGCTGAGGATCTGGTAATAAGAAAATGCCCAAAGAATGTTATAAGGCACGTAACCACACATATGAATTGCAGTTTCCTCACTCTTAGTTCCCTCATTTTAAATTTTGAGTAATTATAGTGTCTAAAAGTAGTGAGCTTCAGTAAAAAGCAGAACCGAGTGGATCTCTGTAGCAATAGAATCTACAGTCTATCCTATGAAAGATGAAAGAATTCAGACCAATCAATCTACCTACATCTCCTGCCTCTAGGACTAATTTTGACACGTGTTAAGTACTTGAGGAATAGATGTGTGAATAATTAATCAATAGCTGTGTTTTACAAAAGGGGTGCTTTTCAGAGTTCAGTTATATACATTATTTGGCTAATATTCCCAGTGATTCCACGAGGTAGGTATAATTACTGATGTCATTTTACAGAGGAGGAACCTCAAGCTTGTGGAGATGACTAAGGTGGAATGGGGCAGCAACCCAGGTTATCTGACTCAGGGATCCTGTTCTTAATTACTTTTCTATCATGCTTTAACCACTATGCAGCTTTGGCTGGTAATCTCTAGCAATAAGCAGCAGGGGCAAGAATGGTTAGAAATAATTTTTTAAGGCCAGGTGTGGTGGCTCATGCCTGTAATCCCAGCACTTTGGGAGGCCGAGGCGGATGGATAACCTGAGGTCAGGAGTTCGAGACCACGCTGCCCAATGTGGTGAAACCCTGTCTCTACTAAAATTACAAAAAATTAGCCAGGCATGGTGGCAGGTGCCTGTAATCCCAACTACTCGGGAGGCTGAGACAGGAGAATTGCTTGAACCTGGGAGGTGGAGGTTGCTGTGAGTTGAGGTAGTGCCACTGAACTCCAGCCTGGACAATGAGAGTGAAGCTCCATCTCAAAAAATAAAAATAATCATAATTTTTAAGCACCTGTGGATAGGACAGTAAAAGAAATTATGCATTAGGTTGAATCAGCAATATATTTTTGTGAATTCAGTAGCTAGAAGCTAATTAACTCCTAGCCAAATTGGGAAGAGAAGGCTTTTTATTTTGTGATTAATATTTTAAACTATGTTCTTGTAAGATATTATACAAAAACACATGTAAAGCACTTGTGTAGCTGAATGCATTATTGCAAGGTAAATACTTTTAAACCACCTCTGTGAGGATCTTAAACCTCGTCAGATACTCAGGATGCTTCCCCAAAGCCATCACTCTGCACAAAAATGACGACTATTCTCACTTATATGATTCCCTCCTTGTTGTTAATGTGTGTGTGCATTCTGAAACACTATAGCTTAATTTTGCCATTTAAACATTTTTTTTTAATCTTTAGATAGGCTTCTTCTTCTTTTTCTTTTTCTTTTTGACAGAATCTTGCTCTGTCACCCAGGCTTCTGAAGTGCAATGGTTCAATTTTGGCTCACTGCAACCTCCACCTCCTGGGCTCAAGCAGTCCTCCCACCTCAGCCTCCCAAGTAGCTAGGACTACAGGCATGTACCCCCATGTGCAACTAATGTTTGCCCAGGCAGGTCTCCAACTCCTGGGCTCAAGCAATCCTCCCACCGTGGCCTCCCAAAGTGCAGGGATTAGAGATGTGAGCCATCACACGTGGCCTTAGACCTTTTACGTTTATTTTCATCTGTAAATTATCCTATCATCCTATTTCATTGAATAAATGAAATAATTTATTTCATAATACAAGGTTTCTCAACTTCAGCACTTATTGGCATTTTGAACAGGACAATTCTTGACTGTGGGGGACTGTCGTGTACATTGTAGGATGTTTAGGAGCATCCCTGGTATCTACTCATCAGATGCCAGTAGCACCTCCTCTTCAGTCGTGACAAGGGAAATCCTCTCCAGAACTTACCAAATGTCTCCTGGAAAATAAAATTGCTCTGATTGAAGAGCTCTGCTGTGTTTTCCCTCTGTCTTGTTAATTTTCTGAAAATTGCATCTTGGATGAGTCTTAGTCTGATTCAGATTCAATTTTTAAATTTATTTTATTTATTGCTAAGACTACTTCCTAGGTGGCATGGGGACTTCCCTCTGGAGGCACATAATGTTGGTAATTTCTCTTGTGATGTCAGCCACCCCTGATGTCTGATGATTAGATCCTTTATAAGGGAGTTGCAAAATGCTGACATTCCAATTCTCTCATCCCTTGGTCACTGCTTTGTCAGAATATTTGTGTCAAGATATGTCTTGCCTCAGCAATGATTTGTTTGCCAGGATGGCTAGAATGGGAAAGGCCCCATGTAAGTTGGCCCATTGTTTTTCCAGGCTGTCTTTTACCTAGTAGCCAGTCTTCCCCATTTTTGCTATTTGGACACACCCTTCTCAGCTTTGAAGAAGCAGCTTATCAAATGAGACAGGACCAGTGTGGCCCTCCTGGCCCATTTCTGCCTGGAGTCAATCACTCCTATGCTGTCCTGGCTCAATGCCACTTACCATGTCAGGCATAATAATGTGCTCTCACGTCCTTCTTTCCCATTAGTCAGTGAGTAAAGCAAGGCTGTCTCACTCTTCTTTGCATCCCCACTGCATAGATTGGAACCAGGCAGCCTGATACCTGGGGAAGAGTGCAGGCTTTGCAGGGAGACAAACGTGGATCCAAATTCCAAATCTGAAAAGGAGCTGGTGGCTAATTCAAGTGAGGCACTCAAACTTTCTGTGTTTCAGTGTGTTCATTGTCAAAATAGAAAAAAAGTCATTTCTCTCAGTTACTTTTAAGGGTCAAGTCATTTGGAAACAGTGTTCATGGGATTCCTACTCAATATACACGTAAGGTATTCTTTCCTATTGTAATAGTAGCTTCTATTTACCCACTCACCATGTGCCAAGCCCTACTACATAAAACCCTTGTGTGCCTTCTCGTGTGATCCCCCTGCAGTGCCCACAGCCTATTACAGGTAAAGCATCAATGTCATAGGCAAATGATGCCTTTCAAACAGGTAATGGTCCTACCAGGAAGGTAATGGTTTGGGCTGTTAAAAGCAACATCAAAATAGGTAAAGAAAATGAGGCTTACCGAAGTTAAATATCTTTTCCTAAATTTCCAAGCTGATGTGAGTTGACTCTGCACTTAAACTCAGACCTTACTGATGGCAAAATTCACTATATATCCTGCCTTTAATTGGGTATTACACCTTGAATAAATGAATGAATGACTAAATTAATAGAAGAAGATGATACTAGGAGTTTATTAGCAAATAATTATTTCCTCCCAGACAGTTCTTTTTTTCTGGGAAGTCAGTTGAATCTGGAGCTTACATTTTACACGTGGGTTGAGGCTACAATGACCAGTCAGAGAGAGCCCTGACTTCAGTGTGGACTTCTGAGGGAAGAGGAATACCAGGTGCCCAGTCTGACTTCTGCTACTGGTTGGCGGTGTGGTTTGTATAAGCCTCACATATGCTCAGACACTACCTGGCACTTGTTTCTAACCAGCTGTTCACCTTCCTATGGTGAGGGGCTCACTGGGCCACCCAGTCCAATGGTGAGCACAGTTTCCTGGATCCCAGCCTTTTCATCTGTCCTCTGCTATTACCTGTTAAAGTGTGAGCTTTCTATTTGACACCTGGGCAGACCAAGCTCAGCTGAGCCCTGACCTGGCTAGATGTCAGGGTGCTACTGGCAGGAATTTAAACTGCCTCAACCCAGGGAGCCAGACTTTTCTGGAAAAGAATGTAGGTGGGCAAGCAGTTTTGTGGTTTACTCCAGGGTTTGGGAATCTCCTGTCCATGGCCTCTGGGAAGGAATTCATTCAGATGGGAAGATGAGAGCCTGTTAGGCAGCTCCTGGAAAGGGAAGCCATAGCACTGGGGAAGCAGTGGCCCTGTGCAGGGTCTGGAGGACTCAGTCCTCAGCACCTTTTCTCCCCCTGCTTCCCTTCCCCCAAGGACATGTGATGTGACTTCACATAACATTTTCTTGAATTCATTCTGTGTTCACACTACAAATCACATCTATGTTTCCAACAAAAATTAATTCAGGACAGTTATAGGTACAATATAGCTGTTTGAAATTAATACATTTTATTTTAGAATGTATTCAGAATGAAAGTTTTTGAGTAATGTGATCACTTTATGGTTTGGAAGATAAAACAAAACAAAAACAAAACTCAGGTTCTCTTGGGGGTGTTCAAGCCATTGATCCTGACAGATAACATTATACTTTGATAGACAACCAAAGTAGACCCCCATTTTGATAGGGCTGTATTACATGGTAGATGCTTTTTTTTTTTTTTTTTGAGACAGAGTCTCGTTCAGTCACCCAGGCTGGAGTGCAGTGGCCCGATCTCGGCTCACTGCAAGCTCCGCCTCCCGGGTTCACGCCATTCTCCTGCCTCAGCCTCCCGCGTAGCTGGGACTACAGGCGCCCGCCACCATGCCCGGCTAATTTTTTTGTATTTTTGGTAGAGAGGGAGTTTCACCATGTTAGCCAGGATGGTCTCGATCTCCTGACCTCGTGATCTGCCCGCCTTGGCCTTCCAAATTGCTGGGATTACAGGCGTGAGCCCCAGCGCCCAGCCCTGTAGATGCTCCTTACCTTCCCTGTGCAGGTCATTGTTTGATGGCCATTGCACTGAATGGCTTATCTGTGGAATATGTTTATCTATTTCATACTGATATTCAGAACATGTAATTTGATAGATCAATTTAGGTATTTAAGAGAAATATTGAGGTATAGAATTTAGACAGACATATGCATATAGTATTAACGATTATTGTATATTCAACATATATAAATTATTAAAATGTGAATTTTGATATATGAAAGCAAATGATTTGAGAGATAGCTTTTACTGGTATGATACAATAAAATACAATACAATTTGGCAAGGATTTATTGAATGATGATGATATTTCGGGCACTACCATTGCATCAATATGCTAGAGATACAAAGATGAATAAAGAAAGAAACCTTTCTTAATGAAGATCTTGATGCATCAATAATCTAAGCATGTGAAGAAACAACCATAAGGGGAAATAACAGCAGGGAAAAGAATGGACAAATTACCAACTCAAAAATATCATGAGCAAAATGATGACTAAAGAACAAATCTGTGAAAACTCAAAACAAATGAAGAGGTATTTTAATATTTTAATACAGAGCTCTTGCAAATGAATTAGAAATACCATTGCTCCCATAGAAAAGAGGGGAAGCAGCTAACAATACAATTAACCAAAATTGTATGCATGACTATACCCACATACACATACATGTACACGTGCTCACATGAAGAATTCAACTTGTTACTAATCAAAGAAAGATATTCAAGCAATGCATTTATCCCTTTACAAATTTTGTTATTGTTATTGTGATGGGATGGGGGATTATAATGAGCATTTAAAAAATCATACTGGTGTGTTTGTTAATTAAAACATCTCTTCTGGAAAATAATCTGAAATATGTACATAGATGTTTAAAAGTCTTACCTCTTTTGACCCAGTGATTTCACTTCTAAGCACCCATTCTAAAGGAATAAGCAAGAATGAAGACAGACATTAATGCACAGGTTTTTTTTTTTTTTGCATTTGTACTTATAATAGGAAAATGTTAAAATACCGAGTAGCCCAGTAGTAGGGGTTGAATGGTTGTATAGTTTACTGTACATCGGACAAGCAATTATGCAGCTGTTAGAGGCAGAGCTCCCAGAGACTTCTCAGTAGAAATGCATGAAAATATTCAGGGTTTATATTAAGTCAGGTACGACAGAAGAAGAAAAATCTCAATTGCATTTAAAAATAGAAAAAAAATAGTGTAAGCCAATGTTTATTTTCTCATTTATACATTTTATTTTCTAAAATTTTGACACTAAGTCTGCATTATCTGATAATTAGAAAAATATCAAGAAGTAAAACTTAAAAATTATATGGATAATTATAATGCAATTTGAGCTGAGAGCTGTGCAAAGAAAAGAGATGTTTCCAGGAGATGGATCAGTTGATTTCACTTGATGAAACAGTCAGAGAAAGCTAGAGAAAAGAGATGAATTTTTAAGGATGAAGGCATAATTTGCCCGGTTAGACAAGAAAGCAAGGTGGTTTCAAGAGCATAGGTTATGCGAATGACAGAAGCATAAACATACCTGGCATGTTCAAGGAGTGAAATTGATCTGGTGTGACTGGGGCACACACTCTGCAGGCAGTCCAGAGGGGTCAACTGAATCAAGAAAGGTAGAGAGGAACAAGGCTATGAGAAGCTTTTCATTCTCAGGCCATGCTGAAGAGTTTAAGCATTAAAACCTAATCCTAGAGAATTGGAGACACAGCAGAATGCTGATTGGAACACGCACACACACAAACACACACACACACATACACACGCACATGCATACACAATAGTGTAAGGTAAATTTTGTCACAAGAATCAAAGTAAAAGCATACATTTAAATGTGTGTACAAATACTTTTTAGAAAACATCTTGAGAAAAAACATTAATTTTTTTCATAATAAAATGCAAAGCAAACCATGATAGAAAAAAATGCATTTAAAAATAATATTTCCCCTCAACTCCTTTTTGTGCTTCAAGGCTTTCTGCCCTTAAATAGATCTGTCATAGAGGTTTTCTTGGTCAGCCGCCCTGTAGCAAGTGTTCCGTCCCATCTGTCTACTAGTAGTCACTACTTAGATTGCAAACTTTGTGCAGAGAGGAGCTCTGTTGTATATGCCATTGTGTCCCTCACACCTGGTTCATAGGACATGCTCATCAATAGTTTCTTCCTGAATGGGTTTGCAATGCCTTGCATATGAAAGGCTTTGTCAAAATTCATGAAGTGGACCTTGCTAATGACTCAGGCCACTTTTAGCTTCGGAATCAACACAGGCATATTAGGCCGGGGTAATTTCACTTTTCACATCCAAATTGGTGTTTATTTTTAAATTATTTTTAAACTTGGAGACAAAAACAGCTGGATTATACATTGCTTACAGCCAGGCAGTCAGCAGCCCCAGGTTCTGGTTGACATTCTGCCAAATACCCCAAATGGCATTAGTTGCACATGGTTCCCTCAGTTTTCTCCCCTGTGAAATGAGGATCTGGAGTCTGTCTAGGTTCCCGATTCCAGGAGCCTCCCACAGGAATCTCTATTGCTTACCTGCCTTGTGATTTCTAGTGCCTCATTCAGCAGAAAACAGCACCTGATAAATGCTTGATGACTTATTGATCAAAAAAATGTCTATTAGACTAGAATTCTTTATATTTTGAGATGGGTTACACTGTCCTATGAAGTTTCTGGAAAGTTCTGGCAAATATCAGCTTCTTGCAGTGTGATGGGGATTGTATTCAATGATGTATTTAATGGGGGAAACAATGGTTTTCTTTGGGGGCTCTCTATACTGCTATTGGGGGAATGATATAATACGAAGTAGTGTCTTCGCTGATGCTAATTCTAAAGCTTTCCTGTCACTACGGGGATATCACATATGCCTGATGCCACCAGAAGCACGAATGTATCACATGTCTCAAGCAAAAGGCAGAACGTTTGAGCTCGGTAAACACACTCACATTCATTCACTAGCAGGGATTTGTAAACTGTTTTTCTACACATGGAAATAGCAGCGTGAGGGCAAAATACTGTAAAGTCTTATAGCCAGACACCATCACAGATTGAGCTCTTGAAATTTCACTTTCAGTGTCAGGGAGGTTTCTTTGACTTTTCCATATTGTCAAAATATATGAAAGAAATATCCTGCAAAATTAACAGAGGATGCGATTATTTGCTTTCAGTGGCAATGTACCTTGGCATAGTAGGGGAGGGTAAGGATTGCTAGAGCAAGTGATCATAGTTCACAAATCAGAGGATCAACCTAATTGCTACCCTCTACTTCAGAAAACTTACCCGTCTCTGTATTTCCACTTCTGTGAATGAAGTCAATTCTGGTGTTAAGACACAGAGAGCCTACAAATGCATTTCTGGCTAACATTAATTGAAGGGAAAATATTTGAGAAGAGTCTTCTTTATCTTTGATGTGAAAAAGTAAGCTGCAGCAAAGTCTTAGAGATGAACAGAATAGCAAAATATAGGATGTTTAATTTGTTTTATATGTTCCACCAAATATTTGTGAAACTTGATACTTCTGAGTCCTATAGCTGCGTAATGACGTAATATTTAATTTAAAAGGATTTCCCTTGTGAAGCATATTGTGTTGATTGTAAAACCTGTATGTTTCCTTATAAGGTACCTATAGTTCATCTTTTCACTGTCTTGACTACAGGGTACATGGTAAGATATTGTGCAGGTGAGATGTGATGCAGCACTTGTTAACTTCTTTCTCTTTTCTCAGTTTCCATTGCATTTTTGCATTTGAGTTCACATTTATAGTTAGACTAGGCAATACACTCATCTCCATGGTTATTAGTTATTCTCTTTACATCACAATTTCACTCTTCTGCACATGTGTCTCACAATAAGATTTGTTTTTACGCAGCTGTGAAAAGAAGCTACACACAATTGAGGAGCTTCTACCTCATGCCAGGCTCAGAGCACTATTATCTCATTTTATCCACATGTAATCATCAGTAAAGATGCTTATACTCACTTTTTTTTCCTCCAATAAGGAAACTGACATCTAGAGAGATCAAGTGATTTTCTGGTGTTCATATGTTAGCATGGCAGAGCCAGAAGTTAGACATGCAGGTATCTTTACTATTTTGTGACCTTTGCAAAAGCACTGAAAGCTAATAGGATTTTTCTTTTTCTCTCTTGGAAATAACAAGATGCAGTGGAAAGTGTATGGGATGCCCAGTCAGGCCATTCTGGGTGTCTTTTATACTCCTGATATGCCCTCAATGGGTTTTAGGAAGTTACCTAAGTCTCTTGGGCCTCAGTTGCCCCTGAGAAAAATGGGGTTGATCAAAGCTCCCTGCTTCGGTGTCTCGGATTAGAAATACCATGTGCTAAGAAAATGTGGCACATATACACCATGGAATACTAGGCAGCCATAAAAAAGGATGAGTTCTTGTCTCTTGCAGGGACATGGTTTAAGCTGGAAACCATCATTCTCAGCAAATTAACACAGGAACAGAAAACCAAGCACCGTATGTTCTCACTCATAAGTGGGAGTTTAACAATGAGAACATATGGACACAGGGAGGGGAACATCACACACTGGGGCTTGTCGGGGGGTGGGGGGCTAGGGGAGGGATAGGATTAGGCGAAATACCTAGTGTAGATGACAGGTTGATGGGTGCAGCAAACCACCATGGCACGTGTATACCTATGTAAGAAACCTGCATGTTCTGCACGTGTATCCCAGGACTTAAAGTATTGAAAAAAATACCATGTGCTGCCAGGATGGGCTGGATCAAAGGGAGCCCACACTTGTTTCCACCTTTTTCTCCACCCAGTCTCCTTTTCTTCAGGCCATGAGACATCTATGAGGTTATTGATGGATGCTGCTGGTGGAGGAGCAGCTCAGTGAGCCTGAGGGAGGGAGGTTTTTTGTTTTTGTTTTTGTTTTTGTTTTTTTGGTTTGTCGGCATCACCCTGTAAAAGAAAAGAACAACCAAAGAAGCAAAGGCAGTTATGCCTTTCAAGCTTAGATGCAGGAATTGGAAGAGGAGTTTGTGGGAGATAAATCAAAGAAAATTGACTAGAATAGATACAAATGAAATTTGAGTTTAACAAGTGCCGGAGTGGTGAGGCAGGATTTGGGATCCTCTTGCTGAAACACAATTACTGCACCTCAAGGGAGCTGGCTTGTTGGCAAACTCTCAAGGCACAGGTGCACTCATCTCATTCTACGGGGACTGCAGCTCACAGCCCCTCCCACAGGCAGAGCTCTAGGTAGTCAGTGAGTGCTGCCTTCTTCTTCCTACACATGCTCACATCCTTTTTCAAAAAGAATAGGTACTGTGTATTAGACTCTGCCCATAAATCAGGTGTAAGATAAATCAGGCATTTGATTCCATTCAACATCTTAATCTTGATGACAGCCCTAAGAAGAAAACACAATCATTTATATGTTATGGATGAGATAACTTGGTAAGAGAGGTTTAACTACTTCCCTGAGGTCACACAGCTATTTGGGAGAGAGTTGGTGTATCCAATACCACATTGTCTACGCTGGCTGTGCAATAGCACATTGTCTAGGGATGGCATCCTGGGAGCATTAGGATTTGCCTGCTTCATCAGAGGAGATAAATCTTCAGGGCTGTATTGCTTGTTAGCAATAGAGTCTCCTGAAATATGCTTTGGCTGTCCTGTGAATGCCAGTGATTCAAAGATCCTTGCCAAAGGATCATCATAAATCCTGCTTAGACAGAGAAATCCCTAATGGAAGAAGGGTTCTTTGCAGTGTCCCACAGCCTTGAGCATTAGTGTGGAGAAGAGGACAATTTGCAACAATGCTTGAGTGAGAGTCAAGAGGCCTATTTACATGGTCAGGGACACAGATGGTCCCGTAAGTAGGATTTGATGAAGAGAGCCCCCTCATCCCACTTGGAGACAGGGAAACGGGCTTTAGGACAGTGTTGTCTGAAAGGCCACTGCCACATGCAGAGTCCTCTAATCCTCTGCCTGAGTGGCTCTGTTTCTTTCAGAGACAAGAAGCTTGTCTGACATTCTGTCCCCCAGCATGGTGACAATTAAAGGCATGACTGAGAGCCATTCCTTTCAGGCCTACTTTCCCCCCATTTTTCCCTATCCAAGTCTAGCTGACAGACCAGGCTGGCAGTGCACACCCACAAATGGTGGACTGATGAGCAGACGACCAGCCATGCAAGCCTTTCCTTCCATGAATTCAGCCTGCTTATGTTTGCCAGGGTGTACTATGTGTAGGACACAGTGCCATGTTCTAGAGAGTGTAAGATTTGAGACAGCAGGAGGAACTAGTGTGTGTGTGTATGTGCGCATGTGTGTGCCTGTGTGTTTGGTAATTTCCAAGTATATACACTTTAATAGAGAATATTAACCATTTCTTCCACCTAAGGATGTAAGATGATTTAATATTTCTTTTACAATGTTTGCATTGTTCTGTATAATAATTAGGAACAAGTTAAAGAGGAAAATACTATTTTGAATGTGGGTCTTTATCACTACTCAAACTCTTTCTTTTTCTTTCAGTTAAGTTGTTTTTATTTATTATTCTTCTCTCTCCCCTCCTCTTCTCTATCTCTGTCTGTCTGTTTGTCTCTCTCTGTGCACACACACATATTCTGGGGGAAGATATGGGCTTGGAAATAGGGAAAATTACACACAAGGGTACATCCATAGGAACTTGTCATAAATGTTCCAATTCTTGGGTGCTTTCTTGGGACTTTGGAAAAAGTCATGCCATTGTTCACATATTGTGTGTGTGTATATATATATGAATTATCTTATAGCAACAATCCTATAAGGCAGGCACTACTAGGATCACATTCTATGTAGAGAAACTGAGGTTCAGAGAAGTTAAGCCGGGGGGTTGCACAGCTACCAAATGATGGAGGCTGGGTGTGAACCCTGAGTTTTTTAAATCCAAAACTCTGAACTCTTGCTATTTCCTGCAGTTTTACTGAAGGGCAGTGACAGACAGTTAATTTGGGTATATCGAGCTGGCACTGTTTTATTACTTTTAGCAGCAATGTGTCCCCTTTGGAGTCTGGGTGTTTTGCACAGCTCTGTTCTCTGTGGCATTCCTATCCCTGCTTCTGTAGCCATTCAAAAGAATAAGGGAATGAAAGTTAAATGAACTCCCCAAAGGGCAGTCACCAGGAGTCAATAGGTATTTGCTTTATTCTATTTGTTTGATTTAGAACAAAACAAAACAACAAATGTTCCCCGCCTCTGGGTCCAAGGACTTAGCCACAGCTTTAGCAACAGCCATGAATAATGAAAGAGTTTCCAAGTTATCTGAAAACAACCATGACATCAAAAAGACAACCAAATGAAACTCAGGTGTTTGCTTCCCCTCTCCATTCTCCAAGCATCTACTTTCTGCAAGGCCTTGCTTCTCCTGATGCTGTCTGTGGACCAGTGGTGGCCTCACCATCACCTGGGCACTTGTTAGGCAGGACCTGGACCTCATCCCTTTTCCCAGACCTGCTGGAGCAGAGTCTGCATTTTAATAAGGTCCCCAAGTGACTTGTACATTACAGTGACAGAAGCACACTCTGAAGAAAGAGGAGGACTTACCTCCCACCCAGAGCTAGGTCTAGTTTGGGATGAGTGAGTCACTGGCCCAGGGTCCAAAATTTAAGAGGGTACCCAAAAAAGCAGTAATCAACAAAAGCAATATATTAAAAAGGAAGGCCAAGTGTGGTGGCTCACGCCTATAACATCCCAGCACTTCGAGAGGCCAAGGCAGGTGGATCACTTGAGGCCAGGAGTTTGAAACCAGCCTGGCCAACATGGTGAAACCCCATCTCTACTAAAATTATAAAAAGTTAGCTGGATGTGTTGGCTCATACCTGTAATCCCAGCTACTCGGGAGGCTGAGGCATGAGAATCACATGCAGAGGCAAAGGTTGTAGTGAACCAAGATCATGCCATTTTACTCCAGCCTGGGTGAAAGAGGGAGACTCTGTCTCAAGTAAAAAAATAAACTAATTAATTAATTAAATAAAAATGGAACTGGACAATTGCAGTCTTCTCCCTTCTGGATTTTTGGGGGAGAGGGCAGGGGAAGCTTATGGGGTCTAGGTTTCTTGTTTTCTCTAAATATTCTGAATTTTCAGCAAGTGAAATTACATTGAGTTGTTTCCATTTTGGTCCACATACTTATATATTATTGGATTTTCAATAACTGTGGTTAGACACAAAAAAATGTAGCATTGTAACCTAAGCATTTATTCTGCAAGGTCAGTTCAAATGGCCAACATAGATCACACTAATGATGATGATAATGATCAAGGTAGGTAGCCTTTATTAAGAGCTTGCTCTGTGCTGAGTGCATTGCATGAATTAACTTATTTAATTTTTATAGGAAACCCCACATGGGAGGCACACCCTAATCTCCATTTTAGCAGTGAGGTGATGGAGGTATGCAGAGGTTGAGTAGCTGGTTTAAGGCTATCCAGCTAGTGACTAGAACAAGTTGGATCAGGCAACTTGCCCAGAGCCCACTCTTTACTACTTTACAATATACAATACAATAGTGTAAAATAAATTTAAATTGTTTTTAAAGTTCTAAAGCAATTTCATGCATCCTTTTCTTCAATATACAAGTATTTCACTGCCAAGTGTGTTTCCATTCTGAAAAATCTACCCCTTTAGGTTTTTAAGTTAAAAATGCTCCCTAAAACAATAAGAGTAATAGATAGATGATGTCATTTACTTTTTAAAAATATCCATAAAATTTTGGCTGCCAATTTAAAAAAAAAATTGGACAAGAAGATGCTGTTAGTTCAAGGGAAGACAAATAGTTCGAGGTCCTCCCTTTTGGATTGGGACCCTGCCGTGGGCTGGGGGTACCATGAGCCTGGTGGGCACAATGTGATCCTGCCTCTGCCGGACTTGGCTTCTTCTCTGCCTGTTTTGTAGCAACCACTGCACTTGTCTTTCTTGCTTGTGTCTGTGTGGGTCTCATTAGCAGTGGGTGTGTGTCTTACCACAGTGGCTCATTCACAGGGCTGCTGGCAGTGCCAGGGATCAGGAGCCGCCTCTCCGTCTGTCCAGAACAAAGCTGGGCTGAGCCCTCTCACGGTCCTGTGGCCCTTGGTCTCCCCACATGAGGTGTCCCGAGATTGAAGAGAGAAGGTGCCTCCTGGCATTGCCAAGGCTGGAATCTGCCTGTCAAGGAAGTCCCTCGGCGGCTAGCTGCTGCACCATGACCTTCGTGATGGTGGAGTGAGTAGGCACTGGAATCAATAAGCCTGGCCTCTCCATCTGCCAGCCTGAATGCAGGTGCCAGTTACTACTACCCAGCAGGGACGAGGGACGGGAACGGTGGCGCATAGATCCCAGCAAAGGGGATTGGCTTTTGTGGACACAAGCTTGAGGCTGGCAGTGCCGTTTTATTTATGTCTTGTCCCTGCTGTAACAGCTGCCGCCTCTGTATGCCTTTGCTCTTTCTGTACTTTCGGCTCGGGTCACGATCTTCCTTTGATTCAGAGTTTGTTTTTATTCCAGCCTGGTTGCTGCTGCCAGAGCCATGGCTCAACGGCTTGGCCTGGACTGTTGATCCGCATGTCAGGAGTTTCCAAAAGTTTGTTCCGGTCTATCTTTGAGAGAAATAGCATGGACTGGATCCCATCGCCAGATTGTGGTGTCTGGGGACACGCGCTTGGGGCACTATTTCCATCTTCTGTCTTTGTCTGGTCCCCTCCTCATTAAATCTTCCTGGGTCTGTGGAGCTGACTACCAATTGGTGCCTGACCTAGTTACAGAGAGCCACTACGTAACCCCTTACTCATCACCATAAATGGATCATAACCGTTTGTTCACTGTGATTCAAAGTGGACTCTGCTATTTTAGAGTCGTTTCTCCCTTTTTGGAGTTTGCGCATGGGGGTGTATGTGCATATATTTATACATGCATGTGTGTATGCACGCGTTTGTGTGTGTGCGTGTGTGTTGTGCAGCTGCCTAAATTAAGCTGGCATTTTCCGTTGCTATGTGGGGACTCTGCTTTTGGAAAACACTTCTGTGGCATTGTATGGAATCGTTAACGGGCTTGCTGGTTTCCCTGCCTTGACCTCCTTTCATTTTCCACTGGGACCACTTTCTCTTGAGCATAGGTTCTCACATTTTCTGCTCGAGGTGTCAGCTCTGTGGCCACTCTTCTGCCAAAGGGCACCAGGGAGTTCCTCAAAGGACCTTTTGAACTGTTTGTTCAATGAATGAAGAGTTCAGTCGGACAGTGACGAGGACAGCACATACCTCTGATTGGTCCCTGCCTCAGAATTGCTGGGCATGACTCATGCATTTGGCTCTTGCCTCTGCTGATCTCACAAGCCATGTGGGAGGTTGGTTTTTTTCAGCGTCTCCCAGAGTCTGTGACCTTGTCATCACCATTTTGCCTTGCATTTTGAAAAATACTCTCCCTGAACAAATTGTGTTTATAAAGTAACAAGCAATTCCTTTTCCTATTTTTAGTTATTCATTTGTACCTATTTTCCAATCAGAGTTTCTAATCAGTATGAGTTAATCAGAGTTAACATTTATTTATTTACTGAGCACCTTCTGTGTGACTGACCTATACCAGGTGCTGGCACTAGGAAAGTGAACAAGATTCAGTCTTAGCAGGGGTTTCCAATGCATAATAATATTTCTGTTAATTCACATTAATTTGGGTAAAATTTATTGCTCACCCATGGCATGTGTGGGGTGGTGCCAAGTGCCTTATGTATACCCCTTCTTTAATCTTCAGGGCAATGCTGTGAGTTTGTCATTAGAGATACCACTTTGCAGATGTGGAGACTGAAACTTGTACAGTTGAGTCGAGCCATTCACTCAAAGTCACACGTTCAATTACAGGGTAGAGGCAGGATTTGAACCCTGGATTGTCAGACTCCAAAACTTGCCCCATGGAGATTATAGTCACCAGCTCCCTGCATTCCTTCCTTCACTCTCCTACTGGATAGGTGTTTGCTTTTGTGGACATGAGGAGTGTCCTATGTTCTCTCCATGTTCCGTGGCTTTTGGTTTAGTGTGAGGTGTCTGAATATCCTGGGGACAAATGAATTTGTTGCCCCATAAAATAACGGAGCTTCTAGCTTTCTAAGATATTAAACTTACTTACCTCTTGATTGTTCAGATGGGGAAAGTGAGGCTCTGAGTGCAAAGGGATTTGCCACAATCGTACAGTGGCAGGGTCTGGACTTATACTCAGCAGCTCTGATCTACAGGCTGATGGGGTTATTGGCTAATTTATTCTGAGTCAGATGGCAAATCTCAAGAGTTCTCCTGGGAAATTCTATCCAGGTTTGAGGTCAGAGCAGCCAAAATTAGATACAATGCAAGCTCATGAGGGGCAAGGTTCTAATCTTGTTCATCACCGTGTCCCTGGTCCCCAGCACAGTCCTATGGTGCAATTGGTGGTCAACTGATGTGTGTTGGAGGAATAAACTGGGTGAAATGAAAGGGGCTTCCAGGGAGAACCTTCTAAGGTTTGTGCTATGGGATTGGTAGTTGCTTACCTTTCTTCCTGGGTTCTGTTAACCCAAGAAAGTATTTTAGACTCAAATTGATGGTATCAATATTTAATTTGACACTTCGATGATTCAGTCATTTGGTATTGTAAAACTATTTTTCCGTTTCTATTTTGGAATAAATTGGCTTGTTCTTTGGGCATCTCTGGGCAGAGTAGTTTTTCCTGGCTGTACAAAAAAGAGGATGCTCAGGTATCGGTATTTGTACCCAAGCTCACTTTAGATGTGGCCAGCTCAGGTGTCTATGTTGCAAAAGAGGTACTCCATGTGTCATGAAGTGACTACAAGATTAAAAAGTGTTTCCAGAACAGACAATACCTTAACCATCATATCAGAAATAAAGAAGAGAGGAAAGAATTCACCCAGAATTCATTCACTCTGACTCACGAATTGTCCTTATTTTCTTCCTCCTACTATTCAAATTAGTCAGAAATATTTTTACATTATTGTAATTGGAGTCGAGATTTGACGTCATAATGAACCATGTGGAAATAGTCCCAAGTATTTTCCCATGTTTCTTTATAAGTCACAGCATTGTGACTTTGGGGAAAGCCTGCTATTCCATGCACAGCATGTATTCTGTTTTACTTAAACGTTCTCCTATTACAACAAGGCAATTGTAACTTTATGGGAATGTAAAAGAGTGTTTCTTGTTGGCAATATGGGTGAAACTTAATGAGATTACGCAAAGAATTGCAATACCGACAAGGTCCTTTACTTCAAGTGAGTTTTTCTGTTTGGAGTCAGCCTAATGCTCTATTTTCCTAATGAAATGAGAATACTTAAAACATGCATAGGGAAACATCAAATTAGTCAATATTAGAATTATTTTTGTTCTTTTTCTATTTTTTATAATTTAAATAATTAAGATGACATTGAAAGCAAGCATCTTTCTTAATTGCTCAGAGCATTTTTCTTATTTCTGAAAATGGGTGGCATTTAACTGAGAGACAAAACAAGAACATCAATAAGAAATTAAAGCGAATGGCTTAGAAGTGCTAACCTGGTCTTTAATGTTTCTTCGGGAAAAACCACTAGAAAAGCAGAAAACTGTTCAAGTAAATCCATCTGCTAACTTTCAGGTCAAACCTGTTAGGATTAGTTCTTTAATGAGGTTACAGGGTTTTGGGCGATGAGTGTGCAGAAATGATCTGGTAATGAGCTGACTTCGAAGAGAAGCTTGAGAGAGCTTTCATTAACTGTGTTTGCATCATAATTTGGCAAGGTCACGGGAGAGAGTCTTCTTTAGGCCACTAAAAATAGACAGTCTCATAGATCCAATCATGTCATCATCTCTCTCCCTCTTTTTTTTTTTTTTTTTTTTTTTTTTCTGTAGTCATATCTTATTTCGGGAGCTCCCTTCATTCTTCTCACCCACCTGCCTCCTCTGGAACCCTGTGATTACTTTGTTTAAGACACTGCCTCCTTGTGTGCTGAAGAAGAGAGGAAAGACAGGGCATTTCAGGCCCCTCACTCACCTGATTACTTTATCTTGCAGTTTCCCTTCCTCCCTCCTTCCCTCTTTCCCTTCCTCTTTCCCTTCTTCTCTCATTTCCTTCCTTTCTTCCTTTCCTTTTTTCTCTCTTCCTTTGTCTCTCCCTCTCTCCCTGCCCCCTCCCTCCCTCCTTTCATCCCTCCTTCCCGCCTTTCTTTCTTCTCTCTCTCCTTCTCTCCCTGCCCCCTCCCTCCCTTCCTCCCTTCTTCCCTCCCTCCCTGCTTTCCCTCTTCTCTCTCTCCCTCCCTTCTTCCCTCCCTCCCTTCCTTGGTTCCTTCCTCCCTCCCTTCCTTCCTCCCTCCCTCCGTTCATTTCTCCCTCCCTCCCTCCTTCCCTTCCTTTCTTCCTTCCTTCCTCTCTCCCTCCCTTCCTCCCTTCCTTTCTCCCTCCCTTTCTCCAATTCATCCTCCCTCTGTTCCTTTCTCTCTCCCTTCATCCTTCCTTCTTTCCTTCCTCTCTCTCTCCCTCCCTTCCCTCCCTTCCTTTCTTCCTCCCTCCCTTCCTCCCTTTCTTCCCTTCTTCTTCTCTTCTCCCTTCTTCCCTCCCTCCTTCTCTTTCTCTGTCTCACCTTTACATAGGTCCCAATTCTATGTGTCAGTGTGCATAGAAATACTTGATATACAATTATTTAAAAAGTAAAAACAATGAATGAGCTCCATTTCAAAGTAAAAAGAATGAATGAATGAGCAATAAAGAAGACAAAACAATAAATCAATGAGCACAATTTCAAAGGAAAAACAATGAATGAATGAATGAGCAACAAAGAAGAGAAAATTCTTGAGAGAATGGTGGGGCTAGAAAGACTTCTGCTTCCCTCGAAAGCATACTTCGCTACTATTTTAATACCTCTTTCTTTCACACTCTTGTACCCCCACTGCCAAATGTGTGCTCTACTTACATTGTGTATGTGTTCTATCTATGCCTTGTCATCTGTCTGTGGTTGTATGCATCTGCCCATATCTAAACATATACATCTGTTCAGAATGAGGTTCTGTAAAAATTCAAAGGATTCATTTAACTCCTGGATTCGTCGTTTCTCTTTTTTTTTTTTTCCTGTTGACTCTTTGTATTTCATGCAGGTTTTGGTAAGGAAAATTCTTACCCTAACCTCTAAAACATATAGAATGGATAAAGTAGAGCTTCTGTGGATTAAATAGAAGAAAGGAGAAAGTTGTAGGAATCTGCAGAAGCCTCCCTCCAGCTCTCCCCACCACACCACAGCCCCTGCAACAGCCTTTGGGATACCCCAGGAATACCACTGTTTGCCAAGAACAGTTAGTAAAATCACTAGATTAGATCACTGCTGACTTTTCATTTGGCTCTTACATCCTGTGATTTGTGATGTCTCTGATGTCAAACTTTAAGTCCAGGTCTCTGTGTTTATGGTTTGCAGCAAATGCAGATGATTCTGAAGTAGGTACTGTAGGAGCTATAAACACGATGCAGATGACAGAGTTTCTGCTTTTCATAACCTCACAGGGACTGGAGGAGCAGGCAGACAGTTGGGAAAATGGTTTCTTAAAACAACAAAATGTTCAAACACATAAGAACAGAATGACTGATAAAGGTGGTTGTAAGTCATAGTTGTTGCCTCTCATTTCATCAAATAGTTACTGAGCATCAGCTATGTGCTGGCCACATGTGTATTGCTTTAAAGAGGTCCTAAGAAGATATGATCCCCTCTCTGTTTTATTAACGTTTTAAAATTTTCTTTGTGTAAGTTATCCCTGTCTAATTCTTTGCTGCTAATTTTTCTGTTTACTTTTTAACTCTACCAGAGGCTGAACACTCTGTAAAAAGAGCAATCTTACCTGTTTGGTATCCAGGGATTTGACTGATGCCTGGCACATAATAGATGCTCAAGAAACATCTGCTCACAGAATTACACTGTGTCATTATCTCCACCAATCACAGTGGTTGGCGGAGATGATGCCACAGTGTAAGCTTTGTGCGTGTGTGTAGTTGGGAAGGTGGACTGTCAGGAGGTGATATTTGGCCAAGACCTTAAAAGACAAGGATAAGTTTGTGAAAAAGGAAGAGGAAGAGATATTCAGTTCAGAGGCAAAAGTAGGAATGAAGGAGGCAGAGTGAAACAATATGGTAAGTTGAGGCAAAGCAATGGGTTCCTAGAAGGAGCTTCCCCAGGTGAAGCTGAAGACCAGTGAGGCTCACTAATGAAGGGCTTTCCCTGAGGGCAGAATGGAGTGGTGCTTAAGAGAGGACGCTCTGGCGTCAGACTGCATGGATGTGAATCCCTACAAGCAAGGCAGGTGGCATCAGTAACTCACCCTCTCCATCTTAGATTTCTCCACTTTCAAATAGGGGTTATCTATGCAACAATCCACTTTAGCACAGTATCTGGAACATAGCAGGCTTGGCTATTGTTAAAAGTAGAGGAGACCAATCCAAGGAGACCTTGAGGGCTTTGCAACTGAGAGTGGCATGAGCAGGCCCCTGGTTTAGGGTGTGCCTGTAGCAGCTGTGTGAAAGAGGGGCTTGCTCTCAGGTCCTTCTGGCAGAAAGATGCTGTTGAGTATCTTCCTCTATCTCCTTCCTTCACCTCTGTGGGCCAGTGATGCTGTTCTAAGCAGCCCAATAATTATCTTTCCACTATGTTTAAGATTGTTGCTTTGTGTCTTGCACAGGGTTGTCTCTGTGGGAACCAATGGGATAAATAGTATGCTGGCATCAGTACCCAGAATGGCTGCAATACAGCTCAGCAGCAGTTTTATCTTCATGGGTCCTGCGGTCCTGTGCCAGGTCGTGTGTCCCCGTCCCTTTCGTGAAGCAGCCCTTGCAACTAATATGACTTTAGCCCAAGCTTTGCATATGACCTTCATTCAAATTATTTCATGCTGTTCTTTCTCCTTTTCACATATTTAGTATTCAAAATAGTCTTATATGTGTTTGTACTGTATGCACCTTTGTAGGCGGCCTGAAATTCCCTTTGGAATAAAACAGGATATTGGTAAAATGCACGGCATGCGTCACAGGGAGGGGCATGAGGTGGAGAGTGGGCCGGGTGAGTCTTCAACCTAGTTTCTTTGTGAAGACCTACTTTCCTGTAGGGCTTTAGACTCTGCTCCCTCCTCCACCACCATGTCGGAACTGGCATTTGTCTCTCCCTGTAATTCCTTCTCTGTCCTTGGAAGAGAACTGTGATCATTTCTTGCAGTCCCCTCGCATAGCTGACCTGACCCGTGATATTAATGAAAATGCGGTGCAGAGACCCTGGGATGCTGGAGGCAGGGTCTGGGGCGGTTTAGATGCTGTAGGCACCGCTCCTCACCCATGTCCCCGTTGGGCCTCCGTCTCCCTGTCCATAAAATAATTGTGGTGCCATGGATCCGTGTTCCTCACCTCTCAGTCATTCAGGTTTTGTCTTCCCTAATATCTGGATACAATCACATTGTTATTTACTTAATATTTTCTTTTGACTCCTTCTACTTTCTGCTATTTAAAAAAATATTTTTGAAGAAAATTATATTGCTCTAATTTCTGGAAAGCCAGTATCTCTTGTCATAAATATGAGGCAGTCAAAAAACAGATACAATTAAAAGGAAACAACATAATTGAATCCTCTCTGAGCCTGAGACTGCCTTGTCTTTGTTAAAAAAAGGTTTGTTTAGGAATCACTGCAAACAGAGACTTTCTCTTTGCTGACATCAGGACTGAGAAAGAATTGAAAAGGTATGTCTCCATTTCCCCCATTTATTGTCTCTGAAGGCCAGTAATCTGGCAATTGGTGGGGCCCCTGTTGTGTCAGGTATTGCATTAATTTCTTTATGTTGAGTCTTTGTAACAGAACCCTGATGGTATTGACTTATATTTACTGAACAGTAAATTTGTGTCAGAAACAATAGCGTGATGTGCACATATTATCACCTCTGTGCTCGCCACAGGAATGTGAGGTGTTATGTTGCTCATTTTACAGGTAAGGAAACAGAGTCCTAAGCCACAGAACTGAAGAGTCATGGAGGCCCAAACAGGAATCAGCTTGCAGCTGCATCTTATGCCAAAGTCTTTCTAATTCCACAAATTGGCCCCTTGGCTTGCTGGGGGACATGCCCCTTTGGTTTGGCTCCTAGATAAGGTCCTCTGGGCCTTCTCTGAGGACCATCTTGACTCTGAAACCTGGCTGTGCCTACACATCACCCTGAGAGCCAAAGGTGACCCCTCCCTGGCCGCCAAGGTCTTCTGCACATGCAGTGTCCTCTTGAAGATGGCCACATCATGGTATTGGGTTTGGCCCATGAAATCCCCAACACATGTTGAATACTAGAGAAGTATCAGCTCTTAGCTCTGTGTTTCCTGAAGTGTGGTTGGAACACTCATAAAGGGAGGTGGGATGCTTTTAGCCAGGGGAACTGATTATTCCAATTACAAAGTTCTGTCATTTCAAAGTAGGAAACAATCTTACTGCCCATCAAATCCACCCTGGTACCCAATGCCAAAATTCATTTACTTACTGGATAAGGAATGTGACTGAAATGTTTACAAATATAAATGATCAAGTTATGAATAACATACACATGCATGTGTGTGTGTGTACTGACACACATATAGATACTATTATATATCTTTATATCTCTGTATGTAGAACATTTGCAGATATCAAAGCCAAGGAGTCATTTTAAAAGCCTGTTTAGAAAGACAACCTCCTTGCTTCTTGGCCTTTTGGCTAAGATCAAGTGTAGGTATCCAGCCTCATTTTCTTGATGGAAGCCATATGATAGAGAATATGAATATTGTAGAAGAAGTCCTCCTGAAACCTCTGATCCACTGATTTGCAGACAAACAGGGCCATTTTTCTGTCATTTCCACACTCATGATCCAAGCACAGTCTGGTAAGATGACCCAGCTCCACATAGCTGTTGACAGTGCTTTTTTTGTTCGTTTGTTTGTTTTTTCTCTTTATTTTCAGTTCTTAACAATGGAGTTAGTAAAAGTAACCATCCAAAGAGTATTTAAAAAATGAAAAGAAAAAAACATCCTTGAGAATATGTGTTTTGTGTTTGTGTGTGTGTGTGCAGTCACATTTACATCTAAAGCACACACACATGTGACTCACAAATCGAGGTAGAATAGCCTACATAAAGCTTCCTATGAAAATATTAGATTCTCAATATTGACAAATGATTTTTCGCATTCTTCAAGAATGTCACAATTTGTGCATAGCAGTGAAGAATGTTCTTCCACCAATAAAGTCCAGCAAACGCGAAACTGAAACATTTTAATGGCCTGATTCCCCTGCCGACCCTGGGTGAATCCAGTGTATTTAATGAGGTGTGATGAGGATGTAGAGCACCCGCTAGACTCTCTCCCTGGCTCACGTCAGCCCCTCTGTGGCCAAATTCAAATTTGTGCCTGAAGAAAATCAGTCTCCACTTACTGCAGCCCTTCAGAAGCACTTGTAAATAGGTGAGACCACTATGTCCAGGGCTCAGATTTTTATTTACTAAGTCATTGGTTTGAAAGCTCTTTTGAAGCATTTAGTTTGTGCCTTTGTCTACCTGATTATAAAGTGGACAAGGAAACATATATGCTTCTTATCCCTGTGGAGTTTATAGACAAGCAGAGTTTGTACAGCTTGTGTCTTCAGAGTAAGTGCCTAGGAAAAGGCAAATAACAAAATGGCATTTTTTTCTTAACCTAATTTTATATTGCAAAAGGATAGTCCCACTTAATTTTGAGAAACCTGATTTTGTTTCTTTCTGAGTATAATGGCCCCAGAGGGAACTCTCTCCTATTATATCATAAATCAGTTGTATTGCTATGGACTATGCAGTTTACTTTTCTTACTATGGAAAGATAGCGGGAGGCTGTGACTATTTTGGCATACAACAAACACTGCAGTGTGTGTGTCTCTGTGTGTGTGTGTGTTTGCAGTACTTCTCTGACTTTGTGAATATGGAGATTTGCATACTCCAGAAACTTGCAAATAAGCGGATTTCTTGGTTGTCTGGAAGTTGCCCAGATTTGGTAAAATGTAAGAGACTGTCTCAGGCCTTGTGTCTGGTTAAAGGTCTTTGTTTTTCTTTATTACATGCATGGGTTCTCCTTCGTAGTTGGTTTCTGCTTTTCCTGGATAGTTAGGTAGCCTGGTAAAGTGATGCAGTCCTTAGTCATGTTTCTTTTAAATCATTGGACTACTTTCCTAATTTAGTGCCCTATTTTATAGCCAAAGAATGGAGTAGAGTACAGCTGTTGGGTGAATTGCTATAGATGCAAACTGCCTGTGTCCGAGTCTTGGCTTCACTGGTGAGTGGCTTTGTGATTGAGGGCAACTTTACTCCGTCTTTTTGTGCTCCAATTTCCTAGTTGTGAAATGAAGAAAAACCACAGAACCTGACTTATAAGATTGTCATAAGATGAAATTGTGTGTTGTAGAAAGGTACTTAGCCCAGGACCTGGTCCATTGGAAATTCTCAATAAATTTTAGCCATCATAATTGCCTGTTTGGATTAAGTTGTGTCTGCGGAACATTCAGCTCCTGGGGGATAGAGAAATGCTGAGAGTTAGCATCATATGTACATGATGGCATTCATGCCTTAAATCCCCAAAGATGATTAAATGCTTCATTTGGCATGTGAAGTATTTAGAAAATATTGACCACACTTTTTCAAACTTAATACTTGCACAAACACAGGCATTTAATGCCAGTCAGAAAATACCTGTTGGTATTTTATTGTTAATAGCCGATTATTTGCAAAATGATAACCTACTTTACTGATTTTAAATATTTAAATATTATAGAAAACAAACCAAATAATGCCACGTTGCATTTATCAAAGCTGAATAATTTGTGCCAAATGAGTACATTATTACAGTCCTTGAAAACAAATTACAAATTATACCTGTCATTTGACATCAAGTAGATAAAAGTCAATAGGTATTTTCAATCTTTTAAATTAAAAAATTATATAATTTTGTGGCCATTCTTTGTCTAATTACTACCGTTCATTTATTTCTCCAATAGTCTAGCTCTGTGGAGTGTTAGCAGTGTACTGACCTGGGACAAACAAAAATGAGAATAATATGTGATTTCTGTCCTCAAATAGCTCACAGCTTCCTTGATGGAAAGTTGGGAGGACCAAATAGCCACAAATAACAAAGATCTCTAATTGTGGGAGAAATAAAAAAGCACTATGTTACACTAAGGGAATCCTGAGGCCCTCTGAGTTTATGCTAGGTACTGAGGAGAATTTCCATCAAAGTCACACTAACAGTAAATGGAAGAAGAGGTCAGATGCAGAGAAGCACAGAGGTGCACAGCCTGCCAGGCTCAGGAACAGCAGTACTTACTGAAGCAGGAGGTAAGGTGGGCAGGTGAGGCTGGGGACAGACAGGAGTCAGATGCATAAGCTGTGTTAATAAATGTGGAATGTGGGCATCTCCTGACCTGACGGGAAACCATTTAGAATTTTAATATTGTCAAGTTTTTTTTTTAATGTAAAAATCACCATTCTTCTAGTTGATGGCTTCTGTTGAAAAGGGGATTTCTGTTTGATCATGTGCATTATATTCAAATGTTTAGATATTTATACATGACAAGGAGACAAATAAGTAAAATAAAATCAGCTACAGAAGAAGAGGTTAAAGTTATTCTGGAGCATATGTGATTGTGTGCATGCTGGTTGCTTTGTTCACCCTAGTAGTTCTTTAGAAAACTTTACATACTGACCATATGGGCATCCTTAAAACTTTCCTGCAGCATGCTTGTACTTATTTTTGTCTGCTTCTCACCTCCACCCTAAAAAAAAGTTTAAAAAGTAAAATTGCTAGCATTTTAGGCAAAAATAAAATATACTCTCCTGGAGAAAGTCTTTTCATTTTCCTTCTATTCTAGCTGTTCTCAAGTTGTTAATAATATAGTCTCTCTCTCTCTCTCTCTATATATATATATATATGCAAATTTTATAGTGGGTGTGCTTAGATATTTCCCCTTATTCTAACTTTTATTCTTCTTTATTTGGTAGCAAAATCATCATTGCTGAGTGGGAGGGGAAGAGTCTTTGGAGCAAGGGAAATCTAGATTGGAATTCCCACTCTGCCACTAATTAGCTTGGTTATCTTGGGCAAGTTGTTTAACTTCTCTAGGTTCTAATTTCTTCCTCTTTCATGAGGCAGAAATAAAATTTCTAGTGTTGTGGGGAAGAGTAATTTTTACAAAACACATGTAGAAGCACCAACGCAATAATACCGATGGCGTGTAGTAGATGGCACGTAAAACTGGAGCTTCTAGTACCTCAGTTGTTAATATGTTGAAAGGAGAAAGTGAAGCTACATAATTTGGGCAAGAAATACAGATAAAATGTAGTGAGTAGTAGGAGGTTTGCTCATATGCTAGATGACTGTTTGTTTATTCATTTCCCAAAGATATGACAAAGGCCGTGAATATTTATTTAGTTCTGCTCCCAATAGCCCTTCTAATAGGGAATTATTTGGGTACAACGAAAGACATTTGTAAATGCGGCTGATAAGACCGGCATTGGACAAGGCGTGTTTTGTTGGACACAAGAATTCTATTGTCCCTGGCTTCAGTTGTCAAGTGCCCGGGGAACCCAGAATTTATGGTGGCAGCACAATGGGCCTTTCAGGGCTCAGGGAAAGAGCTGTGAGATCCTGCTCCCCGGCTTTTCAAGGCCTCTAGTCTTTTTATCAGGCCTGGACAATGCCGGATTCAGCGGCTGCCTGAGCCTCCTGACCGTCCATTGGCCGTCAGGTATTGTGCAGTAATTACCATGGTGACAATGGACTCTCTCTACGCCCGTCCATCGGCGCTTTGGAAAATGGTGAAGGTTGTCACTTTGCATTAGGTGCCTCTAAAAGCATGGCTTACTTAGAAAAACTACTAAATAGAAATGAAGATAATCGTAGTAAGAGTTTGATTTAAAAGGCCACTGTGTCAAATCCATTTGGGGCTCAGAAACTCTTTATGGATGTCTTCTTCTAATTACAGATAGACGTTGGGCATCATCCTCTGTACAGGCAGTAAGGAGCCAGCCTTGAAGATTTTGCAGGAAGGGATGAGCAGAGGACAGCTGGTGTCCCCTAACCACGCAGTGGGAGTAGAGGTCTAATCTGGGTCCAGGAACTTTGAAGGATCTCTAAATTTCTTTGAGACTCAGATTCCTCATCTGAAAAAAAAATTTTGCAAAATGCTTATAGATTATTATTAATTACATGTGATAAAATTGTATGTTAATATTTATGCACATATCAATATTGGTTCTGTATAAATACACATCTATTAAAGGGTTTTTGAATAGCAAATATACAATAAAAGGTAAAATGTTTAATCATGCACAATCATAGAAGCACAATATATCTTTTCATAATCACAACTATTGATTTTTGAGTGTATAAGTGAAGTGTTCCATGTATTGTGATTATCCTCCACAATCATTCTTCAAAATAATTGTTATTATCCCCATTTTATAGTGAGGAAACTGAGGCTCAGAAAGTTCTTGCTTGCCCCAACTCAAACTAGCTTGGAGGAGGAAAAACTTGATTTTAAGTCTTGTTCTCTCACATGCAACAGCTTCCTGTTTCTCCCAATTTTTTACAAAAAAAATCATGATCTACAATCCTAGCTTACGAAATATGCTTTACCATATGGGTTTGGAACTTTGCAATAACAGGAAAGAAAAACACCCAATGGAGATTATTAACTGAGTTTAATCATCCGTTCAACAATGTCAGAAACATGTGATGCTCAAAAAAGGAAGAAGCCCCCATCTGCAGACCCCCAGGGATGACTGTGTATGTGTGACCCCTTCTCCTGCCTGCACAGAGCAACATCAACAAAGCAAATTGGTATTTCTAGACCACCAGAAAAGTGGATGGCCGTTGTTCAACTTCTTCACCAAAGAAAAGTTTTAAAAACCTGATATTTCACTTGTTTATACAACAGTAACATGTAAACATTTAATTATAGTTTGCTTTAACTAACTATGTTCCAAAATATCCAAAATATCCCATTGTGGTGGCTTTTTGTTTGTTTGTTTTGTGTTGTTTTGTTTTTGAGACAGGGTCTCACTTTGTCACCCAGGCTGGAGTACCGTGGCGCTATTTTGGCTCACTGCAGCCTCGATCCCCCAGGCTCAAACGATCCTCAAGTCTCAGCTTCTCAGTAGCTGGGACTACAGGCACCTGCCACCACACCCAGCTAATTTTTTTTTACACGTTTCGCCATATTGCCCAGGCTGGTCTTGAACTCCTGAGCTCATGTGATCCTCCTGCCTCAGCCTCCCAAACTGCTGGGATTACAGGCATGAGCCACTGCAGCTGGCCTTCCCAGTGTGTTTTTACCAAAAAGTAGAAATTATCTGTAGTCACACACCATGGGAATAGGCATGATTTGCCTGGGGAGTGGGCCTCCTGGTGGGTTCTTAAACCTAGGGAAAAAGGAGTGGGTTTATTGATCCAGCCCAGTTATGCTACTTCCTTGCTCTATGCACTTGGGCATATGCCATTCAGCCTCAGTTTCTCAATCTGTAAAACGGAGTAACTCCATCTCCTCGGGCTATGCTGCTCCCTTCATTGACAACTCTTTCCATTTTAATGGAGAGCCTAAGAGAGGGAAAGTGGAAAAAGGAAGGATATGGCTCTGCACGTACTGAGCCTTCCACACAATCAGAGCTTAGCAAAAGGGAGCTGCCACAGTCACAGCTGCATCCTCCACTGACTGTCTTCCTTGATTTTGGTATGCTTACTGAGTATGTCCTTCATTCCACTTTATACACTCTGGCTTCACGGTGTTCCTTTTCCTGATTTCTAGTCTCTCTGAAATAGTATATAGCATGTACTGTCTGAGCCCCTAAGAGGCTTAGTGCTGTGGGCAGCCAAGCACAATGATGGAAGGGCTGATAGATGACAATGGCGCTGTACTTGAAGACAGCCCATGATGGTGTGCAGAGCTGGGAAGATGGCAGAGAGAAGTCCCGAGAGTAGGTAGGAAGTGGGTGCAGCAAGGCTGGAGTGTGGTTTCCTGGCTGAGAGGGGAACACATGATTCCAAGTCTTGGGGGAGTCATGAGCTGTGGGGAAGATGAAGGAAAATGAACATTCCAGCCATGAAGGCCGGTGCAGAGAATGCAGAAACAGATGACCCACTATAGCCCGCACAGCCATCTTAGCTCCATCAACTATGCTAAAAGCATAAAGAACAACTTGGATTTTGTATGTTCATTTTTTTTTGTAAGAAACATGATATAATTGTATACCAGTTTTTTTCACAGAATCCACAGTCCCTCTTTCTCAAATGTTTGCAGTGATTAGAATTCATAGACAATTCACCATCTATTTTTGCTTTTCTTCCAAAGCTTTTTTGATTGACTGCCTAGGCTTTTGGTGAAAGGATTTCTATAGGAAACATTTTGCAGGGAGGTAAAGAATGCAAGACAAAGTGGGGAGTTCGATCGGTCTTTTACAGATTTGAGAAGTCAACCCTTTTTAAACACGCTGGCCCCAGTCACAGCTTCATTATTAACAGAAGACTAGAGAAGGAAAACAGAAGGTACTTGGGCTATGAGGTCAGCACTGCTGGATTCCAACCATACCCTGGGCATTATTGGCTGTACACTTTCAGCAAGAGTCTTACCTTTTTGTGTTGTAGGGTGAGATGGCGTTCATAATACCCAGGATGGTTATATGTGCTTAAGGATAATTCACTGGTGAGATACATGGCAAATATCTTTTCCACCCCTGTTTATAACATTCCAGTTATCTATTGCTGAGTTACATGACATCCTAACATTTAGTGGCATATAACAACAACGTATTACTATCTCTTACAGTTTTGTGGATTGATTGAATTCATTTAGGTATTTTTACTTGTTCTTTCCTGCCATGTAGTCAGATGGCTGGAGTTACATGAATATTTTTATGTATTAGGTGTCCAAGATGGCATCTTTAGTCACCTGTCTGGCACCTCAGCTTGGAAGGCTGAAAGAGCTGGAAATGGATTGGCACCTCTCTCTCCAGCCATACAGCTTCTCCTCCTGGCTGTCTGGAGCTTTCTCACAGCACAGTAATATCGAGTATTTGAACTTTTGACATGGCAGCCAACTTCTCCTAGAGCAAGCGTTCAAAAAGCACAAGATAAGCTACAGGGTTTCTGTATTAGTCTGCTTATACTGCTATAACAAAATATCACAGATTGGGTGGTTTAAACCACAGATCTTAATTTCTCAAAGTCCTGGAGACCAGTAGGTTCTGTTCTGGGTGAGGATCTTCTTCATGGCTTGCAGACAACAGTCCTCTCACTGTGTCTTCACATGGCAGAAACAAAGAGAGAGCTCTGCTTTCTTTTCCTTTTCTTAGAAGAACAATCCTTCATGACATCATCTAAACCTAATTACCTCCCATAGGCCCCACCTCTGAATACTATCACATTATGGGTTAGTGCTTTAACATGTGAATTTTGGGGAACAAAACCATTCAGCCCATAACATTCTACTGCTGATCCTGCAAAATTCTTGTCCTTCTTGCATGCAAAATACATTCATTCTATACCAGCAGCCTCCAAAATCTTAACTTGTTTCAGCATAAATTCTGAGGTCTAAAGTCCAAATTCTCATCTAAATAAGTATGGGTGAAACGCAGGATACTATTCATTCTGAGACACAATCAGTATGGATGAGATTTAAAGTACTGTTCATCCTGGGGCAACATTTGTCTGCAGCTGTGAACCTATGAAATAAGATAAATTATGTGCTTCCAAAATACAGTGGTGGGACAGGTGTAGGATAGGCATTCCCTTTCTGAAAGGGAGAAATTGGAAAAAAGAAAGTAGTGATGTGTTCCAAGCAAGTTTACATAAAAAGGCAAATACCGCTGAATCTTAAGGCTCAAGAGTAATTTTCTTTGGTTCAATGCTTTGCCTTTTGGACCGACCAGGGTGGAGGTCCCTCTCCCATGGTTCTCAGAGTGTCACTTCTGCTGTTTCATTGTTATGCAGAGCCAGCTCATAGTCCCATAGAAGGAGACTGCACAAGGGCATGCCTATCAGAGTGTCTGGGTTATTGTGGGGTAATTTTAGAGACTGGCCACAGCATGTAACATGGTTGACAAGCAGGGTCCTTCCTCATTCGTTATGCATTGTGTGAACTGCTGCATGTAGCATTTCCTCCATGACTCCCTGTATCTCCAGGAATAACTCCAGTGTTACTCTGTCCTGACATTTGGATAAATAGCACACAAGAGGACAGCTTTATTGTTCATCTTGCTACAGTCACCAAAACCAGGCTCTATGAACAAATTTTAGTAGATCTAAGGTCCATCCACATCCCTTCACTAAAAAGGGCTTTTGTTTGCTTGTTTGTTGTTTTGGAGAAGGCTTTGTGTATGGTGTTCGATGGAAGCAATATCAAACAAGGAAAGAGATTTGGAAAGAAATGAAGTCAAGTCAAAGAAATAAGCTGTTTAAGCCCCTAATGCAGGCTGAGTTGATCCTAGAAGGTAGAAGCCTAGAGATGAAGGACATTCAAGAACTCCTTTATGCTGTTGTGTTATGGAAGCTATGCCAGCTGGCACCTTTCTTGGTTCAGTGCCTCAGTTTTTAAAGATGACAGCTGTTTAGACACTCCATATTCCTTTCTTTATTCACTCAACAAATATGCATTGAACAGATGCTCTGGGCTAGGAAATGTGTTAGACATTTTGGGAGATATGAAGATGAATCAGACCAGAATCCAAGCAGAACACAGCCCCCATTTTAGACACAGAAAGTCTAAAACGTGGTGTTGTGGGTAGGGGAAATGCAATCTTGAAGAGCTGCAACACTGTCAGCCCAATGCTCTGGTCTGCTGGAGTGGGGATAGTATCTCCTATTACCACCACTGCTATTGCTACTCTTCATCCTTGAGCCTGTTGTTCAAGAGGATCTGTCAACACCAGAACGGTGCTTCTCACTTTAGGAAGGAAGACATTGCTTTGGCTTTGGAACATAGGTTCTATCAGAAATGGGCTCTAAGTTTTCATACCTTCCCCCAATAGCTTGTTCTTCATGCAAGAGCAAATGTATGTGAATGACACAGCATGTTATAAGAAGTTGTGTGTAGGATTGCTTTTATCATTGTCATCAAAGTACGAAACGCATGTATGGTTAATCACACTATCCGGTGGTACTTATAAATCCATGACAAGTTTTTCCCACTTTTCACGTAATTTTAGTAATTTGTTTCTCTCTCTCTTTGCACACCTGGATTGTCATCTTCTAAGAGAAAAGTCTGTCATATGCAACTGTGTTTAATACTGTATCACTTGGTCAATTCATGGCACCACTAGGTTACTAATGATCCTTTCACTTTTTGCAGAAATCACTGTGTTTTCAGCTCAGCGGCCCTGTGACATTCCTTCGTGTTGTCATTTGTTGAGTGACCAATCAGATGGGTGGAGTGTGTTACAGAAATTGGCAGCAAGTATCCAATGGGTGAAGAAGGTAAGTTGGACTAATATTACTGAACAATTCACATATTACTATGTATGTCAAGATGGAAAGTATGCCACTGGGTCTGTGTCTCAAATGTGGCTTGATTTGGACCTTCACTAAAGCCAAAAGTAGAATCTGAGAGGGAGAGAAAGGCCTACGTTTTTCGGTAGTGAGGAATGTGATTATTCAGTGTTGATGTTATTGGATTCTCTTTATTGAACACCTATTATGTGCTAGTAATAGTAAGATCTGGAGGAGAAAGAAGGAACTAAAGGGATTATAATTGTTTAGCAAGGACCCGGCTGAACAGGCCAACTGAGATGATTGCCATGTTGCTTTTTTCCCCTTTTCTTTTGAAATAAGTCTTAAAATGGGAACAAGGTAGCTTATGTCCCACAAGGAAATGAGATTGCTAGGAGGCTGAACCTTTTAGACTTCAAATGACATGGCCCTCGATCACGAGCCAGGAGGCCTGATTTCTACACCCAGACCTAGCTCTGCCATTCACTGTCTGTGCTATGGGATTAATAAGCCATTTACTGGACTGCCAGGGTGGCTGGACCTAGGATTTCTAACAGTTCTTACATTTTAGGATTCTACGAATCCATTTACCTTCTCCATCTGCTCGGTGGTAACTGGAGCAATATTCACAGGAGACAACTAAATATCCAGATAGAAATTTAAGAATTAATTCTACCAGTGTGACTTTCCACTCTTGGGGAATCTAGACCTTCTTATCCAAGTGCCTACGGCTCGTCTCCATGTAGATGTCCAGTGGTGACTTAAATATGTACGTCAAATCCAGGTTTTTCCTGGGTCCCACATTCCTGTAATAGTATCAAAATTCACCCAGAATAGAAACATGGACGGAATACTTTAAGCCTCTCAACCCCTCACCTCCAATAGCAGTTAATTCCTCTTGATTCCTATTCATTCTATCATTTGGCTATCTCTGAAATAGTTTTGTTTCTCTCTATCCCTATTGCCACCGTTCAAATGCAAGTCAAATGTTTTTTCTCTAATATTACTGAAATTGTCACCTATTACGTATTTTTGCTTCCAGGGTTATTTCTCCCTTATCAGCTCCAACGTGATCCATTATCTATGTATATCCTGAACAATGTTCTTAAATCCGTACATATTGTACTTTCCCACTTATTTCCTTTCAATGATAGAGATAAGCTTTTCTTAACAAGCTTCTAGGATCCTTTAATGGGAAGGGCCACTGTTTTGCTGTCCAGATTCATCTCTCAGCTGGTATTCCCTCTCCACCCTGCCTGTATTATATACATCCACTCTAGGACCTCCTCATAAGGCACAGCCATTATTTCCCCCAAAGCCTCATAATCTCTCTCACCTCATAAGCACTCTTAAGGCATTTTATATCTTAGCTTGGACTTCACTATCTCTAAGGAGCTATTTCTAATAGCCTAAGATTACCTAGACAATGCTTTAGCAGCCAGGGATTACACCATTTACTGTGATTTCTACATTGGACTGTAATTGCCTTTTTAGTTGTCTGTCTTCCCAGCTAGACCTAGAGATTTTTGAGGACAGGACTTATTTGGGACCACTGTGCTCCCAGTTGCAAGTACTGTATCTGGGCCAAAGTATGCACTTAGTAAGTACTTACTAAGCAAATGAATAGGGACCCTCAGTATATTTTTAATTAAATGTGAGGAAGGTGGACTAAGGTGACTAACAGAGAAAAGTCATAATAACAGCAGCTAACAGGTTTTGCATGCTTACTATATGTCAGGTTCCTAAGGATGTTAAGTGTATCACTCCCCTTACTCCTTCCAAAAGCCTTATGTGGTAGGTATTATTAATATCCAACATTTTATAAATGAGAAAACTCAATCTTGGAGAATGTATTAGTCTGTTTTCACACTGCCATAAAGAACTTCCTGAGACTGGTAGTTTATAAATGAAAGTGGTTTAATTGACTCACAGTTCTGCATGGCTGGGGAAGCCTCAGGAAACTTAGAATCATGGTGGAAGGAGAGGTAAGCATCTTCTTCACAAGGTGGCAGAAGAGAGAAGAGAAGCATATGTTAAGGGAGGAGAGCCCCTTATAAAACTATCAGATCTTGTGAGAACTCACTCAGTATCACAAGAACAGCATGGAGGAAACTGCCCTCGTGATCCAATCACCTCCCTCCCTTCACACTTGGGGATTACAGGTTCCTCCTTCCACACATGGAAATTACAAATTGAGATGAGATTTGGGTGGACGCACAGATCCAAAGCATATCAGGGAAGATAAGTAACTTGTCTATGGCCATAGTGCTATAACTTTTATCCTTGGAATTTGTATTTATGGGAAGTCTAACTTTAGCTAGAGTTTGTGTCTTACCACTGTCCTTGTCTGCCTTTCTCCTGAATGAATCTCCCATATTATGGGCAAAAAACATTACCTCCACATAAGGCCAGGGGCTTTTCCTGCAGCCCACACAAGCTATTGTTAAATAGATGGTAGTCCCCTGTGACTGGGAACTATACATTTCTGATAATTTCTCAGGTGTTTTACACTCTTGTGTTAATGTGGGTCTGTTTTGGGAGGACATTTCAACGTGAGGAGTCCCCACCTCTTTCTCTCATTGTCTGGTCAATGTTTGTTAAGGGAATAAACCAATGATTGAAAACGCTTATCCTAGAAGCAAAATCGCACTCCCCTACAAACGCACCAGAATGATTTGGAAATTGTAGGACTGACTCCTCTTGCATTTGCTTATTTTGCACTCATTTGCTCCGAAGCCTGGCTCAGCAGAGGAAGTGCATCCCTCCTGTGGATATGTCTGTGAATGATGATCATCTCATTTCTGCTGAGCCAAATGGGGCTCTTCATTTCATCGGCCCTTTGAATTCCTCAATAAGATGTGCGAGTGACATTTCCTATTTTTCTAGATAATAGGGGCAATTAGAATGAGGTGTCAATGAATCAGAGTCAAAAGTTAAATAGAAAGTACTTGAATTTAATTTCATGTCTAGGAAATCTGGTAGTTTTTTTTTTTTTAACCTGGAAATTAAGAACAGTCTATTTTGAAGAGTTCTGCAAAGCTTTTATTCCAAGGAGAGGAAGGTAAATTACTCCAAGGCTGGTGGCATGAAACCTTTAAAAAACAAAACAAAACATAAAACAGCAGGAATGCAGATGGAACAATCCTTTGATTTTTCAGGTTAAGCTTCTTCTTGATGGAAAAGAATTCTGTGCCTGGTGGAGGAAAGGACTTGTTCTTGATCGCACTGTAAGGATTTTGAAGAACAAAACTAACCAATGACTTTAGCTGAGACTCAGATTCTTGATTCCCAAACAGGTCAAGATGCCAGACTTTCTTGAACAGGCACCTATGACATGCCACAAAGGCAGGCAGAGATGAAAGGGCACTTCCTCTTTCCTCAAGGAGTTTATGGTCAGGTAACTGCATATAGCAGTCAAAATCCAAGTGGGAAGGAAAGACGGAGAGAGGCTTTAAACAAATGTGGCATGGGCTCACAGGATCGGCACTCTAGTTAACTTACAGTGAAATCCACTGGAGCTTGAGCTTCCGTTTCTAGCACACATGTCTTACTTAGGAACAGAGGAGGAATTTTCTGGGCAGCTACAGGATAAGGCTTCTAAGCCCTGTGACCTTGCTGGGTTTTCAGTAGAGCACAGGGGCCTAGAAATGAACATCTTGGAGAAGTGGAAGAGATTTGCCCTTTGCTCAAGAGAAGTGTACACACATTGGCATCCTGCTGAGTAATAACCAGCAGGAATTGCTGGTCGCAGGTCACCCAGTTATCTTTCATTTGCATAGGAGTGAATCCCAGAAAGCTGCTTCTGGGGCAGCTCACCTGTGCTGCAGAACCCACCGGGCTCTGCATTGTCCCTGACAGCTTGAAGTGTTAGCAACCTGCTTCCTAACTCTCTGTGCTGCTGGGTCTGTCTGTGAATGTGTATTTCCTATTTTGGGATGTAGGCCACTGTGGAGAAGGAGGCCAAGTGTCTGTCTGTATCTGGTGTCATCAGAATCATAAACAGACACTCGGTTCACTTGTTGCCTACACATTGTAGCTCTTCAATGTGTACAATGTGACTGTCATCACCACAATCAACTAATGATTACATGAAGCCCTTATGTGGTAGGTCACCTGAACATCCAGTCCCTGTGCAAAATCATAACTAAAGGAAAAACCTGAACCAAAGTTGTGTTCTTTGATCTTGCTTTATTTAGCTAGTGATGGGCAAAGAGGTCAATGACATTGATATTTTCTGAGCATGCCCTTGTACCAGGTACTGTGATATGTGCTTTACATTTATTATCTTGTTTGACGTCACCAAGACTTTGGCTGCTATGCGCAGGGGTCATGATTCTTTCATAGATGAGGATACTGAGGTTTAGAGAAGTTAAAGAACTTGCTGAGGACCACCGATGAGCGATGGGTAGAGACAGGGTCTCCATTCCTAAGCACAGCACTGTAGTGCTTCCTATTGATAATGTCTCTTCCAATTCTTTTGTACCTTGACTTCCAGTCTTAACCAAGCTGGGATGGGAGGGAGTTGGAGGGCAATTATTATTACAGTTATTTTGGTATGGCAATGTCCTAAATCTCTACTTGAGTTTTTTTATTTTTTAATAATAGATTCAGGGGGTACATGTACATGCTTATTGTATGTGTATTTTGCATAATGGTGAGGTTTGGGCTTCTAGTACACCCATCACCAAAATAATGAACATTATACCCAATAAGTAGTTTTTCAACCCTCCTCCTCCCTTTTTGGAGTCCCCAGTGTCTATTATTGCCATCTTTATATCTATGTGTACCCATTGTTTAGTTCCCACTCATAACTGAGGATATGCAGTATTTGATTTTGTGTTTGTGAGTTTTTTCACTTAGGATAATAGCCTCCAGCTTCATCTATGTTGTTGCAAAAGATATGATTTCATTCTTTTTTTATGACTGTGTAATATTCTCTGTGGCTGTGTAGTATTTCGTGATATACCATACAGCCATAAAAAAGAACGTTGTGTGTGTGTATATATATATTCTACATACATATGTGTGTATAGAGATAATGTATGTGTGTATAGATACACATATATACACACATAAATATATATGTCTATATCTACATATACACACACATATATACATATGTATATATATGTAGATATAGACACGTATATATACACACACTACATTCTTTTTTATGTGTATATATGTATATGTGCACATATATACACATATATACCACATTTTACACACACATATATATGTATATACACACACACACACGCCACATTTTCTTTATCCTGTCATTTTTTGATGGGCACTGAGGTTGATTCCATGACTTTGCTATTGTGAATAGTGTTGTAATAGACACATGGGTGCAGGTTCCGTTTTGATATAATGATTTCTTTTCCCTTAGATAGGTACCCAGTAGTGGGATTGCTGGGCTGAAAGGTAGCCCTATTTTCAGTTCTTTGAGAAATCTCCACACTGTTTTCACGAAGGTTGTGTTAATTTGAATTCATACTAACAGTGTATACACATTCCTCTTTCTTCACATTCTGCTCTCCACTTGAGTTTTAAAGGAGACATAGTGGGTTCTGGCTAATGCAGCGAGGTGACTGAATGTATCCAGTGAGTGAGGGGCAAAAATGGCAAGAGGAGAAAAGACTCTGGATGTGTTTACTCATCAGTCATCTTGAGAACCATCCCTATGTTAGGCTTTGGACTAGGTGCTGGGGATACAATAATAAATCATGTGTATCAATACAACAATGGAACCGTACTGTTGCTTCCAAAGAACCCCTCTTCTTGTGATGGAGCCAGGCTGGCAAACAAATAACCATGGTACAGAGTTCCTTTTAGACAGCTCCATGGATCTGTGAGAACATAGAGGGGCTGACTTCTGCTGGAGGAAATCAGGCGGAGCTTCAGTGAGGAGGTGACCTCTGGGTTTAGACTTGATCATGAGTAGGGATTTATCAGGAGAAACCGGGAAGGATTTTCCAGGCAAAGGGAACAGTACAGAAGTTGTTAAGTCAGTATTTGTCATTACTAGGTGGGATGTCCCATGAAATATTTGTTTTTATTTTTATGTATCCTTAGATAGATACATTTAAACAGTTAAGATGGTTAAAATAGATAAAGACGGTTAAAATTTAAAAGGTGAGACCTGGCATGGTGGCTCATGCCTGTAATCCCAGCCCTTAGGGAGGCCAAGGTGGGCAGATCACAAGGTCAAGAGATCGAGACCATCCTGGCCAACATGGTGAAATCCCGTCTCTACTAAAAATACAAAAATCAGCTGAGCATGGTGGTGCGTGCCTGTAGTCCCAGCTGCTCGGGAGGCTGAGGCAGGAGAATCACTTGAACCCAGCAGGCGGAGGTTGCAGTGAGCTGAGACTGCACCAACTGCACTCCAACCTGGTGACAGAGCAAGACTCCATCTAAAAAAAAAAACCAAAAACAAACAAAAAAAATTAAAAGGTGAAAAAGAGTCTACAGAGAATTAAGTCTTCTTCAATTCCTATACTCTAGGCGTTCAATCTCATTCCCTGGAAGCCACTATTGTCAGTTTTCTGTGTGACTTCCAGACAGTTTCTGGGCAGTTGCAAACACACACATCCATATAGCTACTTCCTCCACATTTGTATACATAGATCACATCCAGCTGTAAACCCTGTTTTACACCTTGATTTATTTTTTGAGGCAGAGTCTCACTTTGTCACCCAGGTTGGAGGGCAGTGGTGCAGTCTTGGCTCACTGCAACTTCTGTCTCCGAGGTTCAAGCGATTTTCATGCCTCAGCCTCAGTCCCAGAGTAACTGGGACTACAGGCATATGCCACCACGGCTGGCTAATTTTCTGTATTTTTAGTAAAGATGGGGTTTTGCTACATCGGCCAGGCTGGTCTCGAGCTCCTGGCCTCAAGTGATCTGCCCGCCTCGGCCTCCCAAAGTGCTGGAATTACAAGCCTGAGTCACCGCGCCCAGCCACCTTAATTTTAAAAGGAAAAATGTATTAAGTTTTTCCCTTTGTTTTGCTTGTATTCATTTGATTTAAAACTTTTTTAAGTTTTAAAACTATCCAAACCTACAGAAAAGTTGCCCAAATAACACAATAAATTCTTATGAACACTTCATCAGGAGACACTGAATTTTAAAAAATCATTTTGCCATGTTCTATGCAACAATTTTATGAATTTAATCCCTAATCAAGGTACAGCTTGGATGTCAGTTACCTGGAGACCAGAGTGCAGTTCCTCTCCCCAGCATTGATTTACTGAGATAACATAAGATGTTCTCGAAATCAATAATGTGTTCCTCTCATTGTCAGTTTCCCTGAGATGCCCATAAGCAGCAAATCCACCCCCAGGATGGGGATCCATCCCTAGGATGGAGATGGCTGGAGGTGCCCCTCTTTGGGCCACTTGATCTTTGGGAAAGGATTTTCTCTGCCTCCTCAAGTGCTCAGCAAGCGCTTCTTGGGCAGGTGAGCATGCTCTCCACACTTGCCTTCCGGGCCCTGTGGTCCAGGGTGGTAACAGGCAATCCAACTGAAATCTAATCACTTCATTTCCGACAACCAGCCATATAGACAGCATTATCTCTTCTGTTCAGCTTGTCAGAGTCAACACGGCATCTCAAAGGCTGGTATAGGATTCTCTCCTTTGAAAGATCAAAGCGCCTGAGCATTGCTCAGGTTACCTGTGCATTTCCTCCCTGCGTTACATGGAAAGGGATAGTTTGTACTCAAAGTGAGAGGGACTTCGAACAGCATGACAAGCAGGAAGTAACTTAGTAAGGCAGTGTCTTATGATTTTGTAGTCATGTGCTCTGGGCCTAAGAGGATTGTTTTCTGGTATTCATTCATTCACTAACTCATCAAATAATTCCTGAAAGCCTCCTTGGTACTATTTTATGCTCTGGGCCAAGACATGTGCATGCTCCTTGCAGACTGGGTCCCTAGGATCTACTGGGTGACAGACAAATAAGACAGTCTCAGCCAAAGAAAGTAGCTGAACCTGAGAGGGGTGGAGTGGAATCTCCAAGGAATTACTTCTTGGCCATTCATTAATTCATTCATGCATTAAACACGTATTTACTGACTCCGCCTGTACTCTCTGTCCCTACGTGATTCTTGAGCCACAGAATTAACATTTCCTTTCCTGGCTACTAACCCAAATTATCCTTTGTGCAGTGGGGGACTCAGAGCTCAAGGCAATTAGATAAATCAGGGAAGTAAAGGGAACGAGCTATACTAAAATCTGCCACCAATTAATTGTGTCTGCTGAGGATCTAGAAGACTGTAGCCAGACACCTGACAGATGCCACCATTTGGAAGCTTTAGAAAATTTGTGGCAGGGCTAGTGAGTTTATCTTTTCTAGGGGCTCTTTTACAGTTTAAGCACCATTCCAAAAGCTGTTAGGCTGCCATAGCAACAGTTCATATATATATATATATATATATATATATATATATATATATATACTTTTGAGGGAAACAAATTTTTAAAAACTTGGTCACATTCTTGCAAGGGCTTGTGAGAAGATACCTCTTTAAATGAATGTCTAGCAAGTTTCCTGAAGTATCATATTTCTGTCTATAACATACTATTTTGGACCTCTTAACACTCCCAAACACTTTTCAGAATTTCTGCTTGAAAGATGGACCTAGGGGGATGGTGATTCATTGCCCCAAACCATTTACATCATTCTTTGGGAAAGGAAAGCAAAAGCCTTTGTGTGGTTTTATCTTGCTAGTGGTTTCAGCCGGAGCACACGTCCCTGCCGTGCCAGCCCCCACACAGTGTGGGATGGAACCGGTGCCCACACAAGCCCCCACCAGGGAGGCTGGAGCTCAGGCTCATGAAAGCATGTCCAGCTCTATTCTCTCTTCCCCAGTCCTTCTCCACTGAGCCGCAGCATTATTTCTCTAAATCCAAATTGTATCAAGTTGCTTCAGTATAAAACCCAAGCTTCAGAAGCTTGCAGTCCCTCTCAGGATAAATTGCTAAGTCCTTTGCCTGGATTCTAAGACTGATTTGATCCAGGCCCAACTCCCAGAAGCCTCCCTTCCCCTCCCTCCCATTTAACTCTGTCCATATTGTGCTGCTGGTAGCCCCTGAATGCATTGTGATGCTTGACACCTCAATTCCCTTGCACACATTTTTCTTCTCTTCCCCCATTTGTCCGAGTGAGCAGAGAAGCATCTTCTCCTCCAGCAGGGGCTCCTAGACCCTGTGAGATAGTTTGTCCCTTTTTCCTTCTGTATAGAGAGTGCCTTGATTCCTCAGTGTCTATCACTTCCACGGGTCCTGGGTACATGTATCTTCATGAGCCCCCTTTTCCATTAAAAAAAAATTACAGTTTATGACCATTTTGGTTTAAAGAGGAATATAGTGTTCTACCCTAAAAGGTCATTTTTTTCTTCTGATTTTAAAAGAAAATAAAACATTTCTGTGCATCCTCTAAATGTGTTGTGGGCACTGTGCCTACTGTTCCTAATGGAGAAGTCACACTGATGTTGCTGGGTTACCACATCGCCAATTAGTTGTCTTCAAGTTTGTTAAATCCTTGAGAATAGAGTTTGGCTGTGTAATACCATGCCATCTATTGGAGTGTGTGGAATGCATACTCATGTGTGGTGAACAGGCTTTCGCAGGAATAAGAGCATGGTCTCCATTCACCTGCCTTCTGCTGCTGAGAGCTTTGGCAGGCACTCCCTCTTAGGCTAATGCTGCTCATCCATTTTCAAAAGGGACAAGATCCTCTCCTCCCTTTTTCTGCACAGCACTTTAAACTGCAGAGACCTTCCTTGTGCATTATCCACTTTGATCTCTTGAGATCAACATTAGCTGCCCCATTCCATAGAAGAATAAAACGAGGCCCAAAGAGGTGAAGCAGAGCCTAGAAAACAGAGTTGTCCCCTGCCCAGAGTCACACGTAATATGTGGCAGAGCCAGGATTCTACTCCTCCCCTCCCCCCAAGACCAATGCCAATGTTCTATCAAACCACAGGACAAGAAACCTAAATTAAGGCAGAGATCGCTTCATTCCTTTTAACTTTTTTGGAAGCATCAAGAACAGTAAGAAACAGGAAATCCCAACATGGGTAGAATTGCTTCTGCACTGAACACTGCAATGCACCACCCAGTTCCCCAGTTCACTGAAGATCTGGTGGTCTCAGCTACTGGGAATGCTCTTGGCAGGTGACTTCACTTGCAGCTTTCACCTCAGCCAAAGTCATGCTCTTTTCCAGGGCAGCTCACATTGGAGGGCTGATCAGTAAAAGTCTGGCCATCTCAGCTTTCTTGGGATTATTTTGAAGGATGATCTTTAGCCCAGATGACCATGCAGGGTGGTCTGAGGCTGTTGCTGGGCTGCATCACACATCTTCTCTTTATGTTTGTTTCTGATTCCCCTTCCTTTTCTTCTCCAGGTGTTATTCCAAAGGGTACCCCCTAGTAAACATCCCCATGCTAAACTCCATCTCAGAGTCAGCGTCCCAGATAATCCAACCTGTGACAAACTCTATTAAATATTTTGCAACAAGCCTTCCTATGTCTGTGCATGAATACACAAGATTCATTTGTTCCTCCATTGTTTTCACTGAATGCTTATTCATGGGATGCTAAACACTGTACTAGGTACCAAGATACTGTGGTGAACAAGACAGAAAAGGACCTCTGGTTACAAGGAACTTAAATTACTTCTACTCTGAAGGCAGATATTAATCCTGTTTCTGCACTAAAATTATGCAACTTTCAGAGCATTCTGGTCACCTCAGCATTTACATGGAGTAGCAAGAGAAGCCTCCCATCACCAGAGCCCTGCTGATTGCTTTGCAGAGTAAACACTGCTTCCAGGAAATCAGTAGCAGTGTCTGAAAGGTTTTCCCACCCTGTTAGAGAAGGACCCAGAGTGAAGTTGGGGCTACAAGGAACTTAGGATAGGCAGGAGAACAGGGGCTGGAATGTCTGTCCACAATAGATTTGGAGAGGGAGGATTCAGGTGCAGATGAAAAAGCCAGTGGAAATCACTGTCAGGATCAGAAGTTGAATGAAAAATACCAGATGGAGGGAAGACAGGTCAAGATTTAATTTGTAGCAGGATGGAATAAGGTCCAAGGGAGGAGTGAAGTGGGGGTTTTCTTGCAATTCTCTACGGTCCTTATTTTAAACTATTTATTGACGTCCTGTTTTAACTGGAATAAAATCCAGATGCAAATTTTGCTGCCAATGCTCTCCTTGAGACAGTCATTCCCTACCTCTCTCTTTGCGCATCTGCTCAGCTGCATTTGACAATTGCTGCCCCTTGAGCAGACCCAGCCCTTTCTAACCCCAGGGACTTTGCATTTTCTATTCTCTCAGTCTTGGAAGTCTCCTCACACACCTTTCAGGATTCAGCTGAAATGCTCCCTTTTGAGAGGCCTTTCCTGACTTCACAACCTCTGAAGCCATATCCTCCACCCACCCTGTAGTCATTGGACACTTCCTCATTGTGTCTAATTCTTCACAGCAGCAATCACAATTAGCAAATACCATGTCTATTTCATTTCATGGCTGATTTTTATATTGTCTGTTTTCCCCATGGGATTCTAAGCCCTGTGAAGTTTAGAGACTTGTTCAGCCATGCCCACCCCTACGTCCTGGATGTCAAGGGCAGCGCCATCCATACTAGTAGCACTCTAAATATTTCTTGAATTAATGACTAAACCAATGTGACTACACCAATAGCCAATTATTAAGCATTTGCCTAATGAGTTGACAGGAATATGATGGTTGGTATGTTTGGGGCAGAAGCCTGGAGCCTGGGCTCCTCCACACTGCTGGGATGAGCAGAATCTTCAGACATCTCTCTCTCTCTCTCTGAGTTCCTCCTGGACCATTACTCAGATTTGAGGGGCATCATTGCCTGGAGCACTCCACTCTGGGGAAGCCAACAGCTGCATAATGGTTTCCCTGCCCGTGCATTAGCATGGGCCTTTTGGGCCTGCTCCGGCTTGCCTGACCCATCTCCCAGCAGGAAAGTCTGTGCATCTGTAATACTCTGGAAAATTGGGGCTGACATGTAGTTCAGTACCCAAAGTGGTTTCACTCAAGCAAACGCGGAGAATAAAAGCCATGCGCTTAAAATGCTTGAGTAGGTATCAATCAGAAGAACATTCCAATAATCCATGTTTATGAAGCCTGTTAGTATGAATTTTTGAAATAGCACTTAATCCACTTTATTCTTGACAAATGGTGTTTGTAGCCATTGAGATATTTTATTTCAATTATGTGCGGATGTTGTAGGGAAAAGGTTTCTGACAGTATCAAGGCATAAGACATTTTTTATTGTGCTTTTATCACTATTCCCATTGCTACACTCGACTGGACAGTTCATTAAGATGAAAAATTAACAGCACATACTATGGAGAGAATAATCATGGAACATGATTATTCTTCACAGCTTGTGGAAGCACCAGAATTCAGAGTAGCAGACAGATGACAAATGTGCTGGTCTTTGGAAGAGGTGGCGATTGGTCAATCAGTTGGTACCCATGTGTGCACCTACTTGTGTGTTCAGCTCTGAGCTGAGGTGCTGGAGGAGAAAGAAAATACGGAAAACATGGTTGTTGCTTTCCAAGAACATACTGTCTATTTGGGAAGGCCAGGAAGATGTCAGGTGTCAATCCAGGAACTCCAAAGTGTTACACAATTGCCCAGCACTTTGGCGCTGGCTGTAAGTTCAGGAGAAAGTTCACTGTGGACTTTAGAGAAGAGTTCTTAGACCTTGAAGAATACCAGGATGTTGGTTAGTAAAATATGTTCTAAAAATAGTAGCTACTGATGGCTATGAGGTTGCTTCTGGGGAGTAATGAAAGTGTTCTGAAATTAGATATTGGTGATATGTGCACAACTTTACAACATACCAGCAAACACTGTACCCTTTAAAAGGCTTATTACATTTTCTATGCATGCAACAAAACATCATATGTGGCCAATAAATATATAACATATTACATGTCAATAAAAAGCATGGTCTTTATGATACATGAATTATATATTAGTAAGCCATTATTTTCAAGCACTCTACAAACTCAATGCTGCTAAATTACAGTAATTTTTTTATTATACTTTACGTTTTAGGGTACATGTGCACAACGTGCAGGTTTGTTACATATGTATACATGTGCCATGTTGGTGTGCTGCACCCATTAACTCATCATTTAACATTAGGTATATCTCCTAATGCCATCCCTCCCTCCTCCCCCCACCCCACAACATGCCCCAGGGTGTGATGTTCCCCTTCCTGTGTCCATGTGTTCTCATTGTTCAATTCCCACCTATGACTGAGAACACGCGGTGTTTGGTTTTTTTGTCCTTGCGATAGTTTGCTGAGAATGATGGTTTCCAGTTTCATCCACGTCGCTACAAAGGAAATGAACTCATCATTTTTTATGGCTGCATAGTATTCCATGGTGTATATGTGTCACATTTTCTTAATCCCGTCTATCATTGTTGGACATTTGGGTTGGTTCCAAGTCTTTGCTATTGTGAATAGTGCCACAATAAACATACATGTGCATGTGTCTTTATAGAAGCATGTTTTATAATCCTTTGGGTATATACCCAGTAATGGGATGGCTGGGTTAAATGGTATTTCTAGTTCTAGATCCCTGAGAAATTGCCCCACTGACTTCAACAATGGTTGAACTAGTTTACAGTCCCACCAACAGTGTAAAAGTGTTCCTATTTCTCCACATCCTCTCCAGCACCTGTTTCCTGACTTTTTAATGATCGCCATTCTAACTGGTATGAGATGGTATCTCATTGTGGTTTTGATTTGCATTTCTCTGATGGCCAGTGATGATGAGAACTTTTTCACGTCTTTTGGCTGCATAAATGTCTTCTTTTGAGAAGTGTCTGTTCATATCCTTCGCCCACTTTTTGATGGGGTTGTTTGTTTTTTCTTGTAAATCTGTCTGAGTTCATTGTAGATTCTGGATATTAGCCCTTTGTCAGATGAGTAGACTGCAAAAATTTTCGCCCATTCTGTAGGTTGCCTGTTCACTCTGATGGTAGTTTCTTTTGCTGTGCAGAAGCTCTTTAGTTTAATTAGATCCCATTTGTCAATTTTGGCTTTTGTTGCCATTGCTTTTGGTGTTTTAGACATGAAGTCTTTACCCATGCCTATGTCCTGAATGGTATTGCCTAGGTTTTCTTCTAGGGTTTTTATGGTTTTAGGTCTAATATTTAAGTCTTTAATTCATTTGAATTAATTTCTGTAGAAGGTGTAAGGAAGGGATCCACTTTCAGCTTTCTACATATGGCTAGCCAGTTTTCCCAGCACCATTTATTAAATAGGGAATCCTTCCCCCATTTCTTGTTTTTGTCAGGTTTGTCAAAGATCAGATAGTTGTAGATATGCAGCATTATTTCTGAGGGCTCTGTTCTGTTCCATTGGTCTATATCTCTGTTTTGATACCAGTACCATGCTGTTTTGGTTACTGTAGCCTTGTAGTATAGTTTGAAGTCAGGTAGCGTGATACCTCAAGCTTTGTTCTTTTGGCTTAGGATTGAAGTAATTTTATTACAGGTGAGAAAATTAATTCATTAGAATAGACACATCGATGAGGCAGACTAACATTAATTGAGGACTTGCTTCATATGGCAAGGAAGGAGGCAAGTGCGCATTCTACAGAGGCGAAAACCAAGAGTTAAATCAGTTCATGCTTTGCCTAAGAAGCCACAGAGGTGGGAAATAATGGGGCTGGACTTCATCTCTTTCACATCCAGATGCTTCCCACCCCATTCTTCTGGTGCCCAAAAAAGACAGATCCTAAGATGTTGTAAGAATATGAGTGGCAACAATGATAAAGTGATGTGTCTCTGCAGAGAGTTTTAAAGTTAAATGTCCTCACTTCTTTTCTCTCACCTGTTCTTAGAGCATCCCTGTGAAATAGGATCAGAGGCAGGTGTGCGGTAGGAAACAAGGGAATGGAGCGAAAGGAGACCAAGTCTGCTTTTACAGACTGCATAAAGAATGCTGTATTTGTTTCCCAAGTGTCCAAGGTGTTTTGTTTCCCAAGTGTCCAAGGTGTTTTCTCTGTGCCTTCATCTCTATTTTGGGCTCCTTCTCTACCTAGACTTTGATATGCATCCTATTTCCCCAAGGCAAGAGGAATTTCCGAGTGAAACGATAGAGATGTGGGATCCACGGATATTTAGAAGCAAGGCTTAGAATTAGATGTCCTGTCTGTTAAATATAGAAGTAAGTGCTGTTTCTTTTCTCCTTTGTGGAAGGAGTAGATACACATTTCTATTGTAAGTTGCATGTTTAGATTAAAGACACTTAAATCATTATCTCCCCTGCGGAGATAATGAGAGAGCTTTTGATGTCATTCTCAGCTTACTGGTGTAAATAATGGGTCAAATTCTCATCCTGTTGTACAGGATGGAAATCCGACTCAGGATTTGTAAATACTGCTGCATTTGATTTATTTTCACGAGACATTTTCTTCCCTAGCAGACAGTGGGATAGCAGCGTCCCGCGAAACAGCCCGTGGAGGAGTCATGATGCATTAACCTAAGCAGTGAGATCAAAACAAAAGCTCTGCTTGTAATCCCCCTGCCAGAGCCCCAATCTCAGCAGTCCCCACTGTGTGACTGCATTCGGGAAGCCTAGATAAAATTAGATCTTCCCGGAGTAAAAAGGAACTGGGACTTAGGAAATGGAAGTCTTTCTCAAGCAGCAGATGTCTTCTTTCCTCATTTCTTTGGAGTTTTGTTAGCGTTAAAGAAATTAAAAGAACAATTCTTTTTTTATTAAAAAAGAAAAAAAAAGAATGAACACTTCTTGAAATACATCCCTGCCAGTTTTGGAGTGCATTTGCTTTCTCCCCTCATCAGAGGGGTTGGATTCAGCCTGACTCAGGAGTGGGGATGCCTGGCTTCTCATCTTTTATCTACCTCCTACTGGGCAAGTGACTGCTCTGTGTTTCTCTTTGCTTCTTTGTCACAAGTGGTTGGTGACTTCCAGATCCCTCCCTAGCCCCAGGCTCCTCTTGGGTTTCTTCTCTCAGGTCTTGGCACTCTCGTCTTCTCGGGGAAGTGGAACAGCCTGAGTCCCTGTTGCTGGGATGCGGACGGTCCCAAGGGCCAAGTAAACAGTTCAGAAGCAGGTGTCTTTGATGGGGGTTACTCTAGCAGGGTTGTTAGGGGAGAGAGGAGGGTGGTTATTACAATCATCCAATAATCAGTGTCTACACCAGAAGGATTTTTGTGTTGATAGAGGAATGTTTTAATTCTAATGCACTTAAACCAATGACTGTCACAAAGGAAGGCTCCCTAAACAGGAGTCGGGGTGATGGGGATGGCAAGGTGCAAGTCTACACAGTTCCAAATATCCAGGTGTTTCCAAACTTGGGGCTGTGTAGACAGAGGTTCACAGTGACTGATGGAGTCCAGGTCACAGCTAGAATTTTACAACATGTGCTGGAGTGCCATCTTCCTAACACTCTGTCCTCTGCAATGAGGAAATCGGGGTGGTGGGGAATTTTGTCTCCAGTTCTCAGTGCAAAAACAGAGGCTGAAAGTCTGAATGATTTTCTTGATGCCACACAGCTGGTAAGTGGCATCAGAAGATGGAAATTGAACTGAAACTTCAAATCCAAGGTTAGCTTCTTAGATCTCTCAGGGAGCTCTTCCTCTGCCTGAGCTATCGGGTTTTCCCTTCATGTGATGTTGCCCAGAGCAGGCTGCAGTGATGTGGTGTGGTCTGCCCCCTTGAATGTCTCCTCTCTCTCACTGAATGACAGAAACCTTAGGCTAGAGTATATGTTTAGTTTCAGTGTTCCCTTTCTCATCGAAAGTTCTTGCATGAAACATCTCCATCTGCCCTGCCATCTTCTTTCTGCCTTTTGTCTTCTCATCTCAAAATTTCTTATTTTCTGAGTTATTTCAGGCAGAGAGTCAAGTGGCAGATGTTTGCAAACAGTATGGGACCCAAGTATCCAAATGATTTCTTGCCTTCAAAGTGTATCTTCCATTGGGAGCTGGACTCTAATTACCTATGATACCACCTTGGCTAATAATATCTCTGGAACTCTTTTGAGGGGGGTCTGCATTTTGGATCATTTTAGAAATGGCAATAGGTCTGTCTTAGTAGAACATATGACGTTTCCAAAACGACATCCTGCAGGCAGGATGGCTGCAGAATGGAAGAAGAACAGGCCCCTTTACATGGGTTGTGGTAAGCAGTGATTTATGACCCTAATAGGGTAGTTGGGTCTGCATTTCTTTTGTGACTTCAAAGCTGTCTCCATCAGGACATTTTAATGCCTGAGTTCTGGCATTTTCACAAAGTCAATCTCTTTATTTGCAAACTACAGTCTCTGTGGAAGAGGAACATGGCAGGCACCTTCCTATTAATATAAGCAGGTAGAGTACCAGATCCATTGCCTCTAGAGTCCCAAGCAGAATAAAGCCAAGCCTTTGAATAAAGCCATAGGGAGAGTCAAGAGGCTCTGGGGTAAAGCAGGAAATAAAAATGAAGATAGTTGAAGAGGCTACACTAATCATGCAGTCCACCTTAAAGTCAAATTGTTAAAATGAAACCTCTAAGATCATCACAGTAGTCATATGACCTTGAGTGAGCTATTTAGCCTCTTAGAGCTTCAATTTCTTCACCTATAAGATGGCAATAACATAATTAAAAACACACAGGGCTGTGTGCAAATTAATAAAAGAAAGTATGTAGAGTGCTTAGCATAGTGTTCAGCATGAAATAAGCCCCTGCTAATTATAAGCCACTATCCTCATCAGCTGCTGTTAGTGAGCTGTGACCACCTGGACAAGAAGCCCTGAGCAGACAGAAAGCCAAATTGGGGCTGACTTTGGACCTGTCCACTCTCACGTGGAAACTATATTTTTCCTGAGGGAACAGATTTTCTTTCTTGAGGCAGGGTTTTCCAGCCTCAGTCCAACTCTCAGATAGCAGCCTTCATCTTCACTCGGATCTCTGAATACTAAAGACTAGGTATGACTTAATGCTTTCATTCTTCATCAATAAAACAAGGATAATAATAACCCTTACCTTTGTTGGCTGATGTGTAAAATGAGCTAATGTTCATGAAAGCCCTTTGTAAATTATAAAGTGCTATAAAGTATGAATTATTATTGTGATTGCTCTACTCCAGGTATTCCATAAACATTGTGGGAAATTAAGAACGCACACTCCTGGCATTCAAAAAGCATTTATGCCTTTTTAAGTATATAGCTATAAACTATCAGCAGATGGGTTTGATAATGCAGTCTTCAATCAGATTTAAATGTTAGCAAGCGCCCATTAAGAGTGACTTTCTAGCAGGGGCACTGCTGTGGGTGCCAGCAGGCAGCCAGTCACAATGGTTGGCTGTGACAGGCTATACTTCCACTGCGCTTGAATACCAGCTGCTCATGTGCTTTGCAACTTACTTTGAGCTGAATTACCAAAGGTCTTCTGAACCTCACTTCGCTCATTTGTAAGATAAAGGTAATAATACCTACCTGACTGAGTTGCTGTGAAGAGTAGATAAGATAATGATCACCAAGCCCTGGGCACACTCCCTGATGCAAGGGATTAGGAAGCCACCTCAGTGTGGCACCCTGGATGCTCCGATTGACAGGTGTTCCTTCTTTTGCCTTGAGCCTCTCACTGAAACAAGTCAGGGTTCCTCCTCTCGCTGGGTTCCCAGCAGCCTTGCAACGTCACTGCCCGTGCAGCTCCCCAGCCCCGCCTCCCAGCACCTCATGAGCCCTGCTGACCTTCAGGCCTCTCGGGTCAGTTCCAACATAACTAGGTCTTTGCAGATTTCAAAGCCTCCTCTTGATAACTCGAGGGTCGAGGGGGACTTGAGGAAATGAGGAGATGGGATGGAGCAGAAGGCTATTTGTGAAAGCCAGTGTGAACAGCCTGAATTCCTGGCCATGTCCCTCAGAGGCTGAGGGGCCTATCTGGACCCCAAGGACCCTATATTACCAGCCAATTCCACGTAGGCAGTCCAGATACAGCCACGTGCACCCTGTTATGGTGACTAACCAGAGGAATGTAAAAGTGTTTCCAATGCCATTAAGCTTTAGGGTGCGGGGCTCTAATTCTGGGACTCTAATGCTAATAGTATTTTTTGAGCATTTACTACATGCTATACATAGTGTTCGGCACTTCAACAAGAATTATCTGATTTAATCCTTCCAACAACCTAAGGAGAAGTGTACTCTACTATTACCCACAGTTTTGAAATGAGACCACAAGATTAGGAAGGGCAGAGGTCGGCTTTGAACCTAGTACTCATGGCTGCAGCATTACTTCTCAGGGTACATGTGGCCTGTGGCCAGGATAACAGGGGTGGCTGGCATCCTGGCAGTGGGTTGTTCTTCCATCTATCTTAGTCCACTCTATCCGTATTAGTTTTCAGGGGTTTCCATTGAAACAAAGTTCCACAAATTGATGGCTTAAGCAGCAGGCATTTATTGTCTTACAATTCTGGAGGCTACAATTTCAAAATCAAGGTGTTGGCAGAGTTGGTTCTTTTTGAGTGTTCTGAGGGACAATCTGTTTCATGCCTTCCTCCTAGCTTCTGGTAACTCAGGCATTCCTTGGCCTCCTCCTTTTGTCTACATTTCCTCTTTTTGTAGATATCAGCCACGTAGAATTAGGGCCCATTCAAATGACTGCATCTTAACTTGGCCATCTGCACAGACCCTAATTCCAAATAATGTCAGATTTACTGAAACTAGCGGTTAGGGCTTCAACATCTTTTTGGGAGACACAATTTAACCCGTAATACTGTTCCATAATACTGCCCATAAACACATTTCTAGGATTTACCCATTTCCTTGAAGGCATCCAAGTGTAAGTGTCTTTCTCACACAAGTATTCTTTGAATACTGCTTAAGTGCTTCATACCATGCCGCCACCTGGAGATAAGAAAATGAGCAAAACACCTATGATCCCCATCTTCATGCATTAATGACATACTCTTGGAGGATTTCAAGTCCATAGACCCTCACAGTACTGGTGCTAAACTATTTTATTTTATTTTATTTTATTTTATTTTAGAGATGGAGTCTCACTCTGTTGCCCAGGCTGGAGTGCTGTGGCATGATCTGGGCTCACTGCAACCTCCACCTCCCGGTTTCAAGCGGTTCTCCTGCCTCAGCCTCCCGAGTAGCTGGGACTACAGGCACACAACACCATGCCTGGCTAATTCTTGTATTTTTAGTAGAGATGGGGTTTTTCCATATTGGCCAGGATGGCCTGTCTCCTGACCTCGTGATCCACCCGTCTCAGCCTCCCAAAGTGCTGGGATTACAGGCTTGAGCCACCGCACCCGACCACTGGTGCTAAATTTTTATCATTAATTTTAAATGGCTCATCTAAGGGGGAAAATGAATGTAGCTTCATCATTCTGAATAAATCTAAAGAGAGAATAACCAGGAGATGAGTATTAATATTTGATTAACTTTATTTGCATATGCACAACTCCATTTGCAAACTGGCTTGTGATTTCTCAAAATCTGTATGTGTGTGTGTGTGTGTGTGTGTGTGTGTGTGTGTTTTCCTAGTTTACTTGTGGGGTGTCATCGCAGGCCTTCTAGACCAAGCCCTGCAAGCAGGATGATGTTAACCAGGGTGTATCACTTATTAGATGGAAGAACGATTACCCTGTGCTCTGTTTAATTAAGCTTCACGTAATGGGCAGACGTTTCCTTTAACAGGCTTGCTGTCACCTCATCAGTTATTTAAGGTAGTTCATTTCACAGCAGGGGGCAAAAAGAGAGAAAGGAAAAATTTATCATTTGCTCAAACTTGATTGGTCTGAGGAAAAGCGTGGCTGTCTAGAAGATGCCTAATTGCTGCTGTGATCCTGTACTGATTCTCTATTTTGTCCCAGGCTTCTTATTGAAACGTTAATCAGGATTAGGTCTCACCTCTTGATGAATGATTTTGTAAAAACTTGATATTTCTCATCTCAGTTAGGAATGTCTGTATGCAAGTATAACGCCACTGCAACTGAATGGGAAGATAACTAATGCCCTTAATTTCACAGAGGGCTGTGATTTGGTACATACAGTACAAATCAGGGGAAATCAGAATGAAATTAATTTTCTTTTTTTGCAAAGGCACTACCTCTGTTATATAATGAGTCACTTTTCTTTGACTGTTTTTGCTGCAGACTTAGAGAACGCTTGGCACATGTGTTTGGGTTTATTTCTTATAGCTGGGGTCAAATTTAGGTTACATCATTTTGTTTGATGCCAGAACTTGGGCTTAAGTTCTCTGATTCTCTCTCTCTCTCTCTCTGTCTCTTTTTCCTCATCCTGTCACCTAGGCTGGAGTGTAGTGGCGCAATGTTGGCTCACTGCAACCTTTGCCTCCTGGGCTCAAGTGATCCTCTCACCTCAGTCTCCTGAGTAGCTGAACTACAGGCATGCCACCCCCATGCCTGGATTTTTTTTTTTTTTTTTTTGGGAGAGACAGAGTTTCTCCATGTTGCCCAGGCTGGTCTCGAACTCCTGAGTTCAAGCAATCTGCCTGTCTTGGCCTCCCAAAGTGCTGAGATTACAGGCATGAACCACGGTGCCACTCTGATTCTTTTGTTTGCCAGTTTAGGAATTATCCCTGCCTCACAAGACTGTAAAGATTCAGTATCATTCCTGTTTCTAACTCAAGGTCTAGCATTACAGGTTTGCAATATGATATTTTCCTTTGCCTTTATTCCATCACCTCCCCCATTGATTCACTCTCGATGATGGGACAGAATTATTTTTCCTTCTCCCACAACAATCGCACATCCTTGTAAATCTGAGTCTTAGACACTCTGCTTCTTCCATGTCCTAAGGGCTTGACATATCCAGATGGAAACTGAATAATTAAAGTAGACATTCATTTATTTTGACCAAGGGACAGACACCAAAATTATGGACTTTTGGCTATTTTTTCATGGTTAATTGACTCCCAGCTGATTTTCCATCTTTGTATGCTTCAGCACAGGCATGAATCTCAGCATTTTCTTCATTTGCAGTGGCCAAAGAATAAAACTTATTATAATTATGGTTATCATTTCTTTATTATTCATGTGTGTATGTGATCCACCTCCTGCCTGTATTTTCTGCATCACCCCTTTCCTCTTTCTTGAGCAAGCCCTGTGTTTTCACAGTTCCAAAATCCTGTGGTTACCTGAACATAGGATCTTATTTCATGTCTTAAATATTTGCTCCTGCTGTTCCCTCTGCCTGGATTGCTGTTCCTCACCTTGAGCATTTGACTTATGTATATACTACAAGACTAAACTCATACCTACTGGCTTATCCACTAAGTCTTTCTTGACCAACTGCCTCATACCTTGGTTTATGTGACTCTGCTGAATTATCTCAGCCCCCTAAGTCCCCCATCAAAGAACTTTTCACATTTTCTTTACGTTCATCTATTTTCTGTGCTACCTCCCACCAAGCCAACACCACCATTAGCCTATCAGTGACCTGAGGACCATAACAACATTTGTTTGCTATTGCCTCTGCTTAATACACCACCGGGCTTCTGCCCATGTTCTAGGTATGTTTGGTGAATGCATTTCTATTATTTTTTGGTACATGTGAACAATTATCTGTGAGTGCTGCATTCTGAAAAGAGCTTGAAAGTTACCCACTAATCCAGCGTGGTACATGCTCCTAATATAAATTATTCTGACTCCAGGCCTTGGGTATTAGTTGTTTTCTGAGAACTGTATCAACTCAGAGGATGAAAGAGAACATTATTCCTAATTCCTCAATCAATTAGCACCATAGTTAATCCTTTCATCCTTAGGCCTTTTACATTGTAGGTCACCTGTCAATACTGAAGGGCCTATTCTACCTTCTCCTGGGGGAATGAAAGATCCTTCCTTGAGTTTTACTGATCTCAGTTACATTGATGTTAAAAATTCTCAAACTAGCCAGGCATAGTGGCTCACACCTCTAATTCCAGCATTTTGGGAGGCTGAAGCAGGCAGATCATCTGAGCTCAGGAGTTTGAGACAAGCCTGTGCAACATGGTGAAACTACTAAAAATACAAAAATTAGCCAGGCTCAGTGGCATGCTCCTGTAGCCCCAGCTACTCAGGAGGCTGAGCCAGGAGAATCACTTGAGCCTTGGAGGCAGAGGTTGCAGTGAGCCGAAACGGCCCCACTCCACTCCAGCCTTGAAGACAGAAGGAGACCCTGTCTAAAATAAATAAATAAATTCTCAAACTGTCCACAGTTCCCCAAGTGTGATCTCTTCTGCCCAACAACGTTGCTTTTGTGAGGACTACGCATGGGCACTCTGAGTTCATAGGAAGATAGTTAAAAAGAAAATGAGTATAGGATTTGAACTAAAAATAACATGGTACTTGAAGATTGACTTGCAAAGTCCAGTTCATTATTTTGACAGATGCATTTCAAGTAGAGTTGCCAGACAAAATATAGGATTTTGAGTTAGATTAGAATTTCAGATAAACAGCAAATAATTGTTTTAATATAAGTATGTCCGCCAAACTGTAGATATACTGAAAGCTATTGCTGTTTATTTGAATCTAAATTTAATTGGGGGTCCTGTAATTCAGTTTGCCAAATCTGGCTCCCCTAGTTCCCACACAAGTTAATTTCTTGCACATTGTGATATAGGATGCTTGATACCATAGATACGGTAGAGTTTGTAACATTATCCAGGCTGCCTGAGTCCCAAACCAGTATCCATTCCTAAGGTCTTATGATTAGGATAAAAGATTTTCTACTTCAGCACAAAGTGCCTTTTGAAAATTTGTGATGATTATTTCTGGAAATCTGTCCCATCTTAGCATTGCTAGAGTTGGTTTATCATGAGACATAACTCAAGAGAAATTAGCTATACTGAGATCATTTTATCAAAGGTACTCGTGACATAGGCAATTTGATATGTCCCAAGTCTGCCTCCAATGTCAGGTGAGTTCCCATTGAGGCCAGGTTCTCTCTAAAAAATGCTGTAGGTTTGTGTTGTGTAGGACATTGGAAAGGTAATAAAAGAAAATCTACTTCAAATAACCAAAGCCGCCCAATAGAATAAGGACAAGCGATTTACTCTAACGCTATTCATTCATCCAGTATAAACAACGTTCAATGTTCTCCCATAAAAACTTTCAGTTCTGCATGCTCATTAAGGAACTGATTCAACATTCTTTAGCAAGTTATAAATGAAAGAATTGCCACCATTCTTCTGTAATCTGAATTTCTCCTCCTCATCATGCTTTTCTTGTTCCAGAGTTGCTTCACTGGGGGGAAAACATCACATCTTTGTATCAAGACCTTTATTATTCTTGGCAGAAAAAAATTTCATTTTATCTCTCTCATCTGTCTGCTCAAAGTTCAGTCTCAGAGCCAAGTTTTTAATTTGTAATTATTTGAAAGAGACTTTTCTTCTTAAAATATGTTCGACAAAACGACTATGTAGTAGTTTCTTTTTTTAATGGCCCTGCGAACATTTCTTCTGGCTTTTGGTTTGGATACTGCTGGTGTTTCACTTTGAGTTTTCTCTAAGTGACATCTCCATCCTCTCCTCATGTCAAAAAGCCAATATTCTGCTTACTTTATGGTAATAGTACTTTTTAATTAGGATCCTGTGTAATGCTTAAATCTTTTCTTCTCAGAAGGAAGATTTTTTAAAAAGTGTTTTTCTTCTTAAAAAAAAGTTTATTTTATTGTGGTTAGAATATTTAACATGAGATCAAATTCTTGATATAGTTTAAGTGTACAGTGCAGTATTGTTTACTATAGGTACAACGTTGTACAGCAGATCTCTAGAACATATCCATCTTGTTTAACTGAAAGTATGCCTGCTGGTTCATAAATAAAGAACTCCCTATTTTCCCCTGCCCCTAGGTCCTGGCAACCACCCTTCTACCCTTTTGCTTTTATGAATTTGACTACTTTAGATACCTCATGTAAAGGGAATCATGCAGTACTTGTCTGTCTGTGACTGGTTCATTTCACTCAGCATAATGTCCTCCAGGTTCATCCATGTAGTGGGATATTCTGTAGGAAGATGTTAATGGCTACCCAAGCATGGAGGGTTGGGCATCTGTGGAAGGGGGTTGTGCAAGCTCATGAAATATTGAAAAGAAAGGAATTATGTATCAGTAGCAGGTTCAGTTTATTCTGTGTAGTGTAAAGTAGGATTTAGCTGCGTCTTGTAAGCACTCAGCCGTAGGACAGGCTGGGATATCTCAGCTGCAGAGTAAGGGAAGAGAGGGAAGATGAGGCATAGACGTGTGTGTGTGTATCTCTTATGTGTGGGTGTTGGAGGGGAGAGGGCAAGTATAGATAGAACAACTCTAAGGGTGTAGATCTGTTAATGTCCCAAGGTCCTTGATCTGTGTCAGTCCAAAAAATATCCATCTGGGGATGATGCAGAGGTGCCACCAGGGATACATAGAGACAGGCAGTAGGCAGCAACATTTACTCTCTCCTCTGCCCCGACAGGACCCAAGCAGGAGGTAAAAATGCCAGAGGCAGGGGCAGACACCAGGAAGAAAAACCTGCTGTGCCTTAGGTGGAACTTCAAAGCCCCGAGCAATCAAACTGGGCATCTCAGCAGAGCAGCGGTCAGTCATGGTGAGGCCCAGACAGTGGGTTTCCCAGGAAACAAGGCATAAACGTGTGATATGGAAAGCATCGCCACAGAAGAGGGATGAGGCTCTTCTTTCCGTTTCTTCCTTTCAAAAATCTTCACATATTCTTCATGATGTAGGTCTTTTCTTCCTTCTTAGTGAAGTGCCCTTGCAATCCTGAATATATCCTGACCTCTTTTAATTTTTAATTATGTTATTCATTTTAGTGAGCTGACTTGCTGTGGAGCTGTTATTTTCTCTATGTGTATATTTGTTAAAACAACTATCCTTCAAATGCAAGTCCCTTCCCTGTGGGTGCTGTGTGAGCTAGATTAGATTGCTGAGGTTTAAAACCTAAAGGCATACAAAAATCTCTAGGCATGGAAGAGATGGAGGATGAAAACTTAGACCTTGGGGTTGCTGAGAGTCCAAGCCAATGTCATGGTTGTATTCAGAAGCAGGAGCAGCCTCTGAACCAGATCAAACTATATTTCTGTGGTTTCATGGGCAGCCATCCTGGAGATACAAGGGCAAGCCTTTCTGTCGTGGACATCTTATCAGGAAGGCACTAAGTCCTTGTTGCCCAAGTTCATGGTTTACAGTAACTCTGCTGTATTGTTACGTCTTCATCTGCTCCTTAGTTCATCAGGGCAGCTGTGGTTCAAAGGGACTTTCCTTTACAAAGTAATGCTGGAAAGCACTTACTTTCTGCCCAACCAATGGTGTATGAGTTGTACATTTAGCCTGCTGGTAAATCTCTTTGGAACAAGATGCAACTGGTCAATGGTATGTAAGATCCCTGAGCGCAAAGGCCAATCCCATCTCCAGCTGCATAGGCTTCTCCTACGGAGATGTTATTTGGGCCTGGGGAGACATCCAGCTGGGCTTTGTTACAATGGTGCTCTAAAAATGGAGCAAAGTTTTGTATCATTTGGTTTGTTTATGTGCTTTCATAAAAAACAAGGTTAGTGTCACTTTTTTAACATTTGCTGTCCAGAACAGAATTGTCCCTCCTTTATGGTGTGAGTACTAAAGTGGCTGGTGTTGTGAGCGGTAGCCAAGTAATGGCTGCTCTTTCTATCAGGGAATGACTCTGGGCCTGGACTTAATTGTCTTGGGTGAAATACTGATAGAAACATGGCACTTGCCTCTACAACCACGTAACTCCTTTTCCATGGGCACCAAAGCAATCCCTTTGACAATGATTAGCTTATAAGATCTTACAGAGCTATCTCCTGTTGAGCTGGGTCCATTTATTAGAAGATATTTATCGTCTGGCTGCCTTCCTACAGTTCCCTGCAGGGCTTGCATTTTATTATTCATTAGCACCTTCTTTGGAGACTTAGGCAAGGAAGGATGTAGAACAAAATTTTGTTCTAATGTGGAAAATGTTATGGGAGAGAGGTTTGAAAATCATGATTCATTCATTCAGGGACTATTTGGCAGAGGTGGGCAGACTGGAGAACATCTGGGGAAAAATGGGAGATGTTCCCCTAAGGAAGTATGAAAGGAACCCCTGGTGTTTGAGGTGGAAATTGGAAGACCCTTAGGGAGATGCCTACTCTAAAAATTCCAGGAACCTTGGAATTCCTTGAGGGCAAAAAACATGTTTTACTAAATTCTTATCACTTAACTATTGAAGAAATCCTTGTCTCCAAAAATATTTCTTGAGTGGTGGCTATGTGGAAGAAGAGCTAGCTGAATTCTGAGCATCTCCAGAAAGCAAAATTTGAAAGAATTATAGTAAAGTAGATCTTGGTTCAATGTCAAATGGTAGAAGGGCAATAGCTTCCAAATGGGTCATATATAGCTTCAAATTCCATTTTGGGCATTAGCTAGGCATATGAACTAAATACAGACCAAAGGGCTCCAAACCCTTATTTTCTTATCTGGGCAGTGGAGGCAATACCCACCTCATCAAGATGCTGCAGAAAATTTTTTTCTGAAAATGTATGCAAAGCATGTAGCACAGTGTCTGTCAGATAGTAGACACTCAATTAAAAAAGCTAATTAGTAGATGGTAACTCAGTAAAAGGCATGCCCACCCATGTGCTGGGCTGTTGCAAGCAGGGGTTTAATGGAACAAATGATTTGACATGCTGAACTCCTGGGACTCATCTGACCAGAAGAACCCATGCCATCCACCCTGGAGCTTTGTTCACCCCATGATTGCTCCATTTTCACCCCATATCATGGATAATTGAGAGGCCCAGGAGTTTCTGTGGACAGACTTCTGGCCTGTATCCCCATTCATTTCCTTTCAGGGATCAGCTATCCCTCCTCTCCCCACTACCTGCACCATCCCCTAGCCAAGGAGCTACAGCTGAGGTCAGCATACTCACAGGTCAACACTACAGAATCCCATTTGGGTTCTGGGATAAACAAGGATGCCTATGTACCTGAAATGAACCTGCTGCAGGATCTGGCAGATTTTATATCCATATTAGAGAAAAGGAGTGAAATCACATCTCCTTTCTGTAATAATAATGTAATTTAAATTTATCTGCAACCCACACTTCTAAAGGTTAAAAGCCAGAACTTTAAAAATCACCCAGCCAGGTGTGGTAGCTCATGCCTATCATCCCAGCACTTTGGGAGGCCAAGGTGGGTAGATCACAAGATCAGGAGTTCAAGACCAGTCTGGCCAATATGGTGAAACATCGTCTCTATTAAAAATACAAAAATTAGCTGGGTGTGGTGATGGGTGCCTTTAGTCCCAGCTACTCAGGAGGCTGAGGCAGGAGAATCGTTTGAACCCGGGAGGCGGAGCAGAGGTTGCAGTGAAGCCAAGATCGCGCCACTGCACTCCAGCCTGGGCAGCAGAGCGAGACTCTGTCTCATAAAGAGGGGGAAAAAAACCTACCCAAATAAATGTAAGTTGCCACTGCTGTTAGCATTTGATCATCCTTCTGCCCACCTGTGTAACCCAAATTATGCTTTTACAAAGGGTTTCCCCATTTGTTATCTCATTCGACCTTCAAATTAACTTAGGAATGAGGGAGGTCAGGCATCATTTGTTGTTTTTTTCATAAAAGGAAACAGAGACTCAGAGAGGGGAAGTGAGTTGTTAGTTGTCAGTGACCTCACAGCCTCCTGAGCAGGGCCCTCCTCCCTGTACCATGAGATTATGAGCACTGAAGCAGGAATTCACTAACCTGCTGCTGGACTGAGACAGGGAGTCTGTTGGTTATCAAGATATCAGACATGGTTTCATTTTTTCTTTTTTTGTAATGCAGCAGAGCTGCTTTTCAAAGAAAAATTGTGTGGAATTCAGCTATCTGTTCTATTTACTATGGAGTGTGGAGCCAGTTGGTTCAGCTCTTCCTGGCATTGTGTTCCCTGATCCCTTGGTTTTCTAGTATATTCCAAAGATCTTGTCTGGAGAGCCACTCATGTTACCCAGCTTTTCATTTCACAGACAGGAAAACTAGATTACTGGACATTACACAATGAGTTAGTGGCAGGTCTTTGAATGCCCAGCGCTATATTCTTTGCACACCGTCATTCATTGAACAGATGTTTTATGCTTCAGATGAGGGTTTTTAGTACCTGAGACCAACATTGACTAATAGAACTTTTTGTAATGATTGAAATGGCCCTGGAGAATTTGAAATGGGATTAGTACTTTGAAGAACTGCTTTTTAAATTTAATTTAAATTTTAAAAGCCACATGTGCCTAGTTGCTACCCTATTGGATAGTGTAGCTCTAAACCAGTGGTTATTTACTTTGGATGTACAATGGAATCACACAGAGAACTTCAAAAATACTGATTCCTGGGTTTAAATTGGTTTAGAGTAAGGCCTGGGTAATGGAATTTTTAAGGTTTCCCGGTTAATTCTAATGTGCAGCTGAGTTTGAGAGAAAATTAATCTAAATCTTGAGACTCCCTGAGGGCAGAAACCATGTCAACTTTATATTCTATTGACTCCTGTGACAAGGAATTCAGTGAGGAGTTAGCTGTTGTCCAGAATCTCAGGGAACTTAATATATCCTGAGGAAGCAGAAGACATAACCAGGGGTAAAGTACTGAGAAAGTGCCCTTATCAAATTTCACAAAAGTACAGTGTCATCCAAAGGAAAGGCAATATTCACTTCTACCTGAGAGAGGAAAGAGCAGCGTGGTCTTCTTGCTGTAATGATTCTGTCAGAGGCATTCCAACCAGAGTGACTCCACCTTGAATGGGATTGGGTAACCTGAGTCTGAAACCTGCTGGGCTGCATCCCCAGGAGTTCAGGCATCCTTAGTCCCAGGATGAAACAGGAGATTGGGTAGGACTCGTTTCACAAGATACAGTTCACAAAGACCCTGCTGATGAAGGGATATGGAATAAAGAAGCTGGCCAAAACCCATCAAAACCAAGACGGCAATGAAAGCGAACTCTGGTCATCCTCACTGCTCATTATTTGCTAATTGTAATGCATTCCAATGCTAAAAGACATTCCCACCAGTGCCATGACAGTTTACAAATGGCATAGCAATGTCCCAAAGCTACCATATATGGTCTAAAAAGGGGTGGAACCCTCAGTTTTAGGAACTCCCCACCCCTTTCCTAGAAAACCTTTGTCTAGCATAAAATGAAGAAATAACATACACATACTCAGTCAAGTAGCCCATGCCACTGCTCTGCCTATGGAGTAGCCACTCTTTTATTTCTTTACTTTCTTAATAAACTTGCTTTCACTTTACTCTGTGGACTTGCTCTTAAACTTCTTCCTACAAGAAGCCAAGAACCCAGGTGGCTTCCCGGGCTGAACCTCAATTTTGGGATTCACCCTGTGACATCTTTTCTGGCCACCAATGAAGAGGCAATGTAGACTCCCATCGGGACACCAAATCAAGACTCATGGGCACCATTTAGACCTGAATGGTGGGTGGGTGAGTCTCCCTTTGTCCAGATTCAACTCGCTACTTTTATTTCCCTTTGATTTGGGCACATCTGTCCTTTCCTATGTTCTTTATTTTGGACAGATGGGTAAGTGGCTTTGAGGCCTTTGGCTTGGTAGCCTGATGCAGTCTCCCATTTTCTGGGAGTCCTGGACAGGCAGAAGCACACCTGGCTGGCCAAGTCCTTTATAACCCCTGTTGTTGCCCCTTCTCTCAGGCCTTTTTTGCTTTAGTTTCCAATGACTGACCATTTTACTTTTTTCTCTCAATGCCCAAATGCATGCTTATCCTTATTTCTTTGTCACATTTGTAGTCTTTGCTTTGGCTCTTTGGGCCATTGTTTAAGGAAGGTCATTTGGCTGTATGAGGTCCTCTGTTGTGTTGACCCTGGGACACCAGAGTCATGTTGTTCTGTGGCCCCAATTGCGTTAGGTCTTGTGCCTTTGGGGTTCACTGTTGGCTGCCCCCCGATGCTCTGGGATTTTCAGCGTTTGCTGTGGGGACCCTCACTGGCCAGTACTTGGGTACTCTGTTTTTTTCAGCATTTGATATTGTTGGCTGATTCCTAGCACCACCTGGGATACTCAGAGGAGTTTGGAATTGGCATTCCCTCTAGGATTATGGGTTAGAGGTCCACCCAAGGTGAAACTTGGCCTTACCTTTTCTTGTTATGTCCTAAAGTTATCATTTTCTGTAACACCATTTTCTTTACTTATTGTAACTTTAACACTTTGCTACAGAAGGTGGGAATTTTCAGGGGAAGAAAACTGGGCTTTCGCTAGACTCAGAAAAACTTCTATTTAGTGGAGATCCTTGTTAAACGTGAGGACAATGGTGAATACTGAAGGACTCACTGCTATGGTGTATTTTAAGCAATTGGAGCAAATTCAGATTAGCAAAGTTTAGCCACATGGACAAGTCCCAGTTTTGTCAGAGAGATAATTTGGATCCACCTATCTTTTATAAAATAGTGAATTGTGTTACTATTTCATGGTTAGAGTTCCAAGTAAAAGCTATTGGACTAAGTTTTGGTTCCCTATCTTAAAACAAGTTTTTTTTTTTTAAATTGGTTTTCTTTCAGTAAGATTGCAAGAAATATTGGCTATCAATTCTAAAATATGTTTCCTTTTAAGGTTTCTCAGATTTATATCTGTCCCTTTTCCTTGGAAAAGATATATCCTTTGCAAGCTCAAAAATGTCTGCTCTATACTCCTTCTGGGAAAAGCATTATGGTGCTTGCCTCATACTGTAGCTTAGTGAGTAAAAGTTTGCTCTTACTTGATGGAGGCCTGCATTCAATTTTTGTCTTAGAGAATGAGTTTTTTCCTGTTTGACTCTTATGGGACTTTTGCCATTTACTTAAACTTTACCCCTCCATGGACAGCTTTTGATTTCCTGCCTTGAATTTTCTTTCTTTTTTTTTTTTTTTTTCTGAGTTACTTTAGGGGTGATTCTAGATCTTGTAAAAACTGCTTGCCATCTATTTGGAGACATCTCATGGGTCCATGGTTAAGCCATAACCTTAGTTAAGGCTTATTGGTTTTACTTGGGAAAATACTTTTGCAGAAAAACAAACTAACAAAAAAAAGTAGCTTAAAAGCCAGAGGTGTTGGCTATTTGTCCTGCCTAGAGTCTGGTATTAAGAGATCTAAAAGGATTTTTTTTTTTTTTAAAGAGCTCTATTGTTGAGAGTTAGCTTAATTAAACATGGATAACTAATATATATATATATATATATGTGTGTGTGTGTGTATTTAAATGGCTTTTATGTTTGTTTTTCTCTTCTTGAATCTTGTTTCTCTGAAATAAGAAAAGCTTTTTTCTTCTCAGATGACTGAATTGTTTTTCTCCCTTTTGTCTTCTTAACACTCTTGAGACTCATATGAGAGGATGTAAGGTAATTTCTAACATTCTAGAAGTCCTTGGGAAAAACAGAGGAAGTGCCAGAGACCCCATTCTGGGAAAAACCTCTATTTTCCTTATGGAATCCCAGGAATTGAAAACGGATAGATCCTCCCAAAATCTAAGCCTCTGTTCTGTTTTGCATTCAGTTACCTGGTGTTTTTTACTTTTGCAGGTATCAGAAATTACTTTGGATTATGAGAGAGCTTTGGTGTGTAATAACTATGTAGGGAATATACTTTCAGTGATGGCTAATGGCAGTTATGGGGAAGCACTCTGCTCTTTGCACTTTTGGATCAGAGAAGCATGCTCTTGGTCATCTAGAAGGTATAAAAATGTCCCCACCTCCCAATGAGGGGTAAGACTTCAATGGGGGATGGGCTGATTCCCTTTTTGGGGATCCAGGATTTGGTAAAAAAAAAAAATGGAATTCTTGATTTTTTGGTGTTTTGCCTTCCAACTGTGCCTGCTTATTAAGCCCTAGAAATTGCATGCTTTCCTGTCCATGTTCCTGAAAGGGTTCCATCTTGAAGCCAGTAGTCCAAGTAAGAAAAACCTAAAAACTGACAAATGAAAAATTTTACAGCTACTAGATCTTCTTCTGTCTATTTGTATTTGTTGTGTGTGTTATTTATAGAAAAGAGATCTAACTGACTTAAAGAAAAATAAGCAGTTAAATCAAATACTTTATTGGAAAAAATGGAAATTATAATACCTTTCAGTTCATATGACTTTAGTAATTTTGAGGAAATAAAGACAGTTTTAAAGATTATTGGGGCTCGGCATCATGGCTCACACCTGTAATCCCAACACTTTGAGAGCCAAGGCAGGTGGATCACTTGAGGTCGGGAGTTCAAGACCAGCCTGGCCAACATGGTGAAACCCCATATCTATTAAAAATACAAAAAATTAGCTGGGTGTGGTTGTGTGCTCTTGTAATTCCAGCTACTTGGGAGGCTGAGGCAGGACAATTGCTTGAGCCCAGAAGGCGGAGGTTGCAGTGAGCTGAGATCATGCCACTGCACTTCAGCCTGGGCAACAGAGTGAGACTATGTTTAATAAAAAAAGTTTCTGGTAAAATAAAAATGTCTTCAAAATTTATACATTTATACATTTGGTCTAAATTAGGCAAGTCAGATACTATGTTTACTAAACTACATTAACTGCTTCATTGTCTTTTGATAATTTCTCAACTTACCTGCTTTGGAGCAATTAGATTCTATGTAAGGCCTACTGATGGACATAGGTTGTTAGCCATGTCCCCGGCTTTGCTGGAAAGAGTCATACCTTATTTGTACTTCTATCTGATGTTCTAGGCTCTGCACCTGGTACATAATTAACATAACTTACCAGGTTTTTTACCAAAAATAAAAGTTGCTAATAGTTAACATTGTAACATATATAATTGAAACTACTGAAGGAAGAGTTTTACATGCAAGGTGTGTAAAGAAAGTAGAATGTGTTTTTGGTAAAAGATTATAATAAGGCATGGGAAACTTTTTTTTTTTTGGCCTAGTTTAGAGGGTTAAAGAATTGTTTTAAGTGAGATAGGCTAAAGCTGAAGGCTTGAGCAAGTTGTGGAAGGTTCATAAAAAATTAACCTTGTAAATAATTCTGTGTGTGAGCAAATTGACTAAAATTAAAAGGATATTATTCAATATTTCTATAAATTAAATATTGAAATAAAAGCACACTGATACAAAATCTGGGCCCATATGTCAGAATAATGAGGCTTTTTGGAACACTAATATGCTCCTTAATAGAAATTAATAAGTGTTATAAAAGGTTTGTGGAAATCTTACCTATGGTCAAACGAATTAAACTTGAATAAATGTGTTTATAATATTATATTTAAAATTAGCTTTAGTGTTAACGATGCACTAATGCAAAAGTGAAATTTGGCTTTCTGTCTTGAACAAGATTTTCATGTAATATTAAAAGATAATAAGAGACTTATGTTTGTCTTTTGAATAAACAATGGGAAAAGAAAGGAGAGAAAGGAGACAGATTGTTTGGAAAATTAAGTCTCCACTTTATCAATGAATAAGTTATTGCATTTTTGAAATTTTGAGTTATTGTTTTAGATAAATAAATGATTTATGGCAACCTGGAGTTCTGTCTTAAATTCTCAAATGTTTCACACCTTTGATATTTGACAAACTTGCCAAAATCAAATTGTAAATTGTTTTCTTATCCTATTAATCTTTTTAAATACTAAGTCTCCTAAAGTCCAAAAATGACATATTTGGGTTCTTGGTATATTAAAATCATAGAGGAAACATTGTCAAATATAAAATGGTGTTTGGCTTTCTTTGGGTTTTATTTGTATAAATGTGTTATCTGTATGTGTTTCCAAATTATGTGAAACTCCTATAATTTTGACATGAATTAGTGAATGTGAACAATAATACCCATAACTGTTATGTTAAATTGCTGTGTACCACAGAGGTAACTGGATTTCCTTGTCAATTGCATCTTTGACTGCGGCTGCTGTAAGACTTTTTGTCCTCCACAGACAATGGTGTGTTGCTTTCATCCTCTTCAAAAGATGGTTTATAGTCAGATACAGGATTTTGATGAGTAGTTTTAAATGCACGTCTCTGATAATTTGGGAAAGTGTACCATTAAAATAGAGAGGAAACATACTGCCAAAGCACTCTTGGAAAACTGTGTTCATAAATATTGAGCAAAACAGGAATTAATTGCATAGACTGAACTAATAAAAGGCTGAAGTAATCTCTTTATGACTTTTTGCTTAAAACATTGCTGATCCTTTCTGTTTTTTATTTCAGAGTCAATAAAATGTTTTTCTTTTGAGTTATTTACAGCTTCTAGCAATTGAGAAAAGTATACTACTGTGAGCAAAATTTGGAGCACGTTTCTTTCTCTCTCCCCTATTTCTTCAGAATTTGGAAACTATGTGAGTATTCTTACCTTATGGCAATATAGTTATTTCCATAAGTGCAGTGAGAGTCTGTTTTTTTTAAAATTTTTTTGTAACCAGACAAAATTGAAGAAACTCTTTATTTTTCCAAGGCTTTGACTAAAATGATGTGCTTTCAGATTCAAACAGACTGCTTTAAGGAATCAAAGTTGACTTATAGAGCCAATAAAAGCCACTTGGGAAAATTGGCCTCATACCTTCTCTATGGAGTCCCTGCACAGGGTTCCTAACCTGTGGAAAGTAAAGATTGTCACTTTCTGACAGGACCAGAAGCCCCAAGTTATCTTGGGTTCTTGAGTGGAGAAGGAGTCACCAAACTCATTCAAGTACTTGCAGGCACAGATAAATTCATGACTGAGCTTAAGGCTTTAAAAAGTCTAATCTAAGATTCCTTACTGAACAAAGTTCCATCAAAGCCAATTTTAAAAATGGGCCTATATGGCAAATAATTATTCTTTCTGCACTTTATATAGAAAATCAGGCCAAGTATAGTAAGGCTAAAACTTATTTTGCAAGCAAATCAGTTCTACCATGATTTGTTTTTAATAAAAATGGGGACCAGAGAGAAAAATTGTTTCAAAAACTATAGTACATCTGTAATTAGCTTCTGGTCTGGTCTATTGTTTTGGAGATTTTTTCTGCAATTTAGATTGACTGCTTATTTTTGTGAACCAACTAGTGATCTCTGGCTGCTGATCAGAAGAAACAAGAAGAATAGGTAACATACAGATCTAGTTGAGTATTCTAATTCTGGGCACATATTGGAATCAACTGACTACTCCATATTAACTTAGTTCTAACAAGTGTCCAGTTCATGGAAAGCCTTCTTATTTAGTTTACTTGGGATAATTTTATTTTGCTTTACTGTTGTGGAAAATACTGCTGTCGTCCTCATTGTGTAGGAATACAGGGTACACTTACTCAACATTTTCTTATATTGAGCACTTGTTAATCTTTCAGATTTCCATTTTTTACAAGATTCAGTTATGAGTGGCCCTCACCATACTGACACTGACTGAGCTACTCTCTACTCTGAATAAAAGAGACCCTAATAGTTAGGCAGGAATATCATTGCTTCTATTCAGCCTGAAGAAGTTATGAAAGATGGATCTTCATCCCTCTACAAACCCTAGGTTGCAAGCGTTCCCTTGCAAAAAGGATGGAGGAAATATGTCAGAGGCATTCAAACCAGAGTGACTCCATCTTGAGTAGGGGCTAGGTAAAATGAGAATGAGATATGGTAGGCTGCATTGCCAGGAGGTTAGGCATTCTTCACTACAGGATGAGATAGGAGGTTAGCAGGACTGATTTCACAAGATACAGATCACAAAGACCCTACTGATAAAGGGAGAGGCAGTAAAGAAGCTGGCCAAAGTCCACCAAAACCAAGATGGCAATGAAAGAGACCTCTGATCATCCTCATTGCTCATTATTTGCTAATTATAATGCATTCCTCTGCTTAAAGACACTCCCAGCAGTGCCACAACAGTTTACAAATGCCATGGGAACATCTGGAAGCTACCCTATATGGTCTATAAAGGGGAATAACCCTCAGTTCTGGGAACTCCTTAGCCCTTTCCTGGAAAACTTATGAATGATACCCCCTTTGTTTAGCATATAATCAAGAAATAACCATTTGTGTACTTAGTCAAGCAGCCCATGCTGCTACTCTGTCTATGGAGTAGCCACTGTTTGATTCATTTACTTCTTAATAAGCTTACTTTCACTTTACTGTCTGGGATTGCTCTTGAATTCCTTCCTGTGTGAAGCCAAGAACCCATGTGGCCTCCCAGGCTGAACCCCATTTTTGGGTTTTGCCCTGTGAAAATTCTGGTAATGATTTAAAAATAAAGAATTCTTTTTCCAGAAATGCATTTGGAGCAATAGATATTTCTGTCAGGCAAGTCAAAATTCACATCTGTAATTTCACAATAGGATTACCTGGAATTATGGAAAATCTAATTAAGTGAGCTATATTATCTGAGACCCACAAAAGACACTTAATATTGCCTTTGAAAGTCCTGCCTGTCTAAGAAGTGTTCCACATATGCTTCAGAAAATGCTCTGCGTTTGTACTAAGCACTTGACTAGTTTGCTGTATCCCATTACTTTTCTTTTACCCTTAACTTAAAAAAAAATCCCATTACTTTTGATAAACGACACTAATACATCTGAAAAGAAAGAAATAGGTTTCAAAGATTGGATTATTTGAAACAACAATGAGATCATTATGAGGCTATTGTTGATGTCTGCTTTCTTAAAATGAAGAGGGGTGGGAACACTCTGTGGTATATATAGATATACGAAAAAGCCATTTAAAAATGTGGCAGAGTTTAGTCTAATCTTAGTGTGATGGAGTGGTTTGGTGAGGTACATTAGAAAGAAGTCCTTCAGAACAGCCCACCCACATGCTGGTGAAAGTCAAGTTTCTGATCATTGGAAGCAGCTTGACTTTCTGCATGTTCAGTGGCTTCCATCCACATACTCTGATTAAGCTGGATGGATACATGGGGACCCTGGTGGATTATGGGCACAGGATGGATTTCTCAGAATTCTAAAGGCTCTTGGCAGTGGTGATTTAAGGCACTCTTCCCTGGCTTTAGCAATTATTTCAAAAGACCACATCAAGCCCTTGTCTGTTATTAAGGCCACCTAGGGACAATTCCTCCTCTCATTGTTTATACCTTACAAAACAGACTATGGGGAGTGGTTCTCTGCAGGACATTAGATTCCAGGGAGAATATGCAGATTGTTATTCTTAGTTCAGTTCTCCACTGCAAATCTTTAAAGAGCTCTCTCAGGTCATTACTTATGAGTGCTTTATTTTTCCCCCTTATAGAACCTGGACTGGTTGTTTCCATAGAAATAGTTTAAAGGGGGGACTGTTTTTAAATCAGGGAAGAGAGGGCAAGGTAGATGCTACAAAAATTATCTTTTTCCTCTTGATGCTTCCCCTGCCCTCTCTGCTTTTTCTCTATAAAATGAAGAGTTTAGGTTCTGGGTTTTGTTTTTTTTTTCACTCTTTATTTTATTTTGAATAAGTTAGTTATCATCTCTGTATCTCAGTTTTCCCATTGGTCTATTGAATTAAAGGACTAATAGCTCAATGTCTCTAGAGTGTCATTCAACTCTGAGATTCTAGAATTTAATAATACAGCAAAATCTCCAAACTTGAAAAGAAATGGTAGAATTGATATTACTTACTCTTGCAAGAACATTGGTAGCTAATTCTACTCTGAACTTTTCCCCTGTACATCTTTCCACTGTTTCTGAAAGCTTAAAATGTTTTAGGCCAGGCGCAGTGGCTCACAGTTGTAATCCAAGCACTCTGGGAGGCCGAGGCGGGTGGATGACCTGAGGCTAAGAGTTCGAGAGCAGCCTGACCAACATGGAGAAACCCAGTCTCTCAATAATAATAATAATAATAATAATAATAATAATAATAAATTAGCCAGGCATGGTGGCCTATGCCTGTAATCTCAGGAGGCTGAGGCAGGAGAATCACTTGAACCCAGGAGGTGGAGGTTGCTGTGAGCTGAGATCGTGCCATTGCACTCCAGCCTGGCCAAAAAGAGCGAAACTCCATCTCAAAAAAAAAAATTGTTTTAAACCAAATGCTCTTTATTCCTCAAACAGCCTCTTCTCCTGTTAAGGCCAGGAATAGCACCACTGTCTTCAAACTCTCCCCTCACTGCTGCTTCATTCTCTAACCTAATCTTTTCAGTTCCTAAAACCGTCTACATCTGCGTCGTTTCAAGAATGGCCCCTTTTTCTCAACTCAAGCCTTATTTTTTCTGGTTTGGAACCATATTACCTCTCACCTGAACTATTGCAATGCCTCCAGAAAGTCTTCCTTGACTACACACCCTCCTCTCTCAAGAAACTTTAAGAATCCCCTATGCCTGTGCTGCCTAGATGGTGGCCACTAGCCCCACGTGGCCAGTAAGCTCTTGCAATGTGGCTAGTCCCAACAGAGAGGTCCTTTAAATATAAAATGTACATTCGGTTTTGAAGGCTTAGGACAAAAAAATATAAAATATCTTGAGAATGTATATATTGATTCCATGTTAAAATGATACGATTTTGGGGCATGCTGGGTTAAATAAAATACATTGTAAAAATTAAGTTCACTGATTTTTTGAACTTTTAAATATATGGCTTCTAGAAAATTTAAAATTACACGTGACTGACATTATGTTTCTATTGAACGACCCTGGTCTACTTTATCTCATCTCCTCACATATACCTATTATTGCATTTAGCAATCTCTATTGTATTATTGGTTTCTTGTTTCTCCTTAATAGACAGTGGACTCCTAGAGCCCCTTCGTGAGGCTTATTCTTTATTGGATTAGAGCATGGTATCCAGGGGTTAAAATATGTATTTACGCATTCTTGTTGAATAAACAAAACTCTTAACTCATCTTCTTAATTACCTGCTGTGGACCAGGCCATGTTCTGTGTTACAGCAGTGAGCAGCAAAGAAAAGGTCCCCGCCTTCATAGACTTTATATTTTGTGAATGATTACCATATGACAGGTACTGTACAAAGTACACACATTGTCTCTTTTTCTCTTGGCACTCTCCCTTTGAGACTGGTCCTAGGGTTTTTCCCTTTTTCTTTCTTTTTTTTTTTGAGATGGAGTCTTGCTCTGTTGCCCAGGCTGAAGTGCAGTGGTGCGATCTTAGCTCACTGCAACCTCCACCTCCTGGGTTCAAGCAATTCTTCTGCCTCAGCCTCCCGAGTAGCTGGGATTACAGGCACACGCCACCATGCCAGGCTAATTTTTGTATATTTTTTTAGTAGAAACTGGGTTTCACCATGTTGGCCAGTCTGGTCTCAAACTCCTGACCCTGTGATCTTCCCACCTCAGCCTTCCAAAGTGCTGGATTACAGGTGTGAGCCACTGCGCCCGGCTGGGTTTTTCCCATTTTTAACAGGGCAGTGTGGAGACTTGCAGAGGCTGATTTCCACCTCTAGTGTAGTGAGTTGTAACTCTTGAGCTCTAACCTTCCAACTCCTTCTGATTCCTGAGCCCATCCTCTTAACTGTTTTGTAAGAGCTGACACTCCTTACCTCCATTTCTCCTGCACACCTCTGACAGCTCGGCTCCTGTCAACCCCGACTAGAAATTCCGAGTGGATTCCCATTGTCCATCCAGTAAAGTCCTGATTCCTAATACTGGAATCTAAAGACCTGTCACAGTAGCAGGGCCTCTGCATTGTCTAGCCCCAGAAGGCACGATTCCCATGATGCTGTAGGTCACTGGGGCCTCAAGTTGTATACAGAGCATCCCTGCCAGCTAGGACCTAGACCTTCAAAATGAGATGAAAACATCCGTCTAGGCAAAGTCACTTATTCTCAGCACAGACTCACAAGCCCCTGCAGATATGCATGGGAGACCATTTATAGGCTATTTCCAACCTCCTATTTTATAGAAGGAGATACTTAGTCAACACACAGGGAAAAGTATTTTTTCTAAGTTTGCACTATGGTTCAATAGCAGAACCTAAGCTAGATCACTAGAATCTTGACTTTTGGTCTAGAGTTATTTTTCTTGTCTCAGTCTTCTTAGAAATTCAGAGAAGAAGGCATTGTCTATATCTGAACAAGTGATTCATACAGCTACATTATTTTAGCTTTGACTAGAAGAATCACCAAACTTTTTTCCTCTTGATACTAGGTTTGCTGTTTTGATAACAAAAGAAATCACTCAAGTGAGTTTACATACAGGAAGCTTGCTGTCATTCAAGAGCATTGCAAGTGATCTCACAGAAATTCAGGAACAGATCAGTAGGGTGGGCTCCATGAAGACAGCTGCTGAGAGAGTCCTTAATTGCCAAGATCTTCAGATGCCTTGTGTTCTGCTATTTAAATGACTCAGAGACAGAGGTCACATTTGTTTCTCTTTAATTTGTGACTGGTTTGCTCTAAGCCTTGATTTCATTGAAACATTAGTCATGAGATGTCACTTGGTAGCTACTCCATTTCTCAAGTGCCTTGTAACCTTCCTATTTTAGTTCCCTCACTCACTGCAGAAGGTTCTTGTTTTCTTTCATTGAAGTTCCCAAAGAAATCTGATTCACCCACCTCCTCGTTTTGAACTAGGCTGAAACAATCAATGGTTGGTTTATGATTTAGTTGTCACTGAACTGGGTGTTGTTTAATGAGCCATGGCCCAAAGTGGGAATGGAAGCTCCAGGCATTGGAAGTTGTGGATATGGAAGTTTATTTACAAGAGGTTTGACTAGGCAAGTATTGAAATACAGGACCGATACTTTACAAATTTGTCTGTAGAAGTGTAGTCATTGATTCCTTTGTGCTCTTGTACATAGTCCTATCTGTACTGAACACATCATACCATCACTCATCTGCTTAGACAACAGTCTCAGTATTGTTTGAGAACAGTCTACATATTGGAGGTATATTGATGCCTGTGTATCCTCAGAGTTCAACCTAGGCCTAGAGCCATTGAAAAGTTATTACCAAGTGAAGGAACAGACAAATAAAAAAAGCTTGATGCATATTTACTGCTTGGAGACAAAGGGAGGTTTACATACAGGCCTTTGATACCACAAATGACATTACATTATGTTAAGCATCAGTTTATCATCACCACTTTGCTCTAATCTTCCCTCAGGTATCTTAGCTCATACAAAAGAACAAATGAAAATAAAATCTATTTCTCTTTCCACACATTCATATAGAGTATTTATTCATAGTCAGAGATGACACTGCAGATAGCGTTATTTCCTTTATGTGTTGATATATGTTATTCATCTTAATGATCAACATTTAAAAATATTACACCAATAAAAAGGCTGTCTTAAGGACAGAATAGAGTACAAATAATAAGTTCTTCATTGCACACATTGTACTTAATCATGTTATCATTTGAAGATGATTTAGTTACTTAAAGAGATAAATAATCACTGAATGACTATACAAGTTTTAGGTCTGGGGCCTTACATTGGATTCCTGTAATATTTTGTGGCCATGAGACCCTAAGAATGTAAAGTCTGATTGTATTTACTTAAAAAATAAGTGGAAGTCACATCTAACAAAGATTATTTTGTATAACAAATACAATTTTTGAAGCTGAGATGATCCTTGGAGTTGGTCATGCAATCTTCTTGTATTCAAGATTGGGGACCTGGACTTTCAGACATTGATAGCCAGTTAAAATAGTCCAAAGTCAAGCCTGGCTTCTGCAGTCCTGTAAACTTGCATTAGAATTACAACATTGTCAATGATTCAGGGTGTACTTGGGTGGGTTACATAAGGACACTAAGCCTCACTTTCCTCCTAGATAAAGTCTGAGTGATATATGTGTGTGTGTGTGTGTATGTATATATATATATATAAAAAATATGTGTGTGTATATATACATATATACACATGATATATATACATATATACATATACATATGTGTGTATATATATACACATATATATACATATACATATGTGTGTGTATATATATATATATAAACACATATATATATATATGTCACACATATATATGCAGTTGTGGTGAAAATGCAATAAAATAATATGTACCAAGCCCTGAGCATACTGTCCAGCACTAGAAAAATCAAGCACCTGACCAAGGATAGTATCTACTTTTATGACAATTTAATGTAAATCATGAGTGATGGAACCAGGATTTGAACCTGACACATAGGTAGTGAATGATCTTTCCACTTTCAAAGCAGAACTTCTGTCATTCTCTATTTCTCCAGAAGCAGAGACTCAGATCTCCACTGAAGCAGTTTTAAAATTTCCACTCACCTTTGCAGAGCGCTGGGGTCTTTGATAAGGGGCCTTATTTGCTGCCTACTTTAACATTTGAATTTGGTATTAGAAATTGGAGCAGCATATACCATAACCTTTTTGCAGTCTCTGCTGTGTACTTTGCACCTGAGAAGAAGTGATTACCCCAAGCTTATGCCTTGCTCCAAGTCTAGAAATCAGGGGAGAAGAATTATTGAGAAGTGTGACTCAATAATTCTTGTAATACTTCTTCTCCCCTATTCTCTGTGATTTCCACAGACATGGCATAATTCCTGTGATTTGATGTGAAATGAGAGACCAGCTCAGTGCTGAGTGATGAGATCTGAACGGGGAATAAAATATGCTTGAATTAATTTGCATAATAGAATTGGATTGGTTACAAAGCTGTGTTTGTTGAAAGGGATACCAGAGCCCCTTAGCTCACCAACAAGGGGACTTTGCAGATACAGAATGGGGTTTTGAGCTCTGGTGTGGGCCGTGGTAATATTCTTAATGTAATAATAACCTGTCTCTAACTATAAATTAGCTACCTGGAAATGAAAAAACAGGTCAGCCTGTCTGATCCTTCCAGCTCTGTGGGGAGGGGACAGCTGAAAAACCAAATCTGCTTGCTTTCTGCTAAGCGCTTTCGTCTTTCATTCTCCACCCAATAACAATTTCCAGCAGGAGTCCAAATATACTTAAACACCCGTATATGTCATTTTCTTTAACGGAGACAAAAGCAGGCACAGCAAGAGAGTTTTATGCTCAAGGCACGGTGGCTTCTGACGGGCTATCTGCTCTCAAGATAGAGGGGTGATCCTTCCCTTTCGAGCTGGTGGCTTTGCACATCTATTTTCCTGTCATGTTATTACTGCTGTGACTTTCAACAACATTTATTTTTCCCTCCAAGCAATATGCTCCCATCATAAAATAAAGTCCTCCTATATGTTTTAGTAGAATCCCAATGCTTAGGCATCCTGGCATACTGCTAAAAAGTGTTTTAATGGATTGTTCAAGAACTACCTTGGGGGTCTTTATTAAAACCAATTAGAACATTGATATATTTCCCTAATTATTACCAACATCAAGGTCTCCTTAGGAGGGCAGCCTCCTATTAATTTTCATGGGAGATTCCTACTAAGTCCCTACCACTGAATACATCAATCAGTTCTCTCAATTCTAGAAATATTTCATAAAACAAAACAAAACAAAACAAAAAACTGAAACAACTCTGAATACACTTTTGTAACCTACACATTTAGAAATTCTGAAACAGGTATTTAAAATAAAAACCAAAGATCAAATTTTGTGTCATATGTTGTTTAAAGACCTGGTTATACTATGTTATTGATGGTTATTGATGGACTGATGTAATTACCTCTTGTTCATCTTCACTTTGGTCATTGATATAAAATGCTTTTTCTTTCTTTTTGGTTTGGATAATTTTTTTTTATTATAGTCTACTTCTCCATGCTACCAAAATTTAAATTATCATCATGTTAAGGCTATTGTGTGTATTTGTATTAGTGTGCCTAAATTTGACCTGCAGCCTTCTCTTAGGTAAAATTGTAGAGGGTAGGAATACAAGTCCTCAAACCAAACATTCAGAGTTCAATCCCAGGTCCTTTACTTGCTGGCTCTGTAACCTTGGACAAATTACTTAATTTTGATGTGCCTCAGACTACTTGCCTGTAAAATGGGAATAGCAATAATGCTACGTTTTAGGGTTTTTGTGAAGATTTGATGACTCAACTCATGGAAAACATGTCCAAGAATGTTAGGCGGATAACACCCGGTAAATTTTAACTATATTAGTATTTTCATTCTAGTCCTGTTATTAGTATACACTGAGTTCCAATAGTAATTTACTTCCCACATTTAGCTGGCTTCTAGGTAACTGCTTTTTATCACAACGTCCGTATAATTTCCTTATGAACTTCAAACTCAAACAAATGGCAAGAGTTGTGATTGTTTACTGGTTAAGAACATGGATTCTAGGGCCTGAAGCCATGGGTTCAAATCTCAGGTCTGGTATTTACTAGAAGCGTAAGTCTGCATAAGTTGTTTAATGTGTCTGGAACTCAGTTTCCTCATCCTTTAAGAGAAGAATATTCATGGCTCCTATTCATAAGGTTGTTATAGAAATTAATAGATGAGTTACTATTTGTAAAGCTTTTAGAACAGTAGCTAAGGAAAAGAACTTGCTACATAAATTTTCATTCTGAAAGTGAATCTTTTTTTTAAATTATGTCTTAAAATCAGTCTTATACATACCTAAGATTAACCATTAAAATAACTTTCTGTATCACATATAGTCATATAAGCATTTAAAATGGTGGACCATTGCTCTTAAAAGCAAATTGATTCAGTATTCTTTCCAAAAGAAGAAAAGAGATAATTTCACCTTTTTAACAGATTGAATGTTATTGTTTATTGATCATGTGGAAACTCTTAAATTCATTAGTATTAAGCTAGACATTTTTTATAAAAGAAAAAAGTTGTCATCTTGTTTCAACACTTCTAGTGTTAGAAATAATTGTGCTTTGCAGCAAAATGGCAGCCAGAAGAAAAAGGTGAAGAAATATCAACTTTAATTAAACCCTTTCTTTCTAATACACTTCATGGCTTATATGCAAGAATAATTTATCACTCTGTGAATGAGCATTTAATACTTGGCATGGTGCAAGATGGGCAAGGATCTTGCCTCACCATATGCTGTTTTCTTTTTCTTTCTTTCTTCTTCTTGAGTTTCCACAGAGACAATGTCAAGTTTAGAGTTGAAATGTGAGATTCAAATCATATATTAAAATTGTATTGACGGCCTGCTTTGTGTTCAGGTGTCAGACATATAAATGTGAATAAGATATAATCCCATCCATTCAGAAGTTTCCAGTCTAGTAAGGAGACAAGGTATGAATCAGAAGAAATGCCCCTCACTAGCTCACTGAAACTCTAATCATGAATATGAAGCCACTTGAAGAAAATTTTACACAGGCTTCAGTTTACAGAGTGAGACAGAACCTCTGCGAGTAGAATCAATGAAGTTCCATGGCAAATTAGTGCCAGATTCTCCACCAAATCTTGAGTTTCATGACTTCTGCTCAGAAATCTTTCTGTTGTTTCATACAGCCTCATTTTAGCATCTAACCCGTCCTCTGGGGCCTTCTTTGTGCTCTTTCCAAACAGTCGGTTTGGCTTTCTAGAAACAGCATCTGATGTATTATTAAAGTGCCTGAATGTAAGGATGAAGTTGTTAAATGATGACGCTGCCTTTTCCATCTTTCTCTCTCTCCCACGTAGCCTTTTACATATCCCAAAGTGTCTGTTTACAACCAATATTAAGAGTTTCAAGTCCCCTATTCCTTGAATAAAGACTAACATAATACCATCCCAAAGTGTTATTGAGAAAAGTGACAGTCACCAGGCTTTAACTGCACATCTGTGGCCTCCCAGATACCACTTTGCCAGATTACAAAGGAAACAGAAAGACTTGGGATGGCAAAGTCAAAGTTCATCAAAATGGAATGGATCTGTATCTACAAATTATAATTTCACCAATTCTTTTATTTTCTAGGTTGCTGAGGTCAGATGGCTATGGTATCCCAAGTAACTTATTTGTTCTCAATTCGCATCTTGGAGAAAGCACCTCATCACCCTCTTGGGGGCATCTCCATGTTCAAGGCATGGGTACCCTTAGAGTTCCACATGGCTGGGGAAGCCTCACAATTATAGTTGAAGGCGAGGAGGAGCAAGTCATATCTTACGTGGATGGCAGCAGGAAAAGAGAGAGAGCTTGTGCAGGGAAACTCCCCTTTATAAACCTGTCAGATCTCCTGAGACTTATTTACTATCATGAGAACAGCATGGCAAAGACCTGCAACCATGATTCAATTGCCTCCCGCTGGGTCCCTCCCACAACACATGTTGAATTCAAGATGAGATTTGGGTGGGGACACAGCTAAACCATATCAGACCTTGACCCATTATTTTTCCTGTAAATATTTCAGTAACCATCAGTGGTTTCTTGAGATCTTCCCCTATGTTGTGACACTCTGGGAAAAGAAGAAGGAACCTATTGCATGTCCAGTTCCCAACTCTGTGTTCAGGCCTGTATGGGTGCAACAATTCTTGTCATCCTCATTATTCACATGAAAACATGGAGGTTCAGAGTGATTGATTGGCATGCCCAGAGTAACCCAGATTGTAAAATATGGAAGTGGTATTCTGATCCAGATGCATCTGATCTCCAAGTCTATGTACCTTCCACTATGCCAAGATTCATGCTGTTTCCTTCTTGCTCCCTTCTTCCCTGAACCATTTCACCCAAAGAAGACAACAAAAAATTAGGTGATGACAGTGATTCCTACAATGCTCAGTAAGTTTTCCAGTTTCATTTAGACCCAGGTGCTGAAACAGAATGTTATCCTCAATATCAATGTATCATCCTCCTGCACAAGAACTTTCTCAGATTCCCTCACATTGGTGGTGAACTCATCTGATTCTCTCTCTGGAGTCTGGGTGGCACTCCAGAGAGAGAAGGTGATTCTCCAGAAAACAAATGTATGGTTCTAAGAGAGGAGAACAAGCAAGGGGAATTCCTTAGAGAAGAATAAGTTTTCAGCATGAGAAAGTCCAATGAAGAAGTCCAGAACCCAAGGCAGAAGTTAAGGACTGGCAATAAGAACCAGAGTGCTGGAGAGAGGACAAGAGTGACTGTGGCTCAGAAACCTGTGAGGAGTGTAGAAAGGTGAAAGGCATTACTGGCTTATCCTCACTGGTGTTGAGTAGCTGAGTCATGGCTGGGTGCTGGGAACATGACCTTGGGCTGGTTGGTTGGATATACTGTTTTGTTTTATTTTCCTTCTCCTAGTTAGTGAAAGCTTGTAAAATATCCTTTCTGAGACTTCCAGGCTAAGCAAGGTAGGATCTTTGGCTTCGTGGATGGATCTTTGCCAGACAAAAGCAAATCTTCCTCCTTGAATTGACACTATACCCTTAACTGATTTACCAAAGAGACCTTAATCCATTATTTCTCCTGTAAATATTTCAGTAACCATCAATGGTTTCTTGGGATCTTCCCCTACATCCCTTCCCTAACAGGATCCATTGCCTGCCCGCCTTCTTCGTTACTACCTCCAGGCATGCTGAACATCTTGGAGCACACTGTGCTTTTGGATGTGATGTTCCTTCTGCATGGAATCCCACACTCTCCTTTCTTATTACAGCAACCTCACTAAAGGATTGAGTCCAGCCATCTGTCCTCTCCCTAAACTGAACCCCAGTGTGGATTATATGTTCCTCATCTGGACTCCTTTAATTCCCCGTTTTCTTATTACAAAATCATATCTAAGCACAATTTTGATCAATTATAACAGATAAATATGGAGTGCTTACTATGTACCAGGCATTGTGCTAAGAGACTTATATGCATTACTCAGTGAATCCCAGTGACAGCTTTGTACTGGGTACACTCTTATCCCCACTTCATAAATGAGCAAGCTGAGCTCAAAGCAGTCAGTGAGCTTCCCCAAAGCCCGTAGCTCCCACGTGATAAACTCATGCCCAGTCCTGAAGGCTTACTGAAAGGAATGGAAATGAAGTGGGGATTTGGCCTGCAGTTAATCCAACCTCTCTCTGCTTGCAGAAGCTAACTGGGGACGTGGGCAGCCCTGACGTGATGAGCTCAACCAGCAGAGACATTCCATCCCAAGAGAGGTCTGCGTGACGCGTCCGGGAGGCCACCCTCAGCAAGACCACCGTACAGTTGGTGGAAGGGGTGACAGCTGCATTCTCCTGTGCCTACCACGTAACCAAAAATGAAGGAGAACTACTGTTTACAAGCCGCCCTGGTGTGCCTGGGCATGCTGTGCCACAGCCATGCCTTTGCCCCAGAGCGGCGGGGGCACCTGCGGCCCTCCTTCCATGGGCACCATGAGAAGGGCAAGGAGGGGCAGGTGCTACAGCGCTCCAAGCGTGGCTGGGTCTGGAACCAGTTCTTCGTGATAGAGGAGTACACCGGGCCTGACCCCGTGCTTGTGGGCAGGGTAAGGCTGCCTTCCCTCAATCCTGAGCTTTCCAACCCACCATTGGAATAGTCGTCTGTGGCCAGAAAGAAGCAAAAGGCCCACAGGCATCTAAGAGAGAAAACACCAATGGCTTGAAGAGCCAGTAAAACCACCCAAATATTGTACATAATATGTTATTCCAGACTTTTAAAAAAAATAATAGACTTATCCATGTTGAGAATACTTCTTAGGTTTTTCCATTTAGTTTTAGGGAGTTATATCATAAAACTCATTTACCATATTATTTAGATATGGGGTCTCTCTCTGTTGCCCAGACTGGCATGCAGTAGTGTGATCATAGCTCACTGTAATCTCAAACTCCTGGGCTCAAGGGATCCTCCTGCTTTAGCCTCCTGAGTAGCTGGGACTACAGGTTCATGCCACCATGCCTGGCTAATCTGTATTTTATTTCATTTTTTTAGAGAAAAGGTCTTGCTGTGTTGCCCAGGTTGGCTTCAAACCTCTGACCTAAGTGATCCTCCCTCATCAGCCTCCCAAAGTGCTGGGACTGCAGGCCTGAGCCACTACGCCAGGCTCAAACTCCATTTTGAATGGCTGCATAATAGCCCATTAAATGCACATAGCCATAATTTATTTAACCATTTTCCAGCTGGAGGCATTTCCCTGACCACACCCTAATCCCAACTTGAATGCTCCTCCTTTGGACCCTTTATCATAGCTTTGCTTTTTGTATTCAGTGTATCTACTTATTAATCTGTCTACTTCACTAGACTTCAAGCTACTTTGTGTCAAGGGCAGTGTCATCCTTGTGTACTTATGTCCTGATGCTAGACCCAGCTTTGAAGAGCTGAATGAATATGTACCAGAAGCTTGGGTGTGGTTTTATCCCTGTTTCCACAGGCATGGTAAAACCCAGTGAGATGACTTCCCATTCCAGGCTCTGTGGTCTCTGTGTATCCCTTCCAGAAAAGTGCAAGTGTAGAAAGAGGGTCCAAAATACAAATTCAAGAGAGTTTGGAAAATTACCTACCCACTAGCATTTGAGTAAAATGTACAGTTATCTTTCAGATGATAGTGACATTAAAACTGCAAAAAGATATGTGCGGCCAGCACAGTGGCTCACACCTGTAATCCTAGTTCTCTGGGAGGCTGAGGCAGGTGAATCACGGGATGTCAGGAGTTCAAGACCAGCCTGCCCAGTATGGTGAAACCCCGTCTCTACTAACAACACAAATATTAGCCAGGCGTGGTGGTGAGTGCCTGTAATCCCAACTACTCCAGAGGCTGAGGCAGGGGAATCGCTTGAACATGGGAAGGAGTTGTTGCAGTAAGCCAAGATGTGCCACTGTACTCCAGCCTGGGAGACAGAGTGAGACTCTGTCTCAAAAAATGAATGAATAAATAAATAAATAAATAATAAAAAAGATGATTATTAACAATGCCAGTTAATATTAACAATATTAATAGTATTATTTATTACTAATGCCATTTTCTCATTTTTGTTAAAGTATTTTTATTATTTAAGTTTAAATTATTATTATGAGACAAAGGCCTCCATCTCAAAAAAAAAAAAAACAAAGATAGATCCTTAGATACATAAGAACTGAAATCCTATCATGTGGAGCAGCTGCCGTGCTAGGCAAAATGTAAACTAGATTAAGATAGCTCCTAACCTCAAAGAGGTCTAGTGGAAAAGAGACAGTTACCTAAGCAATTAAAAAAAAAAAAAGAAAAAAAGAAAATGAATAATAGAATAATGAGGACATTCAATGTAAATGATTATGAATTTACATGGTAATATTTGGGAGGGATGTCAAAGGAAGGTTTCAAGGACAACATGGGAATAACCTGTAACCTAAAAGATGAACAGGAATTATCCAGTGGAAGGTAAAGGGGAAAGAGAATAGGTTTGAGGGGTTTCTGAACCCTACTGATTTCTACGAAGTTATCTTAATTGTTCTTTTACATGAGAACAGCACTTCATGTTCACATAATTGACATACTTGAAGGAGATTAATGTTAGAATCTCAATGACATTGTGTAAGTTTGGAAAAATTTCTTCTTGAAGAGATGTACCAAAGGAATTTCATTCATTTATATCCCAAATGGAAATATGTGGAAGTTGACGTGAGAAATGGAAATGGAAATAATTGGCATATGGAATTCCCTAAGTAGAGGAGATGGGCTGTGTGCCAGAGAGGAAAAAGAGATTTCAGCCATGACAAGGGATGTGGAGCTTAAATGTTGTGAAGGGCTGTGCATGAATCATTCTGAGATATGAATAGAACCTTCTGCTTTGGGGACTTTCTCAATGGGAAGCAGTGTGTGTGTTCAGATTGGGGGTTGCAGAAGAAACAGGATCTGGAGAGTCATTTCAGCATCTCTGGAGTAAGCAATTGTCATGCCTACTAGAAGAAAATATAGAAAAAAAAGAGGGGAAAGGAAAACTAGTATTATTCATGGTGTGTGACCTTCAAAAGCTAGGTACATGAGAATGAATCTGATGTCCGGTTGGATAGGGGAAAAATAAATAAAGTGGTTGGTCCTGTGAATCTTTCTTTTGAAATGTGCTGAGACAGTTCCCTGGAAATAGGAGGGATGGAATAGATGGTTTATTTCCTAACAACCTTTGATTTGATGACATTCAAGGTTGAGTGCTTAAGATGCCCTGAAAAAGTGAAATTTGGTAAACCATGGACTTTCAGATTTCTTGTGGAAATACAGCCTGTGTCATGCTGTGCTATGCAGAGAGGGAAGCCATTCATCTTTGGAGTTAGGAATTGGCTGCGTATGCCTCAGCAACTGGATCCCTTGATAGCACTGAATGGTTTCTGAAACTGGGTTTTTGTTTTTTTTTTTAATGTGTGTGTGTGTCTGTGTGTGTGTGGAGCCTAGTAAGTATCCATGTCAGTTGTATAAATCATCTTTGTTAGACACAAAAAAGGGAAGTTATGTCCTACTTTCCAACCTGAAAACAAAGTAGAAAAATAATAGGAAATGTTTTGTTAAATTTTTAGTTATTTGGCTGATCATGAAATAGATCCATTTAATTTTCAAGAAACTTGCCAAATTCACATGTAATATATGAAGGCCTCTAGAAAGATTCAATGTCTGGGCATTCCCATTAAAGTCAGCATTTTATTTATACTTTCTTGTTCCTCATTCGTATGTCCTTGCCCTTAACTTCTGCCAGGTGTGCAGCAGGGTAAATAGAAGAACAAAGGTAAGCCTCCCCTAAGATGGCGGTGTGGGGCAGAAATTTTGCCTTCATTAAGGAAACTTGGCTGAATGAAGATTGGGGCAATTCTGTTCATCCGTCATAGGCCATCAAACAGCTTTGTATTTTACTGTCAAATGGACTTATTCATCAGAAATGTGTTAGCCATAATTTCACGACAACACATTGTTATGAATAACAAATGCTGAAGAAAAGTCTGTTTATTTTTTCCCCCTAGAAACAAAGAGGACTGAAAACAAAATGGTCTTTGTAATTCATACCTACAGGTAACCCCCGAGCTGAAATAATTGGGGTTTCACTGAAGCGCTGCAAATCAATTAGATATCTTTGGGGATATTGAAACAATACAAAATTTTTTAAAATCTATGTATTCAACCTTGCTTTATAAGCAAGGTCTCTAGGCCTTAGTCTCATAATAATAATCATGAGTTAAGGTCTCTAGGCCTTAGTCTCATAATAATAATTTAAATCAAAATAATAAATACCAATTTTAACAAAAATATGAAAATGGCATTAGTAATAAATAATACTATTAATATTGTTAATATTAAATGGCATTGATAATAATCATAGTTTTTATTATTTTATTTAATTAATTAATTTATTTATTTTTGAGACAAAGTCTCACTCTGTCTGCCAGGCTGGAGTACAGTGGTAAGATCTCAGCTCGCTGCAACCTCCACCTCCTGGTTTCAAGCGATTCTCCTGCCTCGGCCTCCCAAGTAGCTGGGATTACAGGTGCAAGCTATCATGCCTGGTTAATTTTTGTATTTCTTCTAGAGATGAGGTTTCAGCATCTTGGCCAGCATGTTGGCCAGGCTGGTCTCGAACCCCCGACCTCAAGTGATCTGCCTGCCTCAGCGTCCCAAAGTGCTGAGATTACAGGCATGAGCCAATGTGCCTGGCCTCTTTTTATTATTTTAAATGTCATTTGAATAAAGCTCTCTAGTTTACAAAGGGTTTTCTTATTTAGTAGGTAGAACCAAGGTCTTTTTCTCTACTTGACTGCTCTTGAAGCCCACTAGAACAGTAAAAATAATGCTTACTTTTTCCCACAAAGGGCAGAATGAGGACCAAGGAACTCGGATTAAAAGACAGCTGCAGAAATTGAGATTGAACAACAAGGCGGGGTGAGGAGTTTTTTGCTACAGGAAAACCAGATGTGATTTTTGGGAGACTTTCATGTTTGAAAACACAGAGCAGAGTGAGGGCAGAACAGAAGATGATTGGTAGTTAAGAGACCTAGTTGATTTCTTGGACCTGACAAGTGTGAATTTAGGCAAATATCATCTTATCTCTAAGCTCTGTCAAAGAAGAAAAACTTGGGGATGTTTAAGATTCTTTCTGACACCTAAGAAATTGTATACATATCAACCCATGCCACTAGTCCTACCTACCTTTAGCATTAGAATGGACACTTCTTCCAGGCAGGCCACATCCCCAGATCCTCATACCCTGTGTACCGCAAAGCAGGTCTTCTGGAAAGGTCTGATAAGTTGAATTGTTTGTAGTAACAAAAGCCAGGAAACAAGCTAAGTGTTCTTTAGAAAGGACTGCTAAAACGAACAACAAACAAACAAAAACATTGGCCAGGCATGGTGGCTCATGTGTGTAATCCCAGCACTTTGGGAGGCCAAGGCAGGCAGATCACTTGAGGTCAGGGGTTCGAGACCAGCCTGGGAAACATGGTAAAACCCTGTCTCTACTAAAAATACAAAAATGAGCTGGGTATGGTAGCATGTGCCTGTAATCCCAGCTACTTGGGAGGCTGATTTAGGAGAAATCGCTTGAACATGGGAGGCAGAGGCTGCAGTGAGCCGAGATCATGCCATTGCGCTCCAGCCTGGGCAACAGAGTGAGACTCCACCTCAAAAAAAAAGAAAAACCCAAAACAAAAAATTTTTTAAAAAATAATAACCTCCATACAGTAGATGAGGAAGATCTATAGTTATAAATGTGGAATAGTCACCTGAATTTATTGTTAGAGGAAAAGGATGAAGTGAAGAATGATGTGTGTACTCTGGAACTTTATTGTATAACAATAAACTAGGGTACATATGTATCTGTGTAGATTTCCTTGCATATGCATAGAATAGAATATCTCTTATAGGATTCACAAGAAACTGGTTACAGTGATTGTCTCTGAACAGAGGAGAAAATGAAGGAATGGGAGTCAGAGCTGAGAGGAAGACTTACTTATTGCATGAATGTTTGCTTATATATTTTTAAAAATAAACATACATTTATTTCAAACTATTGACAGATACGTTTAGGTTTTTATATTTTGCATATGCGCATATATATGGAGAGAGGTGAAAGGAGAGCATGAATCTTAGAATTAAAAATATATATATTTGAACTCTGGCTTCACTGTTCTGCAGTGTGACCTTGGCCAAGGCTATGATATTCTCTAAGATTGCCTTTCTCCTGTTGTAAAATGGAGATGAGAACATCTCCCTTTCATGACGTGTGTGTGTGCGCAGCAGATTGTTGCAATCACTTGTAAGTGAGTTTCCCCACTGCTTTCCTCATGGAATTAAAAATCTCAATTTCTCTTTCTTCCAGCTTCATTCAGATATTGACTCTGGTGATGGGAACATTAAATACATTCTCTCAGGGGAAGGAGCTGGAACCATTTTTGTGATTGATGACAAATCAGGGAACATTCATGCCACCAAGACGTTGGATCGAGAAGAGAGAGCCCAGTACACGTTGATGGCTCAGGCGGTGGACAGGGACACCAATCGGCCACTGGAGCCACCGTCGGAATTCATTGTCAAGGTCCAGGACATTAATGACAACCCTCCGGAGTTCCTGCACGAGACCTATCATGCCAACGTGCCTGAGAGGTCCAATGTGGGTGCGTACGGTGTGGGAGGCCTGCTCTGCTTCCAGGCCTGGTGTCTCTGTGGTGGGTGGGCTGAAGCCCGTTCTCCCAAATCAGGAAGTAGAGCTTCTTCTTTATCTTTTATGGCAAAATAACAAAAGGAACAAAAATTCTTTTGTTCCTCTGTAAAATGGGAATAACAATTTCTAGTCTTGTAGGAATAGAGATAATATACATCCAGTCGCTAGTGCGTATTGATGTCTAATAGGTAATGACACTGGTAATATCTGTTGCCTGTAGACATTGTGCTAATTAATGACTTACATGCACTATTTTATTTAGCTTTTGCAATGATTAATCTTTACAATGAGGTAATTCCAACTCACCGTATTTCACAGATAGGAAACCCATGCCAGAAACAAGCTAACTAATTTCTGTAGGGACATTTGAGCTATTAAATGGATCTAAAATGCACATTTAACCACAGCACTATGTCACTATGTTCAGAAGTACGTATATCTTTTCAACATGCTTGAAGACACATTAAGTTGCTAAAGGATAATTTTTTAAAGGATTTATTCAAAGAATTAGCCACCTTCTGGCAATAGCCTTCTTTATAACATGCACATAATGAAACATTTGCATAATGTTTCTTTTGAGAAACATTCCTCATATTAAGAAAGGTTTGTCTTTCAAACAGTGAGTAGAACTGTTCTAATCAGGGAGTGAGTCTGCTTAAAAGAGTTTTAGAGCTCAAATGAATTCAGGAACATTTTACAGATGAGAAAATCCAGCAAGTATAGGAATCAACCTACTTAAGAAAGATAGGTTTGACTCTAGAACGCTAAGATCCTTCCACTGTGCATACAGAGCTTTTTATGCCAGAAAATGGTATATTCCTTCTCCACCAGGAAAAGTCAAGTACTTATCAAAAGCCAGCCTGAACCATTTCCCACCTTTGTCTCTTCCATTTTCCCTGCCCAGTCCTTCAGCCTCTTGGTGTTTAGCCTGTGTATTATAATGAGAAACAACAAATATCAAATAAATCCATACAGAGGAAACAGCAGTGTCAGCAACTGAGTGTCAAGGGTGGGGATGGGGTGGAAAGGCAAATCATCAAAATATATAATCCAGGAAAATTTTCATTATTCTCACCTTTGCGGGCTCATTGATGTTTAGGGATAAAATTCAGGCTTTTTTTTTTTTTTTAGTTTCAACTTTTATTTTAGATTCAGGGGGTACATGTGCAGGTTTGTTTATTTATTTATTTATTTATTTATTTATTTATTTATTTTGAGACAGAGTCTCCCTCTGTTACTCAGGCTGGAGTGCCGTAATGCCATCTTGGCTCACTACAACCTCTGTCTCCCGGCTTCAAGCAATTCTCCTGCCTCAGCCTTCTGAGTAACTGGGATTACAGGAGCGCGCCACCACGCCCGGCTAATTTCTTTGTATTTTTATTACGGACGGGGTTTCACATGTTGTTCAGGCTGGTCTTGAACTCCTGACCTCAAGTGATCCACCCACCTCAGCCTCCCAAAGTGCTGAGATTACAGACGTGAGCCACCGTGCCCGGCCCATGTGCAGGTTTATTGAGTGAATATACATGAATATACTGTGTAACACTGAGGTTTGTGGTATGAATGACCCCATCACTCAGGTAGTGAACAGAGTAACCAACAGATTTCGGCACTTGTCCTCTGGCTCCACTCTAGTAATCCTGTGTTTATTATTCCCACTGGGTAAACATTGGGTTCATTTATACCTCCAGTTATAAATGAAAGCATGTGGTATTTGGTTTTCTGTTCCTGTGTCAATTTGCTCAGGATAATGGCCTCCAGCTGCATCCGTGTTGATGCAAAGGCATGATATTATTCATGCCACCATGCATAGTATTCCATGGTACATATACACCACATATTCTTTATCCAATCCACTGTTGATGGGCACCTTGGTTGACTCCATGTCTTCGCTATTGTGAATAGTGCTGCAATAAATATACAAGTGCAGGCGTTTTTCTTGTAGAACGATTTATTTTCCTTTGGGTCTATAAAGAGTAATGGGATTGCTGGGTTGAATTGTAATACTTTTTTTTTTTTTTTTCTGAGACAGAGTCTCGCTCTGTTGCCCAGGCTGCAGTGCAGTGGCACGATCTCGGCTCACTGCAATCTCTGCCTCCTGGGTTCAAACGATTCTCCTGCCTCAGCCTCCTGAGTAGCTGGGATTACAGGCGCCTGCCACCACACTGGCTAATTTTTTTGTATTTTTAGTACACAGGGGTTTTGCCATGTTGGCCAGGCTGATCTGGAACTCCAGACCTCAGGTGATCTGCTCACCTCGTCCTCCCAAAGTGCTAGGATTACAGGCATAAGCCACCGTGCCCAGCCTTGAATTGTAATTCTGTTTTTTTTGAGACTTCTCCAAATTGCTTTTCAGAGTGACCTAATGTACATTCCAACCAGCAGTGTATATGTGTTCCCTTTTCTCCACATCCTCACCAGCATGTTATTTTTTGACTTTTTAATCATAGCTATTCTAACTAGTGGGAGATGGTTTCTCATTATGGGTTTCATTTACATTTCTCTGATGTTTAATGACGACCAATTTTTTTATATTTGTAAGCCATTTGCATATCTTCTTTTGCTAAGTGTCCATCCATGTCTTTTGCCCACTTTTGCCCACATTGTTTTTTTACTTGTTGAATTGTTTAAATTCCTTATAGATTCTGGATACTAGACCTTTGTTGGGTGTGTAGTTTGTGAATATTTTCTCCCATTCTGTAGGTTGTCTCTTTACTCTGTTTATAGTTTCCCTTTGTTGTGCAGAAGCTCTTTAGTGTAATTAGGTCCTGCTTGTCAATTTTTATTTTTGTTGCAATTTCTTTTGAGGACCTAGTCATAAATTCTCTCCCAAGGCCAATGTCCAGAATGGTGTTTCCTGGGTTTTTTTCTCTAGGGCATTTATAGTTTGAGGTCTTACATTTAAATCTTTAATTCATCCTGAGTTAATTTTTGTATATGGGGAAAGGTAGGGGTCCAGTTTCACTCTTCTGCATGAGGCTAGCCAGCTATCCCAGCATTATTTATTGATTAAGGAGTACTTTCCTCATTGCTTAATTTTGTCAACTTTGTTGATGATCAGATGGCTGTAGGTGTGTGGCTTTATTTCTGGGTTCTCTATTCTGTTCCACTGGTCTATGTGTCTGTTTTTGCACCAGCAACATGCTATTTTGGTTACTGTAGCCTTGTAGTATAGCTTGAAGTTGGGTAAGGTGACTCCTCCAACTTTTTTCTTTTTGCTTAGGATTGCTTTGACTATTCGGGCTCTTTTTTGGTTCCATATGAGTCTTAGAACAGTTTTTTTTTCTAATTCTGTGAAAAAATGATGTTGCTAGTTTGATAGAAATAGCATTGAATCAGTAGATTGCTTTGGGCAGTGTAGCCATTTTAATGATATCAAATGGGAAAACATTCTATGCTCATGGGTTGAAAGAATCAATATCATTGAAAGGATCAATATTCCATTTGTTTGTGTCATCTATGATTTCTTTCAGCAGTGTTTCGAAATTCTCCTTGTACAGATCATTTACCTCCTTGGTTAGATGTATTCCTAGGATTTTATTGTTTTGTGGCCCTTGTGAATCGCACTGTATTCTTGATTTGGTCCTCAGCTTGAGTGTTATTGATGTATAGAAATGCCGTTGACTTTTGTACCTTGATTTTGTATTCTGAAGCTTCACTGAAGTTGTTGATCAGTTCTAAGAGCCTTTTGGCAGAGTCTTTAGAGTTTTCTAGGTATAGAATCATATCATTAGTGAAGAGAAATAATTTGACTTCTTCTTTTCCTATTTCGATGTCTTTTATTTCTTGCTCTTGCCTCATTGCTCTGATTAGGACTTCCAGTACTATGTTGAATAGGACTGGTGAGAGTGGGCATCCTTGTCTTATTCCTGCTCTGAAGGAGAATGCTTCCAGCTTTTGCTCATTCAGTGTGATGCTGGATGTGGCTTTGTCATGGATTGCTCTTATTATTTTGAGAACTCAGACATTGTATTATGGCATATGACAGTACAGTCGTTGTTGTCAGACAGTACTATGAATCATGGCTGTACTCCTAATCAGCCTTACGAACCCAGGCAACCTATTATACCTTTCTAAGTTTTTATTTTGCCATCTATAAAATGAGGATAATATAAACTATGTTGAAGGTTAAATGAAATAGATGTGAAATACAAAACCATTGTAAAGGATGTAGCAGAGTTCTAGAAGGAAATTAAGCATTTAAAATTAATAATTTCCCTAGCCACACCATGATGGTATTTTCCTTTATAAATCTATCCTGCCTAGAATAGTGACTGACAAATGGGAAGAGCTCCAAAGAGATTGTTTCTATGAAATAATGAATTATAGAAGAGTAACTAGAAAAAAGTGAGATGTACACCACACAAAAATCACTGACAATCCTATAAATTAAAGGTAGTGATAGGCTGTGTAAACTGGCTCCCTTGCCTCCCACATAGAACCTTGCCCCTCTGCTGAAAATGTTACAGAAATAACTTGAGTTTTGTTGTGTGCTGGATTGGGGTTAGACTTTGGCAATTACCAACTTTGTGAAATAGATTACAAAGCTTCATATATCTCAAGTTCAATTTCTCACTAATACAGTAGATGTAAAAAATGCCCAGCAGAGGAATGCTGGCAAAATACATGGAATGTGCCCCCAGATCATGCTGGCACAGAGAAATTCGATAATTACTGGTTTTCTTCTTCCAGCTCCTCTCTCCCCACTCTGAAGCCCAACATGCCATGCCCCAGATACTTGCTATTTGTGACCAGCCAGGAACAAAGGTTGTTTTTAGGAAAAGCAGAACCCCATCTTTCTTCAATTTCCTGGTTTCCCTTCGTTCTGACCCATGAATGCTTCCCTTACCTCTCACCAGATGTTTACTGGTGATTTCTGTTATATGGCTACCAGACCAGCTACAGGTGGGAAGATGCAATTTTCATGCCAGTAGGGAACAGCATTCTGCTCAGTATTTATGGCCATAAATTAATTAAATTGTAGAATTAGCAGCAATTTTATTACATGCAAAGCAACAATAAAATGATGTATTTATTGTTCTGCTACAGATGGAAGATTGCACTCTGTCCTTTCCTGAAAGCAATTTATCGTTAATTATCATTTATTATACTCTGGGAAGATTTTAATGTAATTATTTGATATACTGAACATTTCAAGTGCATGAGTTGTAAGATATTTTTGCAATAATATTTATAATATTATTTTAATCACCAACCAATGTAGGATGTACTATAAATACAGAAAGTTCATTTTTAAACTGTGGCCATTTTTATAGAGCAGGAAGGAAGGAAGGAAGGAAGGAAGGAAGGAAGGAAGGTTGGTTGGCTGGTTATTTTGCATCTCAACTCCAGGAAAATGAGAGAATGTTGAATAATTGTGGTGCCTTCTTCAGGGTTAATTTTAGAATAAAACTTTGTAAACAAGAACATAATTTGAAAATCTGAGGAGATGTTGCTAATTAATTTATTTCACTTTTAAGGAACGTCAGTAATCCAGGTGACAGCTTCAGATGCAGATGACCCCACTTATGGAAATAGCGCCAAGTTAGTGTACAGTATCCTCGAAGGACAACCCTATTTTTCGGTGGAAGCACAGACAGGTACTGTGGAATGTCACTGTGATTTGTGACACATGGTGAATAAGAAGTCCCAGGCCTGACCAGAACTTATTTAATACTCTGTTTTCTCAAATATGAAAAAGGAATACAGAGGGCTACCCTATAGGGTTAGTGTGAGGATTAGATACTTGGCCTGTGCCTATCACACAGTTAGTACACCATGAAACATTTATTGTTGGTTTTCCCATATTTCACGATGACCCAATAACAACTATAATCTAAAAACTCAACTTTAATATCAGAAGTAAGAGAGCAATAAGGACTAAGTCTTCCACAGTGCTCTCTATATTCCTCACATAACTGTTGCCATATCTACAGAGAGAAAAAGCTTCCAAAGGTCTCCTAAAGATTTAAGTGAGCATGGCACTCATGTGCCAATATCCAGCAATCATGCAGAATTCAGTTATTAATTTATCATTGTTTTCCGTGACAGGTGATAATAGACAGTATGTGCTTATATGAGCATTGTATATATTTTAACCGATTTGGTTCACTCTTTTAAAAATTAATATTTACACTTTAATGTATTGCATGAAATATGCACCTCCTGCTTTAAACTTAATATGCACCATCAAAACATTTCCATGAATTGTATGTAGCAATAGACTTACAGAAGATTGTGCTGGAAGTCAAAAAGTATGAGTTTAGTCATGGATATTCATGCAATGACCACTCAAGTATTTCAGTCTTTAGGGTGTTTATATCTGAGAAGAATAGGGTTATTACTTGAATGTACAACAAAACATAAATACAAATGCTGTATAGTAATTTTTATGATTTGCTTGAAAAGACATAATGATGCTTCAGTATGGCTGCCTTTGGTTGTAATTACCATGTTGAAATGATTCTTGCTGAGGGCATGGGATATTTTATTCAGCATTGCTTCCTCAGTGCTCAGAACTTTCTTGTTGTCATAATGTTATAAACGAATATCTGTGATGTTGCCTGCTTACCTGTCCAGGTATCATCAGAACAGCCCTACCCAACATGGACAGGGAGGCCAAGGAGGAGTACCACGTGGTGATCCAGGCCAAGGACATGGGTGGACATATGGGCGGACTCTCAGGGACAACCAAAGTGACGATCACACTGACCGATGTCAATGACAACCCACCAAAGTTTCCGCAGAGTAAGTAGGTGGACTTGGCTTTCACTTTTCCATGGTGACACAGCCAGCTCTCTCCCTCCTCTAACCTATTCCTGCTTTACTGAGGTATCAAAAAGAAAATCTAGAAAACTAAGGGCAATTCATATCATTCTTACAAAAACAAAACACAAAAACAAGACAACAACAACAACAACAATGTCGGGGAGTAGAGGTAGTAGGAGAATGAAAAGATGTAAAAAGTTCTACAACCCTGGAAACAAAATATCGTTTTTGCTAAGTATTTTGCTTGGTAGTAGTGATGCAATCTAGTAATTAATTAACCCTTTTCTGCCTCAGTGTCCTCATTTCTAACCTGGATATAACAGTCCCTGAATCAGTTATCAATTACTGTGTAACAAATTGCTGGAAAACTTAGTGGTTTAAAACAATAAAAATAATAACAATAATTTGTTTTTATCATGTGTCTGGAATTTGGGCAAGGCTTGGAGGAGACAGCATGCCTCTGTTCTCCATAGCAACAACTGGGGATAGCTCCACTGGGGTTGGAGGATCCACTTCCAAACCAGCTTACTTGCATGGCTGGCAAGTTTGTGTTGATTGCTGCTTCCTTTCTGCGTGGGCTGGTTTTGGAAAGTGTGATCCCCAAGGGCACCAGGCAGAAATTGTCTTGCCTTTTGTTAACTAGCTTCAGAAGTTTCCACTGGAAACTGGAGTCATAAGCCACCAAATGTTTCCACTGGAGTCATAAGGCTCACAAATCTAAGGGGAGTTCATGTAGACCCCACCTTTCAATGGAAGACCTGTCAAAGTCATGTTGAAGGAAAAGCATGTGGGATGGGAGATATTGTTTTGGCCATGTTTTGGAAAATACAGTCTTCCACAGTACCTAATTAATAGGATTACTGTTTGAACTAAAGGAGCTAGTGTAAAATCTTATAATGACAACTGTCTATAAGTCGTCAACAAATTCTAGCCATTGTTATCTGGGGGATTATGGCTGTTCTACAAAATTTATAAAATTGCAGAGGGAATTAAATGAAAAACAATGATTTTGAAAGGTTATTATTAATAATTGTAATTATAGCAACTACCATCATTTAATGAATAGTCACTACTATTGTAAATCTCTGCAGGAGCCTACATTTTACAGATAAAACTGGTTTCCGTAAAAAGTGCATAAGTTGCCCTAGAAATGTGGCAAAGTCAGAGTTTGAACACAAGTCTGTCTATGTATGTACAGATGTGTATGAATGGACAGTATGACTGTGGTGCTGCTGGTGCTGCTAATGCATGGGGGGGTTCATCATGAAAGTGTCTTTTTCAGTTAGAGCCTGTGAGCTTACTATCAGAGAAATGGAACATTTTGCAAATGAGATAACAAGGAAGGCTACTAAATGTGGCCCCAGGAAGGCACTGTGGTTACTCAAAGGAATTCAAAAGCAAGAATCTACACAAGACTCTTTTGCCTGGCCGGGCACAAGTTCAGCATCCTCAATAAGCCTGAGGCTCATATAACATTCAAAGAGCTGCATGCTCCATTATCCACACTGTACGATTGTCTGGTGAGCTGGAAAAGAAAGGTCAAGCAGAATTATTAGCAGGCAGCCTTTACTGCCCTTGGTCATAGACAATCATATAGTAAAGTTACATTGCTACTGTACTGGTTTTACTGGTTTCACTGCCGTGAACTTGAATGAGATTTGGACAAAATCCACATAGGACATTTTTTTTTAAACCTTCACATTAATTGGTAATTATCTACAAGGGACTCCCACTTCCCACTCATCCTTTAATATAGAGGGCATGGTGAGATTAAATAGATTATGAATCCAAAAGAAAGTTGCAAAGCAAAATACTATTGATAAATATAGACAAAGTATTAGAACTGATGAAATCTCTGTAAGGGGAAATTAAAACATAATGAGCTGAAGTAACTTGCCCAAGACCACTTTGCTTGGAAATGATAGAGGAAAGATTTTCAACCCTGGCTTCCCTATATTGTGTGTTGCACAGAGTATTAAATGTGAAAAGCAAATAAGATAATGTTGAATCTTAGCTACTTAGTGCAAACCTTCCAGTGATTTCCCCAAGTTTAAACAAAACCTGAAGTCTTTTCCATTCCCCACAATGGTCTATTTTACGCAATTTGGCCTCCACTTCCTTACAGCCCTTCTCTCTCACCAGAAGGCTGTAGTCACTCTCCTCCTCTTGCTCCTCTGCAAGTATTCAGGATCTTCTCACCTTAGGGTTTTTGCCATTTGCTAATCACCTGGCTGGTAGTTTTTATCCTGCAGATATGCACGTCATTGTCTTCCTCAGTCATTTTAGATTCCTTTTTCTAAAGAATGTCTTCTCCTACCACACTACGCAAAACCAATCTCTCCCTCTTTCTGCTTATCACCCACACATTATTAACACAAGCATGCGTGTTCAATCACACTCATACACATACACAAACTCACTCACAAATAGCTCACATTCATACACACACTCACACTCTTACACAACAGATTCATGCCCACACAATCACTCATGGCCACTCACACATTTACCCCCTCACCCTCACACACAATCATGCACTTACACACCCACAACCACACACCCACTCTCAGAACCCTCACCCTTTTACCCTACTTTATTTTCCTTTTTCATTGCAGTGACATCAGAGTGTGTTTACATTTGTTTTTATTTTTTCTCTTTAGTCGGCCTCATTAAGAGAGGAATCTTGACTGTTTTGTTTAGTAGTAAACAAAACAAGCAAACAAAACAGTGTCCTGGCACTAGGACAGTACCTCCATGTACAGTATTAGGCTCCCAATAAACATTAAATAAATATATAGGAGGGTCACACTGCAGGAAAGCCTTCTGGAGAAGGTAACGCATGACCAACTTGTGAAGCAGGCAAGTTGCGAAGGAGGTGAAATAAGGGGAGTGTCGAATATAGAGTTAGACAGGGAGGGATGTTAAAGTTTGCATTTTTAAAGTAACTATGGAGCTGTTGAAGGAAGGCTTTTAAACAGAGAATTTTTTTTTTCTGGGCTCTTCGCAATACCATAAGTGAGCCTTGGAGTTAACTCATGGACCATCCTGAAGACATGAAAAGAAGCTTCAGCTATTTTGCTAAATGAAGACATGCATGGTTCTCCATCATTACCTGATGGGAAATGTAACAGAGCATTGTTTTTCTCCCTTACATGTGGCAGGTGACCCCAGCATTTCACCTGGACCCAGATATTGTTTTATCACCCTTCGTAGAACACATTCTTTTGACAAGCAGGCCATGTGGGATCCTCCTCCCCACATCCACTCACTTCTTTCATGTTTTCAGTCAATAGAAAGTTCAATTTCAAATCCTTTGAGAAATTTATTGGGATTCAATGAAATCTATAGTCTTACAGCTGCCAAATAAAAGAGAAAATAAAAATAGATGTCTTCTTCTTCTAGGCGTATACCAGATGTCTGTGTCAGAAGCAGCCGTCCCTGGGGAGGAAGTAGGAAGAGTGAAAGCTAAAGATCCAGACATTGGAGAAAATGGCTTAGTCACATACAATATTGTTGATGGAGATGGTATGGAATCGTTTGAAATCACAACGGACTATGAAACACAGGAGGGGGTGATAAAGCTGAAAAAGGTGAGTTAGGGTAAGGAATCAGACGTGTCAGTGGTATGGCCTGCTCTGCCAAGGCAACACTGCAAGAAACAGGGAGGCGACGGTTAAGAAATGAGAATTTGCGAAACCAGGGGCTGACCTGACTTTGTAGTTGAGCTCTGAGCTCTGGAAGATCACAGAATTGTATTCCTTTCTGTTACTGCAGAGAAGCTGACAAAGGGGCTGGTGATACCTGCCTGAGATTGCTAGTTAGTTCTTAAATGTTTTCCGATGGAGGGAAGCACAGTTCTCCCATGGAGGGAAGGACAATGAGATAAATCTAGATTTTGAAGAAGCAGCCCTGAGCATGCATGGAATTCCCCCCTTAGCTCTGCCACACTGAATCTGTTAGATAAGCTGTTCAGAACTCTTACTGTTTCAACATTCAAGATTCACTGCATTGCTGGACCCTCTGTGAAACTGAAGCCTTCTCTACTTGTTTTTATCTCAAGTGAACCTGGAGAAGCAACAATAATGGACCTTCTCCCCTAGTCAAAGAGCCTGTGGACCTCCCCTCATAGTCAGTCTCCAAAAACATGTATCTGGAATTAATTTATTACAAAGAGAAGTTTAGTGTTTCTTCTTTTTTACATGCGCTCAATACTGACTACTGGCCAGACACAGCACCATCCTCTTACAAACATCATTTCATTTACTTTTCACAAAAACAAACAAAAGTATGAAGTAGGTAGTGTTATCCCAATGGGCAAAGAGACCTCAACTTAATTTTGAGGAGATTGGGGCTCAGACAGATGAAATCATTTGACCCAGTCACTGTCATATAGCTCAGGCATGCCGACCTGGAATTCACACCTTAGTTATTCTAGAACAACTTCCCTCTCAAGACATTTTGAAAACAGCTGGCCTGGAAAGCGTTTGTAAAGAAGAGCCAGATAAGATTCACTTCCAAGTGAAGAAATAATTCCCGTACATTCTAAAAAGGTTTCCCCCCGTGATTTACCACTTGAGAAATCAACACCTCTCCATCATGAAAGTGTATGGAGCATTAAATCGGAATTGGAAGATGGGATTACCTTGGTTTTAATCAAGCGTTCATTTTCAACTTAGTTTTATAGCATGAATATTAAACTCCTTGGTGCGATGGAAAAGACTGGACTCTAACACTGATAGAAAATTAATTTGAAGCATCAATAAAGAGGCCAGTAGCTAAAGAGGAGGGAAGGACCAGTGGGGGAAGACAGGTCCTGAAAGGAATCTTTCAGGTGGGGGAGCAAGGAGTGACCTGTGCTAAGAAACTGACCTTTCACAGACTTTTAAAGTATGTTGGGGTTGGGGAAAATATTATAGAGCACAAAACAAAGAAAAGGTAGGGGGTGATTGTTATAAAAAAAGAAAGAAAATGAAGGATATGGAAATTGGGGTGAAATTTGGATACTTGGAAAAGTCTACATTAATGGATGAATGGTAGGACCGAGGAAGCCTAATTATCAACCACAGGGAGCTAGGGCAGTCACTAATTCTGGTTTCTCCTCTGGAAAAGTAGCTGTGTGAATTGTGTGTTGCCTAGAGCTGTCAACTTACTTCGTTAATTAATATTACTATCTCTTCTGCTTGACACTGACATATGAACATTGACATCAGCAATTCCTGCCTCCCATCCTTTGCTGTTCATGTAATTGGGTAGTTGGTTATGCTAAGGTTGTCACCTGTTTTTAGTGTATTCAGGGCATAAACACACACTGTATCTCTGAAATCCTGAAACATTTAAATCACCCCCATGGAACTCACACGTCGCAAATGAGCTCTCTGCATATGATTAATTTGCACATTTGCCTCCAATTCAGTGTGTTTATTCTAGGCAAAGGAATAATCTTCTATAAAGCACTGATGCTTAGGTTTTAAATAGTGTAAGATGTTATTGCATTTGTAAAAGAACATTTGCTCAAACTTCTAGCACAAAGTTCCAAATGTCCACCGGGGGAAAAAAAAGAAAAATTATAGATGAATTTAACAGAGTAAAAATATGACTCCTTGTGAAAGTCATTCCATGCAATTTAATACTGTAAAAGTCTATAGAGACATTATGGCAATATTTCTGCATTTTAAAGTATTTTTTAACTTAGTGTTTTTATTTATTTCCTAATTTATTCACCCATTTTTCCACCAAGAGTTATTGAGTTCTTACTATTTGTCAGGCAGGCCCTTTGCCAGAGGCTGGAAATCTAAAGTTGAAGAGGCAGAGTCTTGACCACAGGGAGTTCACAATTTAACAGGACAGTGAAGTGATACAATAATTAAAACCGAGAGGGTTTTCTCAGCCTTAGCAGTGTTGATGTCTAGGGCTGGATAATTCTTTGTTGTAGGAGGCTGTTCTGCGCATTGTAGGATATTTGGTAGTATCTAGTATCCCAGGCTTCCCCTCACTAAAGGTCATTAAGCACGTGCTCTACCCCACCCAACAGTCCTGATAATAATAATAAAAATAATTACTCTAGACATTGCCTAATAGCCCTGGAGTAACTGGGAGCAAAATCACTCCCCAGTTGAAAATTGACTGCAATAGTGTGATAAGGCCTATGCACATGGGACATGAATGACTTCTTGTGGGGGCAGTTCTCAAGCTGAGTCTTGATAGATGAGGAGAAATTTGCTGGATAGTTAAGGACAGAAAAGGCAGAAAAAATAACTCATGATGGGCTAGTATCAATGGAAACAGGACACATTTAAGAAACTGCAATACCTTCAATCTTGAGAATCTTAAGATATATACGGTAAAACCAACAAACAAACTTGTTAAAATTCAAGGGAGATGTTACAAAGAATTGAAGAAGGTAGAAGAGGTAGTGAGATAGTAGTGAAGGAGAAGAATTCAAGAAATAATTACTAGATAGAATCATTCATTTATTGAATATTTTAGAAAACAATAAATACCTCTTGAGTTCTGACTGTGTCTTAGTTTAATAGTGCACAGGAAAGAGAGAAACTACCCTTGGGGTATTTGGACAATCTCTGTGTGGTTAGCTGAGGAAGAACCAGGGTCAAATAAAGATGAGGTTTTAGGTGGCTTCGTGGACTTAGAGGGGAAAATCCAATCTGTTCACGCAGCACCTTTGACTAAATGGGAATCCCATCTATCTCAGAGAAATCACCGCACAGTGTCTGAGCTATTTATTTTCAACCAGATAAACTCCTTGAAAAGCAGTGTCAGAGCAGAATTATAAGGCATTTTTAATATTCCCTGTTTTAATAAAACTCTTTTTATGTTTGATTTTTCTTTATATTCTTTGTCCGCACGTATATAGATGTGGATACATAACATTTAACACGGTTGCAATCAGAGGGTGATCTGATTTGTTAACTTAATGTCACATCATAAACATTTTACATGCTGTTATATAATGTACATAATCATTTTTAATGACTACATAACATCCCATCCTATTGACGAATCATTATGTCCTTAATAAAATCTCACAGTTGGATTTGGTGTTTTGTGTGTACATTTCCACAGATTAGATATAACCTTCTATTATATCTAACAAATATCATGCATTTTTGAATATTGTTTGTTTTGGTTTTCTGTTGAATTAATCCCTCAGGGAAGATTTTCAGAGGTGGGATTAGTAAACTACGGGGTATTAAGAATTTTATGGCTTATGCAATGTGTTGCCTCATTTAGCTTTATTTCAACTACTCATAACATGGATATAAATGTTCACATGGGAAACTACCTCACATCTTGTTTTGGAGGGAGGAAGGGAATAAATTGTAGGCAAATGTCTAAATGTTAAGCATCTATCAGCCCCACTCTTCATTCAGTCAAAATGATGGATGCATATGATCACTTGGTACAGTCATTCTTGCCTACTGTGGGACAAAGATCAGCAAAGAGCAGTAAGACTCAGTAGACTTCTAAGGGATGCTCCCCTCCATTCCACTCCAACCCCCACCTCGCTGGGGAGGGAAATGAAGGGCTGCCAAAGGGCCACTAGGGGGCCACACAAATCTATCTGGGGCTGTTGAGGAGGACTTCACAAGGCAATGAGGCTTGAACTGACTACCAGACTTGGAATCTCGCCAAACTGGGAAAGTACATCCCACATAAACCTCTGCAAAGGCCTGGAGAGCCTAGCTTGGGATGTGAAACTGCAGCATGAGGATATTATCCTCAACACCCACAGGGCTTCCCAGTGGGAAAATAGCTCCAGGTTCTCAGGCATATGCCTAAACCAAGTACAAAAGTTTCTGCTCTAGCAAGATCAACAGACTATGTGATATTAGAAAATTTCCACTTTTCTGATTATAAATTACCCAGTCTCAGAACTATCATATTCCAGTGTTTAATGCTATCTAATATTTGAAAGGATTTTTTAGAAGTTGCAGCAATCTTGTATGTTCAGCCTATAAATATCATTCCTTTCTGCTGCTCAGTAACCTAGCCAAGGATAAAGGAACTGCTGGGTCCCAGGATGATGGAAAGGCTGGGGGCAGATTTAGATTTAGGAAAAGGTAGTGTTTCCTGACTCTGGGAAGATGGAGGTGGGAAGATGATAGAAAAAGTATCAAGGATATTGAACTTGCTTAACCCTGTTGAAACTGGGATCATCAGCTTTAGTGTAGAGTACTGCAAAATTAGATCAGGAATAAGCCCCATGACTATATGCCCATTCAGAATAAGCGTTTGCCAGGCAAATGACAACAGCATGGCAGGCAGATGCTCGCCTTAAAAGATGAAACTCTTTCCAAACATTTGGTAGTTCAGCAACATCCAGAGCACTAATTAGAAAGTTGTTTCCCAGGCAGCCGGGCTTGTTTCTCTGCTACAATGTTACTTTCCATCCTTTGCTGACTGATTCACTGTAACTCCTCTCATTCAAAATTAGGCAGTGTTTACTATCAATTTCCCTATAACTACAGCCATTCAAATGCTACTACTCATTTTTTTTCTTTCATATTTGTGTAAAATTTTACTGCTTTCATTTGTTTTTCTTTAAATAGACCATCTTTAATATATATGCATTCTTTTTTTTTTTAAAAAAAGAAGCATTTTAAAAAAGGAAACATTTCCCTTATTATCTTGTCACTTGCCAAAAATAGAAGGTAACTTAAAAATAAATGCAATCAAACCAAAACGATGCCATTACATTCTAGCTAGAGTTGTATCATAATATCTCACAAAAGAGATTGTGAAGCAGAGCAGATGTGTTAAAACGGAGATGTTCTACTTGGTGTGTCAAGGATTTAAAGACTTGGAAAAGAAAGAATTATCTCACTATGTGAGTTAATATCATTTGACAACCTCACCTATCAAATTACCTATAAACCACCCTATGTCATCTTATGGGCCACTGCTGGTAAGAGTCCCAGACATTGGGAAACAACGTGGTCAGAAACTTTCAACATGAAGCTTTCAATATGATCAAGCTGGATGGTTGCGGGTGGGAGAGGTATGAAGCAGTCATCAAACAAGACATGCTTTTTGGCTGAAATTCAGTGGTATTTTTGTTACCAGGATTCTTAGTTTTCAGAATGAGGTACCAAATGTATTTTTGCAATGTTTTAATTCCCTTCCTTAGGTAATTCTTAGTGACTTATTTGGGCAACATTAGTGTTGCTATATAGAATAAGTTTCATTTTAGATGACGTGGTCTTTCTGTGTCTGTTGTGCTCTTCGAATGACCCATTAAGCACATTCTAGGTTTCAGCAATTGATTTGTGTGATTTTCTGACCAAATGGCTCAGGTAATTGGAAATTGAGTAGACTCTGATTTTCTCTCTTTGAGGAATATTCACTCGTCCCTATAAAACAATCGGGTCTTTCTCTTCCATTATTCTTTCAAGGAATTGGTTGTCAATCTTCTCTTCATTCTTGCCAGCCTGTAGATTTTGAAACCAAAAGAGCCTATAGCTTGAAGGTAGAGGCAGCCAACGTGCACATCGACCCGAAGTTTATCAGCAATGGCCCTTTCAAGGACACTGTGACCGTCAAGATCTCAGTAGAAGATGCTGATGAGCCCCCTATGTTCTTGGCCCCAAGTTACATCCACGAAGTCCAAGAAAATGCAGCTGCTGGCACCGTGGTTGGGAGAGTGCATGCCAAAGACCCTGATGCTGCCAACAGCCCGATAAGGTACAGACGGATTTATTTTAAGAGCTTGGATGGGGAATTTTAGAGTCAAGAGGTTCTGGGAAAGCCCTGTAGGAACCACGTTTTTCAATTTCAAAAAGGGTTCAAGTTTATCAGGTTCAATAGAATGTAAACAAGATTAAGATTTAGAAGACATGAGCTTCCCTTCACCTCTGTTCCTGACTTTTTGGATAGGATTGTTCAAGCTACATGACTTTGCTCTGGAGCAGATTCCCCCAGGCATACTAGGTGACGGAGCCCTGAGCTGGGCCTGTCTGCCTCAGGGGACTGTGGGGAAATATAAATAATTATTGTGAAATAATTATAGTAATTGCAATTTATTAAATACCTTCCCATTCTCTGGTTACTCTATGAGGAGGTTAGGTATGTGATCTAATCAATCCCCTCAACTTAATCGATGTATAAATTGCTAGTCCTTAAAATGAGAGGAAATTGGAGGCAATGCAAGACAAAGTGACTTGCCTGGAATGATACAGCCACCGAGCAGGAGGCAAGGAAAGCCAGCTCTGTCTAACTGCTGCTGAGTACTTTGTAAAAGTAGTAAAGTGTCCAAATAAATTTCAGGTGATTTTATTATTATGAATACCTTTTTTTGTGACAAAAAAAATGTGATCCAGAACTGTGGCTGGGCACCGTGGCTCACATCTGTAATCTCATCACTTTGGGAAGGCTAAGGCGGGTGGATCACCTAAGGTAAGGAGTTCGAACCCAGCCTTTACAATGTAATGAAACCCTGCCTCTACTAAAAATACAAAATTTAGCTGGGCATGGTGGCATGCACCTGTAATTCCAGCTCCTCAGGAGGCTGAGGCAGGACAATCGCTTGAACCCGAGAGGCAGAGGTTGCAGTAAGCCGAGATCAAGCCACTGCATTCTAGCCTGGGTGGCAGAGTGAGACCCTGTCTCAAAAAAAAAAAAAAAAAAAAAAAAAAGAAAGAAAGAAAGAAAAAGTGATCCAAAACTCTGCTTCTCCACTTTCCTCTTCATCCTGAGCTAATGACTGATGAAGCTAATGACAAAAATGAGAGGGTGATAAGAAGGAGGTGGAGAAGGGGCTTGAATCACACGTTTACAGAGTGGAAGTTGATAGTGCCCTGGAATTTCCCCTGGACCGGATTCTAGCAGGGGTTTCTTTTCCCACAGCCACTCCTCTCATTTCCTTCTTGCTTGGATTTCTTTATATGCCTCCACAGGGTCTCCCAACCCTCAGTCTTTCATTTACCTCTCTGCATGAATCCTGACTCTGCAGCCAGAGTGACCCTCATACAATGCACATCCAAACATCACATCTTACCTTAGTTAAAACACAAGAAAAAATTAATGATTAAATGGTTCCCTGTTGTCTCCCTCTTCAAAATAATCTAACCTCATTCACTTAGTTTAAAAAACTTCTTTGCACCCCTCTACCTCCATCTCATTCTTTGAAGCTCTCCTGCTGTCTCCTAATCCCTGGACTTCACATGTTCCTCCTTCTAGCTGGTAGCCCTTGCCTTTCCAAGTTACCACATTGGACTCATTTTCTCCATCTCCACTTAGGTGTTATCTCCTATAGGAATTCTTCCAGGGCTCCCTAGAGATGTATCGGATGTCCTTCCTCTTGCTCCTCCCTACCTCACCCCCCAGGCTACATCACAGGGACACTTAGGTTATGTGAGGTCCTCACTAGAGGATAGTCTCAAAGAGCTGGATGTCTGTCTAGTTTAGGCCTTGGCAAACTATAGCCCATAGGCCAAATCTGGCTGCCATTTGCTTTTCTGTCTCACTCTCTTTTTTTTTTCTGTTGTGAAAAAAATTTACATATCATGAAGCATGAACTTTACCTGTTCAACTTGTACAATTTATTGGTTTTTAGTATATTTCATGAAGATGTTCAACCATTACCACTGTCTAATTCCAGAATATTTTTATTGATCCCCCCCACAAAAGAAATCCTATGTCCATTAGCAGTCACTCCCCGTTTCTCCTGCTTCCCAGCCTCCTGTAACAATTAACTTATTTTGTGTCTGTATGTTTGCCTATTCTGGACATTTCATATAAATGGAATAATACAACATGTGGTCTTATGTAACTGAATTTTTGCATGTAGCATAATGATTTTGAGGTTCATACATGTTGCAGAGTGCATCACTAATTCATTTCTTTTTATCTCTGAAGTAATTTTTCATTGTATGGGTGCACCACATTTTATTTGCTCATTTATCATTTGGATACATGTTTGAGTTGTTTCCAAACTTGGCTATGACAGATAATGCTGAACATTCCTGGACATGTCTTAGCCTAAACATGTTTTCCTCTTTCCTGGGCATATACCTAGGAGTGGAATTGCTGGATTACATGGTAACTCTATGTTTAACTTTCTGAGGAGCTGCCAAAGTGTTTTCCACAGTGGCTGTACCATTTTACTTTCTTATCAACAATATATGAGAGTTCCAGTTTCTCCACATTCTCACCAACACTTTTTTGCCTCTTTTCATTATAGCTATCATAGTGGGTATGAAATGATATATCATTATAGTTTTGATTTGTATTTTCATAATGACTAGTGACACCAAGCATCTTTTATTTATTTATTTATTTGCTACTGAGACATAGTTTCACTCTGTCGCCCAGGCTGGAGTGCAGTGGCACGATCTCAGCTCACTCCAACCTATGCTTCCCAGGCTCGGGCGAGTCTTGTGCTTCAGTCCCCCAAGTAGCTGGGACTACAGGTGCACACCACCAGGCCCAGCTATTTTTTAAAAAAATAGAGACAGGGTTTTGCCATGTTGGCCACGCTGGTCTCAAATTCCTGGCCTCAAATGATCCACCTGTTTCTGCCTTCCAAAGTGCTGGAATTACACGCATGAGCCACTGCACCTGGCCTGAGCATCTTTTTATGTGCTTATTAGCCATTTGTATGTCTTCTTGGGAGAAATATCTATTCAAGAATTTTGCCCATTTCATAAGTGGATTATTTGTCTTTTTACTGTTGTTGTAAGAGCTCTTTATGTATTCTGAATGGTAGGGCCTTATCAGGTATATGATTTGCATTTTTTTCTCATTCCATGGGATATCTTTTCAGTTTCTTAATAGTGTCCTTTGAGGCATAAAAGTTTTAATTTTGAGGAATTCTAGTGGGTCTATTCTTTTTTTTTAATGTCTATGATGAAATAATTGTCTAATCTAAAGTCATGAATGATTTACACATTTTTTAAAAATAAACTTTATGCTTTTAGCTTTCACATTTAGATTTTTATCAGTTTTGAGTATAATTTTATGTATGTTGTCAGGAAGGGGTCCAACTTTATTATTTTGCATGTGCATATCCAATTATTCCAGCACTATTTGTTGAAAATACTATTTTGTCTTAATTGAATGATCTTGGCATTCAGGTTGAAAATTGACCATTCATAGTCATAGAAACCAGGATTGTTTTGTACTGTTGATTACATTGCATTAATTATATGTCTATCCATACAGCAGTACCACATAGCCTTCATAACCATAACTTTGTACTATGTTTTGAAATCAGGAACTGTGAGTTCTTCATCTTTTTTCTCACCACCTATTTTTGTAGATAATGTTATATGGGAAGATAGTCACATCATTTGTTTGCATATTATCTATGTCTTCTTTCCTGCTGCAAGGGCAGAGTTGAGTAGTTGAAACAGAGATTCTAATTTCTGCACAAGCTAAACATTTGCTGGCTGGCCCTTGCAGAACAAGTTTGCTGGCCCCTGTTATAGATCATCACTGCGCCTTCCACTAAACAGAGTACATGGCCCAAATTCGATGTCTAACAAATATTTATTGAATAAATAAATAAAATAACTCCTGATTTGGCTTGGAAGGTCAAGCTCACAGTTTTTGAGTGTAAAACAGGAGGCGTGATAGAAGTGATGACATCTTATTCACACATTTATTTGACAAACCTTCATTGAGCACACACTGGGGGTTCCCAATATACCTAGGGAGGCACTAATGAATTTACTTATGAAAAAGTAAATGGATCTAAATATGAAAGGAAATTACACGGACAATGGAATTTGTCCATTTATATCAAAGAAAATAGTGGCAGGAAAGAAGGAATTCCCAACTATAAGTGGTGTTGGGTTGCTTTTGGATCTTTGAACACTGATTCTTCTGAGGAAAAGAGAGATAATTAACATTTACTGAGCATCTTTTCAGCCTCATACAACAGGTTTTACAAAGTTATTTCAGTCAGTTCTCACTGACATCCTTTGTGGCTATGACTGCTCTAGAATTGAACAGGTGGGAAGAGTGAGGCTCAGAGCAATGATGAGACTTCTTTAAAGTCACGTGGACAGTCAGTATTGAACACTGGATTTCAGCCCAGATCTGTCTTGAGTTCATTTTGAGCTTTTTACTTTAACCCAGCAGCCACTAATGGAAAGATTTCCCAAGAAGGTTTGATTACTATATTCTCTTTGTGCAGAAAGATATGTTACATAATGACTATGGACCCTTCTAACACCTTTAAATGACTTAAAAATCTTCACAGTGTGAAGTTTAAATGAGTTATCTCTGGCCTAGAATATCGAGGTGCATTAGAAACTTTTTAGAAGAGCAGTGACTGTGACGTAAAAACACTCACTCATTTCCTCTGCACCTCATTGTCTCCAAGGATTCACATCTGCAATTGATTATTTGGGTCATGTTTTCAAATGGTAGCTGTTCTGTGCATGTAGGCAATTTCCATGTCTATAATTATCCAAGGATGCTCAATACCACACTTGAACCAACCGCCCACTCCCACCTACTTGGGTCTTTGTTATTTAGAAATACCAGACAAATTTTAAGAGAATATTCAAAGCTTTTATATTTGTTTTTGAGACAGGGTCTCACTCTGTCACCCAGCCTGGAGTGCAGTGGTGTCATCATGGTTCACTGAAGACTTGAGCTCCCTGCGCTCAGGTGAACCTCCCACATCAGCCTCCCAAGTAACTGGGACTGCAGGTGCATGCCACTGTGCCTGCCTAATTTTTTTTGTTTTGTTTTTGTAGAGAGGGGGTTCTCACTATGTTGCCCATGCTGGTCTCAAACTCCTGGGCTTAAGTGATCCTCCTGGCTCAGCTCCCCAAAATGCTGGGATTTCAGGCATGAACCACTGCACCTAGTCTATTCAAAGCTTTTTTGTTGGTTGGTTGGTTGGTTGGTTGGTTGGTTGGTTGGTTGGTTTTTGGAGACCGAGTCTCACTCTGTTGCCCAGGCTGGAGTGCAGTGGCGTGATCCCAGCTCACTGCAACCTCCGCCTCCTGGGTTCAAGCAATTCTCTCCCAAGTAGCTGGGATTATAGGTGTGTGCCACCATGCCCAGCTAATTTTGTATATTTAGTATAAATAGAGACAGGTTTCACCATGTTAACCAGGCTAATCTTGAACTCCTGACCTCTGGTGATCCGCCCACCTTGGCCTCCCAAAGTGCTGGGATTACAGGCTTGAGCCATCAGGCAAGGCCTCCAAACTTTTTATCTAATGGGTCTTTTATCTTCCCTTCCTAATTTCCTGGTTGTTTCTCTTCAACTTTGAGGACATTTGAGTCTTTGGACATATAATGGAGGCCTTGCAATATCACCATAACTCTTAACTTCTTGGACATTCTGCAGTTTTTTGTTTTTGTTTTTTTTTGTCTCAGACTGTAGCATTAGACACATTTTTGTTCAGAATTTCCTTTCTGAAATATTATCTCCCTTTAGTTTTCTTGGCACTAACCTGTTATGCCTCAGATAACACTGTACCTGATGTCTTCACTAGTCTTTGATCCCTGTCCAGGCATTGACTTGGTCCTTCTCTCTGTGTCCACTCACCTATAGGGCTTTTACCCAAGCCGTAATTGACCTAAGTGGATGCTTCAGATTTCCTGCTCCTAGGCTGATCTTTCTCCCCAACTCTAACTCTGCATTTATGATACTGTCTGTTGTGCATTTTTACCCATTTGCTTTTTCTTTCACTGGCTCACTCATTTATCCAAGACATATTTTTGATCTTGTAATTATTGTGACATACTTTAAAACAAAAACAGCTGTTTCCACCCCTGACTTCCTGAAGCCTGCAATAGAGTTGAGTCTTTTCTTTCTGAGCATTTTGACATATCCTTAATTAAATGTCAACCTTTCCTTCCTGGTAATTGATTTTTCCTCTTTTTCTTTTTAATTTTTTAAATAATTTCAACAGTTATTTTTGATTCAGGGGGTACATGTGTAGGTTAGTTAATGGTTATATTGTGTAGTGCTGAGGTTGGGGGTATGATTGATCCTGTCTCATTACAGGGCATATATCCAAAGGAAAATCAACTTTATAAAAATTTATTTAAAAATATATATCCAGAGGAAAATAAAAACACACAAGCACTCAACTGTTCATCACAGCACTATTCACAATAGCAAGCATGTTCTTTTTCAATGTCTTTAAATCTCCCTCTCTCAGACACTCAGGTGAGAAGCTACCTGGGACTCTCTCAGCCTCCCCTAGATGCCCAAATATCCACTAAATCCTACTTGGGCTTTCATCATCATCTAGGATTCCATTTCCTCTGTTACCCCTGTACTTCACTCTCATCACCTCATGTATTTAAAAACAAAATCAAATCCTTAAGTTTCCTCTGCTCCTTCTTCTACTCTCACTTCCTCAGACCATCTTGCCCATCATGCGTTATTGATCTCCTTGAGAGCTTGCGTTCTTTTATTTGCTCCTCTGCTCAAAGCCTTCCATGATTTCTCACTGGCTCTAGGATGAAGGTCACACTCTTACATATGAGAGCTTCCACAGTTTGTTCTCAGTGTGTAACAGCAGCATCAACAACAAAAATAATAGCAGTTACTGTTGGTTGCAATGTGTGAGTCACTAAATTATGTATCTTAAACATTTATTATTTTATTGAATTCTCACAGATAACATAAAAGTTAGGTACTATTAATATTCCAGTTCAGCCAGGTTCCTACAATCCCAGCTACCCAGGAGCCTGAGGCAGAAGGATGACTTGAGCCCAGCTGTTCAAGACAAGCTGGGGCCACATAGTGAGATTCTGTTTGGGAAAAAAAATACGCATTCCATTTTAGAAGATAAATATGCTAAGGCTCAAAGAACTTAAGTGGCTTTTCCAATATCATCTAGCTTATATGTAGCAGATTATGAAGTTGTACTTAGGACTTCCAAAACCCAAAACTCATGCCCTTCATTTCTGTGGAATAATACCTTGAATTATTAATGATCTTTCTTCCCACATGTGTGTTGTCATGTCAACTAAATAGTGAGCTCCTTCATGGAAGGAAAAAAAGTCTTTGATTATTTTTTTGACTCCTTTCCACATAGTGTTATCTGCTGAGGGCTCAGTTGCTGAGCCTCTCCTGACATTGAGGAGGTGTATGAATATCTTTGGTTTTGTCACTGTGCAAGGGGACTCATTATTCTATTCCTATGGGGAGCTGTGAAGTTAAGTGACATCATGAATGAGCTCATGTTTGTATACTGTGAAGTGCCGCTCAGTGGGGGGTCCCTCTTTCCTGAAAAGAACATGATCTGGGATTAGAAGATCTGGCTTCCAATATTGTCTCTTCCAGAAACTAGACATAGGCCAAGTTTCATCTTTTGTAAATCCAGGCAATTAAACCTTCCGATATTCATGGCCTCTGCTATCTCTAATATTCTTTGATTTTTGACCATCACTGAATGCCTTCTGACATACTCATTTTGTAAATTTTGGGAAATCATAGCTTAGACCTCTAAGAGCAGAAAACCACACACTTATGAAGCTCAGCGTACTACCTGAATTAACATAACCCATTTTTGTTCTTTTCTATTTTGGAGTTAGTATAAGGGAGTGGAAAGGGAAGGGGTTTGGAGTTCAACAGACCCATTAAAACAAGACTGTATCCTGGGCAAGTTATTTTACCTTACTACAACTCAGTAAATGCCATTCTTCCGCCATCTCCCACCTCACTTTGCCACAAATACAGCCCAATAATATTATGTGGTTTTTTTATCCGTTATTAGTAAAAAGTTAACTTAGTGGGTGGGAGTAACTAAAATCTTCAAGCTGTGCTGTTTTGCACAGCCTGGAGTCATTAAAATATGGGAAAATGCCCTACAAGTAAATGGCCAAGCTTACTTTGTACATTACACGCTGGAACTCAGAGCCAAGCTAACTGAGAACCCCTGAAACTAAATGAACTAAACAGATTTACTAAAATGTAGTGAACATTTTTCTTTTGTCTTTTTTTTTTCCTGAGACAGAGTCTTTCTCTGTCACCCACGCTGGAGTGCAGTGGCATGATCTTGGCTAACTGCAGCCTCCGCTTCCCGGATTCAATGATTCTCATGCCTCAGCCTCCCGAGTAACTGGGATTATAGGTGTGTGCCACCATCCCCAGCTAGTTTTTGTATTTTTTAGTAGAGATGCGATTTCACCATGTTGGTCAGGCTGGTCCTGAACTCCTGGCCTCAAATGATCCATCCGCCTTGGCCTCCCAAAGTGCTGGGATTACAGGAGTGAGACACTGCACCAGGCTGCATTTTTCTTTAAATAAGACAAACTGATTTTTAGGTCTATACATGATCTTGATAAATTTAAATACACTTGAACGGATTTAAAATTTCATATGCAAAAATCTGGCAAAGGTTTGATACATTTGTGACTTTCTGAGTAGTTTGGGAGCAAGGCAAACTCACTTTCCAAATGCAGTTTCATAAATATTCAGAGGATGGGTGATTGTAGTAAATATGGAGAAATATGCACCACATTATTGTACTTCTCAATCAAATATGCTAAACAACTCTTTCATTCATTGTACTGAATAAGGAATTCCAATGTGGCAAAGTTATTTCTATAAAAGAATCGTGTACAAAGTTTCAAAAGTAAATTTGATTAGAAAGAAAATCTAGCTTAAGTAATTCATTGAGAAGCTTGATTTAAATATAGCATGGAGAAAATATTCAAATATTAAGCTGCTCTGAATGTCTTGGTCTAATTGCCTCATTTGCATTCTGCTTAGGTATTCCATCGATCGTCACACTGACCTCGACAGATTTTTCACTATTAATCCAGAGGATGGTTTTATTAAAACTACAAAACCTCTGGATAGAGAGGAAACAGCCTGGCTCAACATCACTGTCTTTGCAGCAGAAATCCGTAAGTATTCTCCTCATGGTTTTGATTCTACTTTACCAAGTATTATCGCTTCAGACTCTATATTCTGGAAAGTAAAATAGCTGAGATAGACTAACTTTTTTGGTCTTAAACAGATTTTTCAGTCTTTAAAATGTGTTTTCGGTTATCTTTCTAGGAGTACATATAGGCAAAGGGAAATGTTCTTGTTTTCTCTGACAGAACTGGGTATAGACTTGGCAAGAGAGCCAGTAGCCCTCAGGAGTTTGAAACTCATAACCATCACTGAAAGATTTCCCACTCCATCCAGTCACTAGTCTTCACTGAACCCAGAAAAGCAAAGTCCTTAGGCCCAAGGTTTGTGGGTTCTTGTTTATCTATAGACAACAACTCAAACTTGATCATGCATCAGGTTGATCAGTCATCAAGCTTGATTTCTGGACCCTGCCCCAGAGACTCTGATTCAGTAGGTCTGGGATAGGGCCTGAGAATTTTTGCTTCCAACAAGTTCCCAGATGGTTTTAATGCTTCTCTCTAGACTCCCACATTTAAGAACCACTTTGATAGACATCTCTCTGGGGATCAGGCTCCATGATAGGCCTTTAGAATTAAAGCTCAGCATCAAAGTCAGCAGATGTGGAAAAGTGTTTTAGTTCTTACTGGTCTTAATATTGACATTTATTCTAGGATATGCCTCTCCCACTAACAGCACCCTTCAGCTCTTAAATCGATTCTGTGACAAGAACATCTTTCCCTGCACTGCCCAGATAGGTGGCTGGAGCTTACTCTTTCCCAAGAATATGCCTGGACCAATGTGTATTTCTCCTTGACCTTTCTTGACTGTCTGCATTCTGTCTTCCCAGACAATCGGCATCAGGAAGCCAAAGTCCCAGTGGCCATTAGGGTCCTTGATGTCAACGATAATGCTCCCAAGTTTGCTGCCCCTTATGAAGGTTTCATCTGTGAGAGTGATCAGACCAAGCCACTTTCCAACCAGGTAATCCTGCTTTCCCTATTCTTGGCTAGGAACAATGCACTTGGAAATAGAGTGTGTTTTTTAAACCATCACTTGGAGATACCAACCACTGCCCAAAAAGGTTTCAGAGCCATAGTTTTGTTCTGAAGTTATGTTCTCTAATTAAAATCAGGCTTTCTAGCCAGCCAGAAATTTTTGAATAAATGATGTGCCAATGTCAGCATGATTTATTTATGGGCCACCTTTCTCTTTCAGCCAATTGTTACAATTAGTGCAGATGACAAGGATGACACGGCCAATGGACCAAGATTTATCTTCAGCCTACCCCCTGAAATCATTCACAATCCAAATTTCACAGTCAGAGACAACCGAGGTTTGTACTAAGGTTCCTACGCATTCAGAGAAGTAGAACTGGAAAACAAATGGCGTTTACATTGCATAGCACAAGTATTTTCACTAATCTTTATAATGTCTTCCTGTTGAAGAAGAAACCGGAAATAATAATGCCACCTCTGTTCTGAAACATGGGCTCATTTGATGCATGCGAATAAGTGAGTCTAATTTTATTTACATTTTTTGGCTTTGATATTCATGAAGCAGTGGGAAAACTAAGTGGGGAAGCTTACAGGGTCAATATGCAAACAACTCCATTTATCTTTTTTTTCAAGAGGTTGATAAACCCTTGGGGGAAGGATAGCTTTATGAATATTGATATCAAGTAAAGCATTAAAAGAGATTAGTTCAACTTTGTAAGGCAATTTAATCTTTCAGCTGGCCTTCCTTTCCAAGTACAGTTTTAATGCAGTGTGGCTGGGTACAGAGCTCAATATCTAAAAGTAGTTGCAGAATTGTTGCCTGAAGGGCATGAAACAAAGCATTGTTTGTCCATTATAAAAACGGCAAAATTTAATACTATTTCTGCTTCCCCTTTCATTAGTTAAGGAGGTTCTAGACTTGCAGATTATTAGAAATAGATGTTTTTGTTTTTGTAGTCCCAGACCTGATGCAGTCCCTAGATAAAGTTGGTAGCAGAGCCAGGAAAGATGAATATATGTATATATTTTTTACTCTCATCCACACTGTTTTTCTCTGTCCATTACTTGGTAGTGAAATTGCCCATTTAAGTTTGTGAAGGTGCAGGCCTGTGAAAACAGGGAGACAAATGCCACCATTTAACATGGGAGCAAAAGGAGGAATACAGATTGCTATATTCATGCAATCCATGCTAACCAGGTACTAGGCCATAGGTTGATTGCTTTCCCTGCGACTGAGAACAGGCTTAGAGGATCTTAAACTTTCTAGTAAGTATTATCACTTTCCCCATTACTGTTATCACTATCATCAGTACCATAAATACCAGTTGCTGTGTTCCACGACCCATGCCAAGATCCTTTCCACACTCTGTCCACTTAATTTTCTTAACACCACCATAGGTAGGCATTATTGTCACCCCTATTCCACAGATGAGAAAAATGAGGCACAGAATCATTAAATAACTCGTCTCAAATCAATCAACCAAATAAAAGTTACGGCTGGGTTTAAACCCAGGCTCTCAGAGGCCAGATGCTATAGCCTTAACCACTGAATCCTTTCGTGCTGATGATTAAAGCAGACAGGCGCTCCCCATGCTGCTTGGATTTTGAGGGTCTATGATTTGATTTACCTTATTATTTCTTGAACTTATGTGAGTATTTAATTATGGGCCTTATAAATCAAGCACATGCCAAATGAGACAATGAGGCAAAATGCCCTAGGTGTTATGACAGCCTTTTCTCTCCCAATGCCTTGCTTTCTATAATGAACTTGCTCTTAAGAACTGAAGTGTGAAGGAAGTTATATGTAGAAAAACGTGTTTTTAAAGAAGCCTACGAAACAACCCCTGTTTCAATTTGTAAATGATTCCCATCATTTTAAAACAAAACGTTACTTAACACTCTTTAAGTTTGTATTTACACTAGGATTTTTCTTTTACCTTTTGTCTTTGGTGAATGTGCACTTGTAAGTCTCTGAAAGAGATAATTCTGCAAAGCACTAATGTAAATGGATAGTTCTCAACCAGAAACACACAACCCTCATGGGACACACATATGTAATACAGGAATTCATTTTGTAATGATAGTTTTCTCCAAAACAAGGAAACTCAGGCACATAGTGAACATTTAAAAATGTGTACTGAGCTGAATTGAACAGGGTGGCACAAATAGTGTTTGCATAATGCTTTCTAAGATACGTATACATCTGTATTTGAATTTATGAAAAGCCCTGTGTTCACTCTTAGAATTTTCTGCATTCTCAAATTTGTTTCCAGTTTCACCTTGAATTGACAGACTGCTATATTTTTTCAGCTTAGGCTTATATCAGTTTTCTGACAAAGAAATGCTTGTAACAATATATTGCATAATGGATTTAGTTTTAACAATAGTGAAGAGATTGATTCGGTTGCCCAGAAAACTCAGATGTTCTCATATGACTATTAGCCACCATCTTTTGTCTAGCTTCTCAAATATTTGTGGTCAATCTTCTATCTGTGTTGATGCAATTCTCAACTTACACTGGAGGTCTAACTCCTGGGGCTGTATTCCTAGCAATATTACTGTTTATCATGGGACACCTACAAACAGGACCTTTACTAAGCTTTCCCTGCTGTGATAACTTTGCCTCCATCACCTGCCCTGTACATTTTCTTTTTATATGTGCAATCATATTTAGTTGCTGTTAACCTCTGAAAACATTATACTAAGACACATTGTTCTCTAGGGAGTTATAAGTATTTTACTTTGTCACAATACTTTGCGGATACCATCTATATTTTTCAAGGAGATTATATAACCCTAGATGAGCCAATTTACTGAACAATTCATCTCCCCTGCCCTCTCCTATAAGAGACTAATACCACTGTTGAGCTACTATTTTTGCAGGAAATTGCTACTTTTTAAGAAAAATTACTTTATTAACTATGGCAAACAGTTAATGAAAACTCCCATGTTTAAAGCTATTACAGAAACTTAAAGCAAATACAGTCCTATAATTATCATTTAATAGACTTTCTTTCTACTAGCTCCTAAAAGTAATTACATATTGAAGTAATCCAAAAGGAGTAATCACATTCCATATCCTATTAATAGCCTACTGAGTTACCAAATTTCTCGGCTGAGACTGCTTTCCATAGAAAACATGAGATAATGGTTTATATCATGCTGAGTAAAAGCATCAAGTCTCTTTCTCCTTGAGTGTTTACTTCCATTATGCCATGTAAATAATCAGTATTGTGTTTGCCTAAACTCCGGCATAAGCATTCAGCGTTTTTAGAAATATAAGAGGAAAAGCCATCTTAATACACACAAGCTTTTTATTTCATTTTATCTTATTCCGTTCTGCAGCCCGAGCTTCAAAGCCGACTCAGCAGGCAGCAGGAAAATAGAACACTGGATGATTCTTCAACATTTAAGTCCATCTTGGGCTGTTAATATCAGGAATGGTGCTATTTGGGCAGATGAAGAGCATGTCTGCCCAGGTTTTGAGATGCATTTACTTTGAAAATACCAGGCATGTGGCATCTCTTAAATCACAAGAAATATGTAATGGATGAGAAAAGTGCAAAGAAAAAAAAAAGACTGAGATAATATCTCTCCTCTATGTAGCTCTTAACTGGTTTATAAAACCTTCTCATGTCATTGTTTCACCTAATTCTTCAAACAGTCGCATAGGGCAGGCAGGTGGTATATTTTTATCCAATTTTCAGATAAAGAAAGAATATGAGACATCAGAAGGGTCAGTGATTTGCCCAAGGTCACACAGCAATAAGTGCAAAAACTAAATTTAAATATTTGGAGGGCCCTGTTGGTTGTACATGGCACACTGTAAAATGAATATAAAGCTCGTGTCTCTTCTAGTTAATTCATTTCAAAAGTCTTTGTTTATCCTATTGTCAATAATAACAATCCTCAGAAGAGGCAAATTCTGAAATTTAATTTATGGATTAATCTAGGGTTCCAGGGAATGTGTGAACAGAACAGGACAAGGTTCTTCAATTTTCACTTTAATCACAGCCATAATAATTGTAGTAAAATATATTTGCAAAGAAGTTTATAATTTGCTTCTATTACAAAATTAATGCCTATTTCTTGAAGGAAAATTGGAAAATACAAACCAACAAAAATGGTATTAAAACATTAAAATAACTTGATAATAGGCTACCCAGAAATAGTCACTGCTATTTGTGTATCCTTTCTTTGCATACATTTCTTTTCTTAAAAAAAAAAGAAAAGCAACTGTGAAATATATGTCCACTAATTTTCCCACTTAATAGTATGTAATACAAATCAATATATGTATGTCAATATTTTCAAGTTGTCTTTCTACCTTCAACTATGAGGATATATAATATCAGTTGACTGTAAGTACGTACATTGTTTTCCACACCTTCGCCAAATATCTAATTATTCTTTTAGGATAAATTCCTATAGTGTTTTGGAAGGCTGAGGCAGATGGATTGCCTGAGCTCAGGAGTTCAAGACCAGCCTGGGCAATACGGTGAAACCCCTTCTCTACTAAAACACAAAAAAATTAGCTGGGCTTGGCCGGTGTGCACCTGCAGCCCCAGCTACTCGGGAGGCTGAGGCAAGAGAATTGCTTGAACCCGGGAGGTGGAGGTTGCAGTGAGCTGAGATCACGCCACTGCACTCCAGCCTGGGCAACAGTCTGGAGTGCAACAAACAAACAAACAAACAAAACTCCTAGAGTGGAATTACTGGATCAAAAGCTATTGCTACTTAATTAATAAACTGATCATCAGAAATGTTATACCATTTTTAATACCATTGGTAAAACAGGTGAGGTTTTATTTTCTCACATCCAGGTCAATTCTAGTTAGTATTACTCTTTTTAATCATTGGCAATTTGGTAAGTTAAATGTAACATTTTAAGTTCCAGTTACTTTCATCATTTAAAGCCAGGTGTTTTTAATAATTATTAATCAGTTCTTCTTTTGTTCTTATAAGTTGGCTATTTATGTCCTTTGCCCACCTCTTAAATTATATATTTGTCAGTTTGCAATTGATTTGTAAAGTCTGTTCATCTATTAATGCTATTCACCTTTGACCTACCATACCTACTGCATAGATTTTCCTAATGTTTTAATGTTCTTTTAATTCTGACTCTGCTGTAGTCTTAAGTAGAGATGTTACACTTTTTGTATCAGTTTTTGTCTATTTACTATTATCCTTAGCAAGATGTTCCTCACCCAAAATTGATATCAACATTAACTTATCTTTTCTTCTTTCTTATATATCTTTTTCCCCCACCTGTTGGGCATTTTAAAAATATTATTTATGAAATATTTAGTCATGTCTCACTGCTTTGTAAGGGTATCTTTATTGTCTTCTACATTTTTTATGATTAGATTTTTTTAACTTTCTATTCTTCCCATTCTGTCTATTTACTGGTATCATATTTTTCTTTAATAATTTTATACATATATATGTTGAAACCTGACAGATGCTTTCTCCGCATTATTTTTATTTTATTACTATTTTACAAATCTTGCTTTTTTTATTCTTTCTGATATAATTTAGAATTATTTTTCAGGTGCCCTACAAGTACTTTTGTGAATCTTATTGAGCTTATCTTAAATTTATGGATCAATTTAAGAAGAACTAAAATTTTAAAAATACTTTTCCTGTCCAAAACCATGGTCTGACTTTCCATTGAATCAATTCTCCTTTTATTACCCTCAGGAAGTCATTGTAGTTTTCTTCATTTTTGTATCATGCATTTCTTATTAAGTTTATGGTTAGCTACTTTACATTTTGGAAGATATTATAAAGTAATTTTTAAATAATATTTTCTATCATTTTTCTGGCTTTTGAGGTTTCAACTCAGTATTTTATGTGATTCTATTTTCTGTCCTTTTTAAGCATACCACTGCCACTGTACTTCTTTTTTTTTCTTTTTACTTTTTAATGGGTTGACCTAGAGTTTGAGCTATACATTTACAATTAATCCAAGTCTGCTATCAAATAACACTATACCACTTCACAGGTAGTACAAGTACCTTATAATAAGAAATTAATCCTAATTTCTCCCTCTTGTTCCTTATATCATTGCTGTCACTTATTTCACTTATAAATAAGCTTGTGTGTGTGTGTGTGTGTGTGTGTGTGTGTGTGTGTGTGTGTGTGTTTCATGCACCGCATAACAATGTCTTGGACAGCAGCAGACCACATATAAAAAGATGATCCAGTAAGATTATAATGGACCTGAAAAATGCCTATCACCTAGGATTTACCATAACTACACTTTTAAACATTATTTTAGAGTGTACTCATTCTATTTATCAAAAATAAAGTTCACTTTAAAACAGCTTCAGGTAGGTCCTTTGGGAGGTATTCCAGAAGAAGGCATTGTTACCATAGAAGACAACAGCTCCATGTGTGTTACTACCCCTGAAAAACCCTACAGTGAGACAAGATGTGGAGGTGGAAGACTGTGATACTGATAATCCTGATCCTGTGTAGGCACAGGCTAATGTGTGGGTTTACATCTTAGTTTTTAGCAAAAAGGTTTTTTTTCGAGATGGAGTCTTGCTCTGTTGCCCAGGCTGGAGTGCAGTGGTGCAATCTCGGCTCACTGTAGCCTCCACCTCGCGTATTTTAGCAATTCTCCTGCCTCAGACTCCCAGGTAGCTGGGATTACAGGCGCCCGCCAGCACACCCGGCTAATTTTTTTTTTTTTTTTTTTTTTTTTTTGGTATTTTTAGTAGAGATGGGGTTTCACCATGTTGGCCAGGCTGGTCTGGAACTCCTGACCTCAGGTAATCCACCTGCCTCAGCCTCCCAAAGTGCTAGGATTTCAGACGTGAGCCACCATGCCTGGCCAACAAAAATATTTAAAAGGTTAAAAAATAATAATAATAAAAATTAAGGTTGATTTATGCCTAACGTAAATGATGAGTTAATGGGTGCAGCACACCAACATGACACATGTATACATATGTAACAAACCTGCACGTTGTGCACATGTACCCTAGAACTTAAAGTATAATAAAAAAATAAATTTTTATAAGTTTAGTGTAGCCTAAATGTACAGTGTTTATAAAGTCTACAGGGCTGGGCGCAGTGGCTCAAGCCTGTAATCCCAGCACTCTGGGAGGCCGAGGCGGGTGGATCACGAGGTCAGGAAATCGAGACCATCCTGGCTAACATGATGAAACCCCGTCTCTACTAAAAATACAAAAAATTATCCGGGTGTGGTGGCGGGTGCCTGTAGTCCCAGCTACTCGGGAGGCTGAGGCAGGAGAATGACGTGAACCCGGGAGGCGGAGCTTGCAGTGAGCCGAGATGGGGCCACTGCACTCCAGCCTGGGTGACAGAGCAAGACTCCGTCTCAAAATAATAAATAAATAAATAAATAAATAAATAAGTCTACAGTAGTGTAAGGTAACGTCCTAGGCCTTCACATTCACTCACTCAGTGACTCACCCACTTCCTGTCCTGAACACTCCATTCATGCTAAGTACCCTATACAGGCATAACATTTTTTATCTTTTATGCCATATTTTTACTGTACTTTTTCTATGTTTCAACACACAAATATTTGCTCCTGTGTTATAATTGCCTACAGTATTCAACAGAGTAACATACTGTATAGGATTGTAGCCTAGGAGCAATAGGCTGTGCCATATAGGGTAGATGTAATAAGCTAAACCATCTGTGTTTGTTTAAATACACTACGTTTACAGGAGGAAATCTCCTAACAATGCATTTCTCAGGATGCTTCCCTGTCACTAAGCAACTCATGACGGTATATATGAATAACCATACCTAATCAAATACATTGTTGCAATTATTACTGTGAACAAATTATTGTGTTAGGTCAATTAAAATATAAGAAAAATAAAAGTGTCTGTTTCTTCATCACTTATTCCTTCTTCCACGCTCTTCTTTTCTCTCTGTATATCCAGATTTCTGACCCATGTTCTTCCCTCTAAAGAACTTATTCTAACATTTCTTACAAGGCAGGCCTACTGGCAACAATTTTTTTTTCCATTTTTGCTAGTCTGAAAAACTATTTCTCCTTCACTTTTAAAGGATAATTCTGGTAGTTAGAGAATTCTAGGTTGGTATGTTTTTTTCTCTCAATACTTTAATTATTTCACTTTATTCTCTTTTTGCTGGCATGATTTCTGAGAAGGTGGATGTAATTCTTATCTTTATTCCTCTACGGGTAAGGTGGGTTTTTTTCTCCTGACCTCTTTCAGCATTTTTAAAAAATCTTTGATTTTTCTGTAGTTTGAATATGATATGACTAGGTGTAGGGACTTCCTTTTTGGCATTGATACAGCTTGATGTTCTCTGAGCTTTCTGCATCTGTGGTTTGGTATCTGACATTAATTTGGAGAAATTCTGTCATAACTGTTTCAAATAGTTCTTCTGTTTCTTTCTCTCTTCTGTTTCTGGTATTATCATCACATATATATTACACCTTTTATAGTTTCACAGTTCTTGGATATTCTGGGGTATTATTTTTTCAGTCTTTTGTCTCTTTGCTTTATAGTTTTAGAGGTTTTTGCTGATCTATTCTCAAGCTCAGAGATTCTTTCCTCAGCTGTGTCCAGTCTACTAAGGAGCCCTTTGAAGGCATTCTCTATTTCTGTTGATGTTTTTTATCTCTAGTGTTTCTTTTGGTTCTTTCTTAGAATTTCCATCTCTCTGCTTACATTGCCCATCTGTTCTTGAATGTTGTCCACTTTATCCATTAAAGACCTTAGCATATTAATCACAGTTGTTCTAAATTTCCAGCTGGATAATTCCAACATCTCTGTCATATGCGTGCCTGGTTTTGATATTTTCTCTGTCTCTTCAAATTGTAGGATTTTTTGTTCTGCCTTTAGTATGCCTTGTAATTTTTTTCTTCATAACGGAAATGGTGTTGTGGGTAACAGGAACTGCTATAAATAAGCCTTTAACAATGTGGATAGTAAGTTAAAGAAGGGCTAGCATTCCATAGTCCTATGACTGGGCCTCAGTTTTTAGTAAGCTTGTGCCTCTGAACTGTAAACTTCACAAGTGCTCCTTAGTTGTTTTTTTCTCCCTCCTTTGCTGGGACAGGATACCTGGGATGGCCTAGAGTTGGAAGTTTCTTTTCCCCAGGTCAGTTAGTCTCTGATAAAATCCCAGAAGATTAGGCTTCCTTTAAAAGTTTTTTCTAAGATCAGGCCTTGTTAAGAACAGAATGCTCTGGCGTATTTCAAAATGGTTCCTTTTTCCCTCCTCCTACTGATAGCATGAGGGAATTTTTCTCTAATATTCACTGTGAGAACCAGGTAGAGTTCCTGGAGGTAAAAATCACACAAGTGTGTATGTGCATGTGTGTGGTAGGGGGTCACGGGAGAGGTCCTGTGACTGGGTTCCCCTAGAGATTTTAACTTCTCCACACTGGGCCTCCATCAATTTGTCAATTACAGTTCAGGTTTTTCTACCCCAGCACTGGTTCCTGAGGAAGTTTTTGCTTGTTGGTTCCTAATCTAGTAAGTTCGATTCTCTGTATCTACTTGTCTGTCTCCAATCTGGGGACGGCTCTTTGCCCTGTAAACTCAATTCTCTTATGAATCTAGGAAAAGTTGTTAATATTCTAGTTTGTTTGTTTTTTTATTTGGATGGAGAGGTGACTTCCAAGCTTCTTATGTATCAGACTGGACTGAATCTGTTCTAATTTTATTTTCTTAGTCACTATTTTTAGTATAAGTTATAACTGTTTTAATTTATTTACTATTGGGCATTGCAAAGTGATATAACTTACCTGATTTTCCTGGGTTTTCTAGAGCAATAACTACATAAAAATTAATGGCAATTTGTTTCACCTTTTAAAATACTTGTTTTTCATCTAATTGCATAGATTTACACTTTTCAAATATGTGCTATATCATAACAACAGTAATGGCCATTCTTGGTTTACTTATTACTTTAATAGGGAAATTAGTTCTTGAGTTTCATCATTAAACATCATACTGGGTATTAGATTAAAATTAAGATTTGTGTTTTGGGGGGTGTGTGTGTGAGAGAGACAGAACTTCCTTTACATTGTTGTGTTACTAAAAAATAAATGTTTAATTTTATTACAATTTTTTGATTCTAACAAGAAGATAATATAGTTTTGTCTGCTGGCCTAGTGACCTGGTAATTATAAATACAATATTCTAATATTAACTTCATAATTTTAATTTTCAACCCTCTTATTCCAAACAACAATCATTTGATAAGGTACAGAGGAAAAGGCAAGGCCTAGAGATTAAAGGCTTGGCTTTGCTCTTCATCTCTAAAGGGAGAACAATTTTAATATTAATATCTGAATATTTGATATATAATCCTAATAATAATTTATAAAACAGTTGTAAATTATTACACTATATGAATTGAGCTGCCAATTTGAGAGATAAAGGCACTGACATACTAAAAACTGGTATCAAAATTGGAATGCATCCCGGGATCTCAGAACCCCAGGGCTACAAGCTTTACAATGGGCCATCTCAATTAGAATTGAAGGTTTATCAGATCATGGGGTTACATGGCTATCAGAAGGTTTTTCTGTCACTTGAGCAGCCAAGGAAAATTTTAGGAGTTTTCAATGAGTTTCTATTATAACGACAACAAAAATACTCGAGATTTTCAAGTAAATCAATTTTAAGAGTAGCCTTTTGTAAACCATGAAGCCTCTTCCCTGTTTGATTTGGCCTTCTCCGTCCTTGATGCTTCTTCTCTAGTTAGTGTCAGTGTGGCTTTCATCAAATTCTAGATATTTCTTAGATTCCCTATGATAGCCTCTTCTTTCCATCCTTCTGTAATCATGAAAAGATGAAAAAATGAGTGCCAGGAAGCGTCCTAAAAGAAGGCTTTCACAGTGAATATAAATCTGATGTCAGGGAATCCCCAAAAGCACATCCAGCAAAATTAGTTATATTGTGAAAGCACAACTAATTTTGATAGTTATCATGAATAGAGTTACCCACAGAGAAGCTGTAACTACATGGTGACCTACAAACAGGTCTGTCTGACTCCATCCTTGCCCCCACTTCACTCAGCCCTCAATAAACAAACTGGACAATGCCTCTCTCTCTCTCTTTTTTAAATTCTTTCCTGCCTCTCCATTTCCTATGTATTTAACTGAAACTCCATAGCTTAGTGAGCAAGACATTCCATGCTTTACTCCTTGTACACTTTACCTCTACCATGTCCTTTCTCTTGCTACCTTAAATCTTAAGATTCAGAAACTTGAAACCATGTCAAGTTTCTGAAATATGCCATGCTCTCACATGTCCATGTGCAGGGAATTTACTCCCCCTGTCTATCCCTCCTCCTTTAAGTCTCACTGTACATAAAGACATCTCCCAGGTGACATCTGGCCTAACATCTCAGAACATTTGGGCTGCCTTGTCCTAGTGCTCCAGGAATACTGCCCTAACCTCAATTTTTCTTATCACTCTGAATTCTAACCGTATAACACATTTCCTTGTCTCCCACTAGAATCTGAGCTCTGTGAGGCCAGTATCCCAACACTTAAGAAAAGTGGGTTGACTAAATGCATAAATTAAAAGTGAAGGAGTGGTTGAGAAAACACTTCATAACATATAATCTTCTTCAAAAATTTTAAGAATTAGTTATTATTATGGAAAGAATGAATCTGTCATGAAATAAGCTCCAGGATGAAAAAGAGAACAAATCATTTGATGCCAGAATATTCTAAAGAAGTCAGTACCCCATCACCCAGCCCTTGCATTCTTTCATCCATTCAGTCATTTACTTTTCCACAAAATTATATTGGAGACCTAGGGTTAGGGGGAAGAATGAGATGACCCTCTAATGTATTAGTTTTGCAAATGTAATATCCAAGTTGTGCCATGTGGCAGATCAATGAGCACTGAAACATTCAGAGTTGAGTTTGCACTGCTTAAACAAAAATAAAAATAAGAAAGCAGGCAAGCAAAGACATAAATAAACAACAAAATGTTTGCGTGGAAAGCAATGTTGGTTTAGTAAGGATAGCCAAGACAGATTCACTCAGATTAAATCAATTGGCAAATAAATGCCTTTCTTTCTGTTTTCCCCCCGAACTAAGGACATTTTTTATGAGCAGCACAAACTAGCATGCAAATATGCTTCTGATTTTTCACTTTCATAATTTAAAGATAGCCAAACAGATTTCTGTAGGATGTATTTTTCGCCCTTAATTGCTCCAATATGGAAGATGCTCTGTTGGGAGATCAAAATGGCAGATGTCTTTTAATGCCCTGCCATTTTCACTTGTGTAAATAATCATGTTTCTTTTCTGCCTAAAATTCATTGCTGCAGTTTGTCTCACACAGAACAGAGTTTATCTTTGAACCCGCTCTCTCCTCAATCCAACAACAACAAAAAAATAAATAGATCTTCTTGGTAGATCAGACATCACTCTTTCAAGGTTGCACGTGGTCACTGACTTAACTAGTTAGCTTAAAGACCCTAAATGTCAATATCCCCCTGAATCTCTTGGTAGTTTTCTTTGTCTTAAACTAAGAAGTACGTGGGCAGTATGTTCTTTTCTCTCCATTTACCCTACCAACAAGGAGAAAATTACTATCAAACATAAGTGAAAGCAGAGTTGATTTTAAGAAATGTGATTAAATGTGACAATGAAAAGTCTCTTAATGCTAACAAACTGCATACTTCGATATCTCATACACACATGCTTGAATTTCACATGCACACAGGCAAGTATTTCTATCATGTTACTCTTTATTGTACTTCTTGTTTTGCAGATTCCTCAGTACAAAAGGCAATAATTGGAAGAACAGTGGTGTGTAGCTCCCTAATTCAGTTAGGAGACATTATAGCCATCAGAGTCTTGGTAAATTATTTTCATTAGTACGTTAAGGCTCATCATTTATAGAATTTGCATCATTGTAGCATATCTTTTATTCCAAAATATTGGGAAAGTAATAGGTTTCTTCTTGCCTCCTTCACATTGGTTTGTTTGTGAAGGGTGTATGTTTGCGTGTGTATGTCTGTGTCTGGAAATGCTATGGGAACAGCTGTTGAATGAGTACCCCTGATTGTTTGTGGGTCTCTTTGCCACAAAAAATCTTAGGTTTCTAAGAACTGTTCTTTTATCTAGAAACTGAGTCTAGAAACTGAGTTTTTCTTTTTTTTGTCTAATTATAGGCTATGATGGAATTCAACTAATTAACCAACCTATTGTGGATATTAAAATAAACTAGTTTAATTAGAATGCAATAATGTCAGTGTTCCAGGGTCAGTTATGTGCTTATAAAATTCAATGAAACCTAGAGGACTTCAAATTCTAGTTCTGTTATTTTCCATGTGCTTGTGAGAAATTGCTTCCCTCTTAGTTTCTCAGTTTTGTTTCTTATAAGATATGGGATATTATAATCTTTGCACAGTTTGAAAAATTGTCTGGGATAATGTATGTAAAAGTAACAAACAACAGCGTTTGCCCATATTAGCAGTTCAATCAATGTTGCTTAGTTAAATTTGCTTCAATTTAAATAATAATAACAGAATAATAAGATAGCAAGATGAAGATATTTAGCAAAAGCAAAATCTGCAATATAAATATAAGCAACATTAGAAGGAGTTGGAGAATATGGAAACTAGAAATGGACCATGAGATAATGAATCAGTAAACTCTGACTGTGTGGAAAAGTCAGACTGATATGAGATTCATTGGAAAGCACAGCATTCAGCCATTTATTCTGTCAACACACACAACAGTGCTAAATGCCTAAATGCACAAAGACGACTGAAAAGCTAAATAAGACAAGGCCCCTTCCCTCAAGGAGGTTATTGTCTGGTGAAGAGGTCAGACATTCAGTCACGATGGGCTGTGAAATGTACAAACTATGCAGTAATGTGTACAGGTAGGTAGAGAGCTCACAGGGTATTCAGAAAGGCAAGAAAATAGAGGTGTACACACAGACTAGTAAGTTCATCATTGATCAGTAGTAACATCAGGAGTGTATTGTCACAAACTTCTAAAAATGTTCTATGAAATTTCCATTATTTCAGTCCCTTGGATTGAAGATGGTAAACATTGACTGACATCAAAACTTAAAATTAATTTTTCAAAATTCACAAATGTAAATGAGTGTAAAGAAATCGAAATAACTAAATGCTCAAATGATGCCTTTTGTAGTTGTGTGTCATCTATACTTCTGAAATTATTGAAGCTTATAACTCTACTAAGAAATTTTAGTCACACACTATATATAAATTTTATGTATGTGCTTATTTATGCGTATATATATGTATATATATATATATGGATGGGTGTGTGTGTGTGTGTGTGTGTGTGTGTGTGTGCACGGGCATGTGTGGGCACAGAAATATTTTTTCCATTATCTTGGCAGAGCTATTGCCACATTTCTAAGGAAAGCAGTGTAGGCCAGAGCAAAGTAATCAAATAATGTTTATTCTGCTAGTGACTGAATACCTGTCTTCAAGTGTGTGGGAGCTTTTCATGTGGTAGATAGATCTACTTCCTCTCTGAGGTTTGGGAAGAAACGTAGAGTAGGCAGATTTGGGTCAGCAGTGAACAAAATACCTCCCTGGGAGCAAGTCTTGGCCTACATTCTCGGTTTTCCAACAGTCTGCAGAGAGGATCCTCAGACTGAAGTGCCCTGTGGCCTTTTTCATAAGATAGAATGTCTCTGATCAGGTCAAGCTGTGAGGATTGTTTAGCTTCAGAGAAGAGATGGACAGAGGAAAAGGATTGGTAAGGAAGAGCATCTGCAGAGCCTTAGGGAAGCTGCTGAGTGACTGATGCCGTTGCCCTGGGATAAGCCTCTCTCCTGACACCATGATGAGGGCAGAGGGTCCTGGTCCTTTGCTTTGGTGCTTCCTGTTTTCAAGTTTTCAATATGCAGGAGCTGGTCCATATATTGCCCACTTTGATCTGCTTTTAATTTTTTCCTTTTTTATTTTTATTTTTTTGGCTAATGCAGGGTTGTCACCAAGTGCAGTCTATCTATCAAGGTCTTCTTTCTCTCTCCATCTTAATGTTCCCCTTGATTGCCAGTCTCATATATTTCCTCATTGGGCTACATCATCATCTAACCCCTATATTGGTATTCCCCAACTGGTACCATGGAGATCATCATTATTAGGAACTTTTATATTGTATTAGTATAATGAAAAAGTGTACAAGTAAAAGCAGCATGCAATTAGGAGTCCAGGTTGGACTAAAACTTAGAAGCCTGAATTTGTTTTTCCATTAATAGAAACACTACACTTTGTGCATGACATATTCTGGTAATTAATGGCCCTATTTGCAAGTTTTGGCCTAAGTGGGGGAAAACATGCAACTGGTTACATATCTGTGGCCAAGGATGAGAACACTGGTGTCAAGATCAAAAACCAAGATGCTTGAAAAACATTTTCTTGTCATGGGAAATATATTGTCCAGGACTGAAGAATATGAAATATTTTCTTACCTTTGAATGAAGAGTCCTTCTGCATAGGCAATTACATTCAGAGCTACAATGACATTTCCAAGAATTCACTTTCCTCCTTTGCCAATGAGTTTCTCTTCCTCATTAGTCTACTGCTCAAAGAGAAGAACTTCCAGAAAAGAATTAATATTTACTGAGCATCGCCAACAGGCTGGCAACTGTGCTAAGTAGCTTTATGAATGGAATCAAATTTAACCTAAAATTATTAGTTTCACAGATGACAATATGGAAAATCAAGACACCTAGATAATATGTTTAAAGTCAGGCAATTAATATGTACAAGATTCAAGATTCAAACCCAGGTCTGTTTGACCCCAAAGATTGAGTTTTTTGCTTCTTAGAATCTTTATATAAGAAAAAGATCTAGGAAGTCTCTATGGAAATTTTAAAATTGATGGAATATTTGTCTTTTCTGTTTCATCTTAGTAACCTGGAGCCAATCTGACACTTTCCTGGAAATATGTCCTCACTGAACCTCTTTTTTTCTTGGGTTATCCATAAACCTTGGTAATGCATATGTCCAATGCAAGGGGACCCACTCAAAGATGGATTGAAAGCTAATATGTAGTCAAATATAGGGTGAAAAATTGGTGTCTAGTAAAGGGGTTTCGTTATTGTTTTTAGTTTGTTTATATTTCTATTTGTGTGTCCAGATTTGTTTTTCATGAAGTTCCTGACCATAGTAGCTATTTTTTTTCCTTCTTTTTAGAGACAGGGTCTCATTCTGTCAGCCATGGTGTAGTGCAGTGGTACTATTATAGCTCACTGTAGCCTTGAACTCCTGGGCTCAAGCAATCCTCTGGTGTCAGTCTCCTAAGGAGATGGGACTATAGTTGCTGGTCACCCCACCTGGATAATTGTTTAACTTTTTATTTTTTTAGAGACAAGGTCTCGCTATGTTGCCCAGGCTGGTCTAGAACTCCTGGCTTTAAACAATTCTCCCACCTCAGCCTCCCAAAGTGTCGAGATTACAGGTGTGAACCACCATACCAACCCCTAGTGGATTTTTTTTTTCTTTTTGATTCAGAGTCTCATTCTGTCTCCCAGGTTGGAGTGCAGTGGCACAATCTCGGCTCACTGCAACTTCCACCTCCCAGGTTCTTTTGTCTCAGCCTCCTGAATAACTGGAATTATAGGCATGCGCCACCACACCCAGCTAATTTGTTTTGTTTCTTTTTGTTGTTGTTGTTTTTATTTTTGTTTTTTTGAGACAGAGTCTTGCTCTGTCACCCAGGCTGGAGTACAGTAGCGTGATCTCGGCTCACTGCAAGCTCTGCCTCCCGGGTTCATGCCATTCTCCTGCCTCAGCCTCCCGAGTAGCTGGGATTACAGGCACCCACCACCAAGCCCAGCTAATTTTTTGTATTTTTAGTAGAGACGGTGTTTCACCGCATTAGCCAGTATGGTCTTGATCTCCTGACCTCGTGATCCGCCTGCCTCGGCCTCCCAAAGTGCTGGGATTACAGGCGTAAGCCACTGTGCCTGGCCTTTTTTTTTTTTTTTTATTTTTTAGTAGAGAGAGGGTTTTACTATTTTGGCCAGGCTGGTCTTGAACTCCTGGCCTCAAGTCATCTGCCCACCTGGTTCTCCCAAGTGCTGGGATTACAGGCATGAGCCACCATGCCAGGCCATAGTGACTTATTTTTGATCAGTGATCAGAGTGGATCACAAGAAGGACAGGCCGTGATACTGAAATGCCACTCAGAAATGCCACTTCTGAGAGAAGGCTCGCACTCCCATTGGTCCTGGAACAACCTGGATCTAAAGGGCGAATATTTTATTGACTCAAGCAACACAGACCACCTAAATGCCAAACCAGGCTGCTAGACACGTCTCCTACCCACTGTGTTCACCTTTACCAGCTCACCAGCCCTGGAGGATCTCAGTAATGTGTGTTAAGTTTTCTGGTAGAAGGATCCCCTGAGCCTTCTGGAAGCACAGCACAGAGGATAAACACTGATTTCTATCATGTTATTTAGTTGCTTAACAACCCCATGAGGCATGCTTGCTATCAATCAGTCTCCTAATTTTAAAGATGAACAAATGGGGCTCTAGATGGGAAAAGTTACCCAATTGAAAGCAGATAATTAGTATTCACCCAGGAAGAAAGCCTTAGTCCATTTCTTTCCCACTTCTTGAACTGCTTAAAATCTATATGTGAAGCATGTTTTAATAGCAGAGGTTTGAAAAGTTCTTGCGATCCTACTGATCTATCACTCAGAGATTTTAAATGGTTTGGTCAGCTGGGTGCTTTGATGAGCTTTTACGTAGTGGTTTCTGTGTGTCGGAGAGGACTCACTTGTTCAGAATATGAAACATCTTGAATTCATGTGCCAATGTCATGCCCAGATCCATGTTTTCCATTGGTGTTTGAGTTTCAATTACCTTCCTCCATAACCCAACCTGCTGTGATCTGGAAGTGCAGGTCTGCCTGGATGGCACATTGAAGAATAGATTTTAAATTATGACTTCCACAAGTTTATAAAAATAAAAATATTCTGTTCCCATACCCTCCAGCCATAACACTATGGGTAACAGAGTAGGACCAAATGTGTAAACCAAGCAAGTCATCTGCTGGGCATGTCACCCATATCAAAGAGTTTTCTTTGACCTAGAAATTCAATTAAATTTTTAACATTCATTTTTATCCATGATGACATGGACATTTCAGATCATTAAAATGGAGTAGATATTGTAACTTTCAATTTGTGAGAGTCTAATTTAACTATGAAAACATATACAAGAAGAGAAAATATATTTTGAATTAATTTATTATAGATATGTAATTTTTATTGTAATTGCTAAGTATGGAACAATGGTGTGTAAAGCCTAGTCAGGTGACTGCATTTTCAGTTACTATTTTACTTGACTAGCTTACTTTTATTTTTTTCATCCTATTTCATAGTATATGCAATGTTTTTATAATTTTCCCCAGTGATAAGAGAAATGTATGCCAATCATACAAAATTCAGAAAATACAGAATTGAGGGCTGGCTGTTCTGTGTTGTTTTGGATGAAATGTTGGCAGTGAAGGACAGAGAATTGGTCATATCAGGTCTACTAGAGCCAGAAAGTACAAAACCTCACCATCTGCAATATTCAGAATTTCTGCCCATCCCTAAATAAGACTGAATCTGCCATATATATATATATGTGTGTGTATATACATACATATATATATATCTATATATAGATATAGATATCTAACGGAAAATAAATTGTAGTAGGCCTTCCATATTCATGGGTTCCACATTTGTGAATTCAGCCAACCAAACATCAAATATATTTGGGGAGAAAAACAGAAAACAACAAAAAATTGTAATACAACAATGCAAAATAATACAAAATTTGAAACTACAGTATCATAACTATTTACATGGCTGTTACATGGTATTGGGTATTATAAGTAATTTAGAGATCATTTAACACATATGGGAGAATGTGTGTAGGTTATATGCAAAGACTGTGCCATTGTATATAAGGACTTTGAACATCCTTGGATTTTGGTATTCAGGGGAGGGTCCTATAACCAATTCCCGGCAGATACCAAGGGAAGATTATACATTTTCTTTAACCTAAAATATATTAAATAATTTTGAAATTCTGAGATTTTTTTTCCCTACTACAGGAGCTAATTCAAAATCCTGTCAACCTATTTAAAGCCTACCAGCTATTGGGCCATGATGCTAGTCATAATATTCATATTGCTATAAACTCTGATTCTTAACCCACAAACAGAGGCAGACCATACCAGAAGTTCAGTGTGAGTGTGTGTGTGTATGTGTGTGTGTATGTGTGTATGCATGTATGTGTAATTTGATGGAACATATTAAAAATTTCTACTGTTTTATAATACCAATGCTTTCCCACTAGAAAATAAATCTTAGAAAATTAGTTGAGGCTGGTAGAGAAAACATGATGAGGAAATATTTTGGGGGCAGAGGCTACAAAAGATTGGGAAATACAGAAAAGCCAACATCTGGAATTTTGGTTAAATCCTTCCCAGAACACAGTTATGCCATTTGTTCAACAAATATTTATTGAATGTCTGCTGTGTTTCTGGCCTTGGAGAGACTGAGATGAATCAGACAAAAATCCCCTATTCTCAAGAAGTTCACAGTCCCACAGAGGTCAAAGTGGTTATGTCAACAAATCATGACAGAAGAGTAGGTTATGTATTTCTATACAAATATACAGTGTGGTGGGTCACACAAGAGATGATGGGAGAGGTCTTGGATGGTCTCCCTGAAGAGATGACTTTTGAATTATATTTTGAGGCCTGAGAAGTACAACTGTTATGATAAAAGGAACAGTTATTTTGAGCAAGACAGTAGTGGATAAAAAGACCAGGCACACAGAAGAGTGTGGCATTCTTGGGGGACAGAACTGAATTCTTGATGTCAGGCTGAACTGGTCCATGTGGAAAAAGTAGGAGGTGAGCCTGGGAAGCAAGGTGAAATCTAGGTTAGGGAAATAATATCTGATCCTCCACCATGCTGGCAGAGGTGCGCTGTGTTTTGTTATGTGAGCAACAAACTTCAAATCATTCTAAGCAGGAGGAGTGACATGTTTAATTGGGTGGCTGATGGTGTTGGGGTTTTAAAGAAACCATAAATCTCCTGCAAGGGTTATAAAATAGTTCCTCTCTTTAAAGCATGTATATTTACATGACTAATGAGTGGATTCATAGTTTGCATAAGGTTTGAAGGTGGACTTGGAATTTCTTTTTTAAAAATATATACAAACAAAAATTGGCTAAACCCTTGTCATAAAGTAGGAAGTCTGCACATAGGAAAAAACTTTTTCTCACACACACTTGAATATTTAATTATTAATATTTCGTGTGCTAACATAGAGTAGATTGCTGAAGCTAATAGCCCAGCAGAAAATGGTGTGACAGGCTTGCCTTTAAAGGGAATTTCCTTCAGTGGCAAGCCTGCCGCACCATTTTCGGTGAGAAAACGTAGGGTGTGAGCCTGGAAAGCAAAGTGAAGTCTAGGTTAGGGAAATAATATCTGATCGTCCACTATGCAGGCAGAAGTGCGCTGGGTCATGTGAGCAACAAACTTCAAATCATTCTAAGCAGGAGGAATGACATGTTTAACCGGGTGGCTGAGGGTGTTGGGGGAAATCCCTTCACTGGCAAGCCGGCCACATCATTTTCTGCTTTGCTCTTGCCCATTCTTCAATGGAAATTCCCTACCAAATCCAAAGAGCCTGTTTCTGAGATTTATTCCAAAATGCAGATAGCTTGTTTCGTGATCATGCCAAACGGCTGTGGCTTCCGCAGATACTTAGATGAAAGAACAAGTAAGAACGATTCTGGCGGTTAACCTTTATGATAAGAGAGTGCCCTCAAATCTGCCGAGCAGAGAGCCGCTGTGATTCCAATGGTCTTGACTGGGCGCACGGCCTGTCTCCCCTCTTTCTGCAGATAACACAGCAGGCGTGTACGCCCGGCGTGGAGGGTTCAGTCGGCAGAAGCAGGACTTGTACCTTCTGCCCATAGTGATCAGCGATGGCGGCATCCCGCCCATGAGTAGCACCAACACCCTCACCATCAAAGTCTGCGGGTGCGACGTGAACGGGGCACTGCTCTCCTGCAACGCAGAGGCCTACATTCTGAACGCCGGCCTGAGCACAGGCGCCCTGATCGCCATCCTCGCCTGCATCGTCATTCTCCTGGGTAAGGGCGCTTCCTGGTCCCCTGCAGGAAGGGCCAGGCAACCGGATGCCCCTCCTTGAAACACATGCTTCTCAAATACAGGCTGGTAACCAGGACCCTGTTATGACTGTCGACACAGTTCAAGAAAAGAAGTGGGGTACGGGGGCGGGGTGGGCGTTGTGGGGGCGAGGTGGGGGATGTCTGCCTCTTGCATTTGATGGAATATTGCAGGGAGCAGACAACTGAGTTCCAGCAGAGAACAGGGAAGGTCATGATGAGCATTTTGCCGGGCCATCACAGGGCTGTATAGCAGGAGCCACTAGGGGGCTTCAGGGACATCAGAGAAGGTTTGGCATAAGAGGAATTTGGGCAGAAACATGGTGTATTAGCAATGGTTTTGTCCCACAAGAGAAAGAATAAGGCTTAGGGACATTAGGCCCATAAGAAGGAGCAAAACACAGCATAGGAAGGACTCGGGAACTGGAAGAAGGAAGAAGCAGGACTCTAACCCCTCCACTAATTATCATATATAACATCTGTTCTAACACCTCAGCTCATGGGTACCCCTTGGAAGCTTTTCCTGCACCTACCCCTGCTTAGGTGCTCTTCTTCTGCACTTCTGTCTTACCTGTGGTTTATTCTGTAGAAAAGCCATGTGCTGGTACTCAGAACATATGCCATTGCTGGGCCTCAGGAAGATCATTTTATCCCAAAGTCTCAGAACTAGTGACTGACCAAATCAGGATTCAAACCTATGCATGTCTGACACCAAACCTACACTTTTGCCATGATGCTTGGTCCTACCTCGAATGAATTCATGGAGCTTTACTCCATAGGAAAAAGCCAGTGAATTCAATTCAGCAAATAGTTACTGGGTATTCTCTGGGCAACGGGCCCTATGTTAGGTCCTGGGGGATAAAGAGAAGAAGTCTATGAGATCTCTGTGCTCGACAGGTTCACAGAATGTCAAGGAAAGTATGCATGAAGAGGCACACGGTGGGTGCTGTAATAGGGACATGAACACAAGATGGTTGGAGGACAGAGTAGAAAGCACCTGACATGGGCCAGGCGCAGTAGCTCACGCCTGTAATCCCAGCACTTTGGGAGGCGGAGGCAGGCTGATCACCTGAAGTTGGGAGTTCAAGACCAGCCTGAACAACATGGAGAAACCCCGTCTCTACTAAAAATACAAAATTATTCAGGTGTGTTGGTGCATGCCTGTAATCCCAGCTACTTGGGAGGCTGAGGCAGGAGAATCGCTTGAACCCAGGAGGCAAAGGTTGCGGTGAGCCAAGATGGCGCCGTTGCACTTCAGCCTGGGCAACAAGAGCAAAACTCTGTCTCAAAAAAAAAAAAAAAAAAGAAAAAAAAAAGGCACCTAACATTGCCTGGGAAGGTCAAAGAAATCTTCCTGGAGGATGTGACATACAGGTTGGCTGCTGAGAGTTGTCCAGCTGAGGACAGAGGCTTGGATAAATGAATATTTCAAACAGAGGAAGTAAAATACAAAAGCCCTAAAAAGTTAATAGAAGTGGAAACAGATGTGTAAACCATGTGATAAATATTATAATAAGGATAAGAACGGGGCCAGGCTGGTGCATGAAAAAGGTGCCAGTAGTCCTGTCTGGTGTCAGGATGGCAGGCCAGGAAGTGTATCCATGATGAAAGAAAAAAAGAGTCCGCTAAGCAGAGAAAGTGAAAAGGAGTGGTCTGTGTGAGTGAAAGTGCCCACAAGAAAAAAGCACAGAGCTTTGGGAGCCACACGAAGTCCAGGGCAAGTACAATCTCTCATTCCTTCTTCTCAGAGCAGTAGTGGAGCCAGAGGGGCGCTCAGCTGGAGTGCAAGATTCAGCCACAAACATTTTCTTCAGCCTTGCTGGGTGTATGGGAGAGCCTTCTAATGGAATATTGTAGAAGCCTCTTGGGGAAAAGAGGGAATCAATGAAGAATTAAACTGTGCCTGAACTTTCCTTATAAATGACTCTGATCACCCCTCCTAGGTTGCCCAAGCTTAATGGAACCCCCCTCTCCCAGGGAAGACATGAGATTGCTTTATCTGGGCTTCCAGCTGATGCTATTTTCCTATGTTAAAGTAAACAGAAGATTTTGTCTTCTGGGGGTCTTTATAAAACTTCCTTTCCTCTATGTGGTGGCTACAGAGAGTCCAACCACACTTACGGTAAGACTTCCCATTAAGTTAGTATAGGACCAATACTCTTTCTCAGACATTGGCAGAAGCTAGCCATCACCCCCTATAAGATGGTAGGCCCTAAGGGCTCTGCATGTCCTCATTTTTAAACCTTGGAAAAACAGCTACCTTCCTTTGCAAAGAGAAATTGGCATTAGCCACTTCTAAGAGACTACAGACCAACATATTTAGAATCTTCCTAGTTCTTAGGAAGATGACTCCTAAATGGTGTCTGGATTCATTTGTTAAAAGTTCAAAATTGTCCCAACCTGCCAAGTTGTTGGGTGTAATGTTTTCATGGCAGCATTTGTAGAGGAAGAGCCAGGCAGGGGTCAATTTTACACATCCTTAGGGATTCCAGGCAAAGCTCTCATTTCCTATACTGTTTCCTGTTCTGAGCATTTATACCTCATGGTTTATGGTAATCAGAGTTCCTCTGGCAGAAGAACCCAGGAATACTGGACTTAACGAATGCTTACCTTCTTTTTCTTTCCCTCCAGTCATTGTAGTATTGTTTGTGACCCTGAGAAGGCAAAAGAAAGAACCACTCATTGTCTTTGAGGAAGAAGATGTCCGTGAGAACATCATTACTTATGATGATGAAGGGGGTGGGGAAGAAGACACAGAAGCCTTTGATATTGCCACCCTCCAGAATCCTGATGGTATCAATGGATTTATCCCCCGCAAAGACATCAAACCTGAGTATCAGTACATGCCTAGACCTGGGCTCCGGCCAGCGCCCAACAGCGTGGATGTCGATGACTTCATCAACACGAGAATACAGGAGGCAGACAATGACCCCACGGCTCCTCCTTATGACTCCATTCAAATCTACGGTTATGAAGGCAGGGGCTCAGTGGCCGGGTCCCTGAGCTCCCTAGAGTCGGCCACCACAGATTCAGACTTGGACTATGATTATCTACAGAACTGGGGACCTCGTTTTAAGAAACTAGCAGATTTGTATGGTTCCAAAGACACTTTTGATGACGATTCTTAACAATAACGATACAAATTTGGCCTTAAGAACTGTGTCTGGCGTTCTCAAGAATCTAGAAGATGTGTAAACAGGTATTTTTTTAAATCAAGGAAAGGCTCATTTAAAACAGGCAAAGTTTTACAGAGAGGATACATTTAATAAAACTGCGAGGACATCAAAGTGGTAAATACTGTGAAATACCTTTTCTCACAAAAAGGCAAATATTGAAGTTGTTTATCAACTTCGCTAGAAAAAAAAAACACTTGGCATACAAAATATTTAAGTGAAGGAGAAGTCTAACGCTGAACTGACAATGAAGGGAAATTGTTTATGTGTTATGAACATCCAAGTCTTTCTTCTTTTTTAAGTTGTCAAAGAAGCTTCCACAAAATTAGAAAGGACAACAGTTCTGAGCTGTAATTTCGCCTTAAACTCTGGACACTCTATATGTAGTGCATTTTTAAACTTGAAATATATAATATTCAGCCAGCTTAAACCCATACAATGTATGTACAATACAATGTACAATTATGTCTCTTGAGCATCAATCTTGTTACTGCTGATTCTTGTAAATCTTTTTGCTTCTACTTTCATCTTAAACTAATACGTGCCAGATATAACTGTCTTGTTTCAGTGAGAGACGCCCTATTTCTATGTCATTTTTAATGTATCTATTTGTACAATTTTAAAGTTCTTATTTTAGTATACGTATAAATATCAGTATTCTGACATGTAAGAAAATGTTACGGCATCACACTTATATTTTATGAACATTGTACTGTTGCTTTAATATGAGCTTCAATATAAGAAGCAATCTTTGAAATAAAAAAAGATTTTTTTTTAATTCTGGGTTTGATTCTTAACATTGAAACAAACGTTAAGTATTTCTAATGATCCATTTATATTTCTAATTTAATTGTGATCTTTTAATAACCCTATTTATGATCTGTTGTTGTCTGTCTGCTGCTTTTATTGTTTATTTAAAATCAAATATGTTTTACAAATGTTTTTTCAGACAAGATTCTGTAACATCATGTAAAGCTTTTTTGTACATTCTTGGTGTTAACCTCCTGGCTTCTCTTCACACACATCTTCTAAAAAAGAAGGATGTGAAAGAACTAGGTCAGTCTATGACTTTGCAATATGTGTTATATAGTATGCATTTATCTTGTATATCAGTAATTTGATGGTTATGAGAGATGAATCCATGAGGGAATGGAGCTATCAGAACTCTAATGTTCCAGGTATACATTCTATGCCCCACACTGAGCACTGGGGAACTGGGGGACTAGAGTCAAAAATATAAATTTGCCCAGACTCTAATGTTATTCTATTTTTTCTTCTGTTGAACTTACCAGGCTATTGTAAGACTCTTGATAGTTGAAACTGCTTATTTTTCCTCCTGTAATTTTAACTAATTGTAAAATGATGTGGCATTTTATGTTTTAATGAGAATGGGCGATTCATTTAAAAAAGCTTTGTTTAGAATATGCTTGGGGCCGTAAGCTCAGAATGAGGGCAGGGACCATTTTGGATTCTGAGAGTCGATGCCATTTGGTCCAGGAGTGTGTCTACAGTCCCCTGCATTCCAGCTAGTTTCTTGGGGATTGAAACTTATGTGAAGGGCATTTCACCTGTTCAGTTGGGCCAAAGGTCAAAACGTAGCAATACTTGGGGAAAGACCACATAAAGTCACACTGCAAGTGCTTTCCCTCTTTCCCCCTACACACAGGGCACGTGCTTTTTCTTGGATTGCAGACAATTTTTACAGTTTTTTTCTGACTTTATTGTGAAAGTTTGTTTCAAGCATTTCTTGATATCATGTTATGTACTATTTTTATGATTTAGTCAACATGCATACAAAGAAATGTTTTTTATGAAGTGCTCACTTCCATTTTACTTTGCATTGAAATCAAATTGGGCTGAACACTTCAATGGAATACATTTTGTGGACAATGTCACTTTAGAATCTTTCATCTCAGTGAAGGATTACACATTCTCAATACTTCCATAATTGCAGGTTGTGTTCATTTTTTTATATAGTTTTTGTAATCCAAAGAATATTTTGCTAGATTTGCACAGATCTCCAATTGAATTTGCAATGAAGAAATAACTCAAAAGGAATATGAATAGCATTTAAATAAGTATACAGCTGTAAGTAACCCTGTCACCATGGATGATCCTTTTCTCTAGGAATGTATTTGGATTAGAGATGACAACTACATTTTCGCATTTTTATGTTGAAGTCTTTTTTAAAAAGGCTGTTTACTTTTCAGTAGTTAAGAATACTTGTTTTTCTTTTTCTTTTTTTTTTTTTTTTTTACCTTTTATTTTTTCGTTAAGCCTCTATTGTTTGTAGAACACTCTTAGAAACTTGGAAATAAAATGTCTTTCCCAACTAGTGGAGTCCTTTTTCATTTGGAGCACATTGCCTTAAAAGAAGTCTTAATTTAAACGGTCCTTCCTTATTCTAAAGTAATCACTGTTTTATACCATCTATGCAGCTAAAAGAAGGAACATGCTTCTGTTCTTTTCCTCAAGTAATGGTTATTGTTTCTAGTCATCATTCATTCATTGATTCATTCATTAATTCATCAAAATCTTATTTTATAAACCCTGTTCCACTTACTGGAGGATTCAGAATGAATCTTACTACCTTTTCTGACATCTTTTGATAATTCAGCCCTGTACCAAAGTATCCACCTTGTTGTCTTATAATCACCTATTTACCTATTTGCCCTCCTAGAAAATGCAAGAAGATATTTTCTCTCCTTCCAAATTGAAGGAAGAACATAAAAGATATAACAGGAAGGAGATGGTGAGATATAGAGTGTGAGCGGAAATTAGGCCAGCTGTGGCAATTCTGGACAGATCTTGGGTTTAGCTAAGTTATTTCTTTTAGGCCTGGGTTTCTGGGGGTGACAGGGAAGATAAAAGAGTAGTTTATTTGCACCTCTTGGAGAATTGCTTAAAAATATAGAGATCATGGCTCTGTATGTCAGGTGGAACCAGGTCAGGAGTATTTGAAACTGCTCCTGGGTCATTGTGACATATCCTTCACATCTTTTTGAGAAACTTTATAAGACAATGGGGGTGAATGGGGGCTGGGCAGTTGGAGTCTCTGAGCAGAAGAGGGGCAAAATTTATTTGGCAGGCAGTGTGGAGGACAGATTAGGAGCATATAAACCCAGAGGTGTGCCCCAGGAGGGCTTTTGCAAAGGTCAATATGAGATAGAATGAGGGCCTGAAATAATTCAGTAATTTGGAGATGGAGAAGAGGAAAGACTTCTCTGCTCTTGCACTGCCATCAGCCTGGTCTGGGCCATGGTCATCTCTGACCCGGAAGACTGACCCCACCTCTTGGCTCACCCTCTGCCTCCCAACCTCCTCTTCACAAAGAAGCCAGAGGGATACTTTTAACACACAACCCAGATCACATGACTTCGTAACTTAAACCTCTTCACTGGCTTCCCAAAGACTTAAAATGAATTCTGATGCCTTTATTTTATTGCTTTACATGAACAGGGCCCTGCGAACCTCTCCAGTGTCATTCCACTCCATCCTCCTTTCAGTGCACGATGCTCCAGCCACACTGGCCATCTTTCGGTTCCTGATACAAAAAAAAACACGTTCCTTTTCCATGGAAAGCAGGTCACCCTTGTTATTTTGTATCGATGACAACTCTTTAAACTTATTTTGCTTTTTGGCTTTATGTATGTGTGTGGGTGGGTGGGACTGACTGCCCCACTAGAATGTAAGCTCCATGAGGGCAGGGAATCTTGCTTTCTTGTTTACCATTGTATACTCAGTTCTTTACACAGTGCCTGAAACATAACAGGTACACAATAAATATCTATTGAATGAAAGCAAATATACTGATGAGGCAGATTTATCAGGATTTGATGAGTGATTAGAGGTTGCCAGTGTGATTTTAAGCATCCTTATCTGAAAAATTGTGTCAACTGTGATCTTAGTACCTAGGATTGGTAAATTGAAAGGAAGTGGGTTTGGGGAAAATAAATTGAATTGAGTTTGGGTTGGGATTGTAAATGGGAGGTGTTTGTGTGACAACTGGATGGACTTTCAAGTAAGTCATCAGAAGTATGGATTTTCAGTTCGCTCATTGTAGAAGTAGGGCCTGGACATGGAGTGTAAGAGTCATCAAATGTGAGCTGAAGCCTTAGGAGTGACAGCATTTTTCTAATTGGGTTTTCACTGTTCTCTTTCAAATTTAAAAGGGTATTTTAATGGTAAAATCCCTCTGGTATGAAGAGTAAGGCTGAGTTTAGTTTTATTAATAAGGGTAATTAGTAAGCATAAACCTTATCCTTGTGTGTCAAATGCTTTGAAAAATAGGAAGGGGTTATTAATTCAATCATTCTTCTCTTTAATTAGCCTTTCTTGAGCTTATACTGTATGGAGGTCATGTACTAAACATGTGTAACACATTCTGTTTCTATGAGAAGACAAAGTATATGCTACAATCCCTTCATTACACTGAAGAAAATTGTGGACCAGAGAGGTTAAGTGTCTCTCCAAAGCTACACAGGAAATGATGTCAAAGCTCGATGGGAGAAAATACCATTTCTCCCACTTTGGGTCAGGAGATGTACCCTTTAAACTTAGGATAAAGAAGCCAACAGCAAGGACTGTCCCTCACAATCAATAACTCAGCTAAGCCATTGGCAGTGAGAACTTGGAAGGAGATGGAAACCCCCAGCCTCCAGGTGTTCAGGTTATTACTTTGAGCAACCATTCACCACATAGTTTGACGAGAGGATGTAATCATATCTCTGAATGCTTAGACTCTTCCAAGTCCAAAATGGCACAAGGATCAGAATTGTAAAATTTTCTGCTGGGGTTTACATCCTTCTACACTATGAATTTTGGAAATCAAATATATAAGAAACCAATTAGGCATTTTGCAGCTATTTTTATTATGTTTCACAGAGAAGTTTGATATTTCACCTTATTCATGGGATTAAAAATATAGGGCAGCAAGGGGGAGTCTTGACCTCACTGAACTTCATTTTCCACAAGTGTACAATGGAAGCAATAATTCCTACATTGCCAGCAGTGGTGAAGAATAGATGAATTCACATTTCTGCAGCCACTAACCATTCCTAGGACAGGAAAAACACTAGAAGGTAGCAATTATATTGTTACTGTTTGTATTATTTTCTCAATTCCAGGCTTCAGAATAATAGAAGGGAAGAATTTACCACCTTATGCCTTCTGTTTTATTTGACTTGTTTCTTCAGAAATCAATCTACTCTGATTTTCCTCTCTCCTGAGCCAACAGTAGAGCATAGATGTCTTCACACACTATAGTTTAGGAAGAGAACTGATTGACAATTTACCTACTCCAAATATTAAAAATAAAGATTAATTATCTGTCTAGTGAATTTATTGAATTTACTTATATTTGACTAAAATATGCAGCATAATATTGGCAAAGCAACAGGTAAAATAGCTTTTAATGTTTCTTTTTCAGAAGACAAGTTTACATAATTATGAGTTTTATATATAATTGGATAGAAGATATTATGAAATAATATTTGAAATTGGGATGAGTGTGTCAAGACCTGAACAAACTTGTACTCTTCCAATATAAGGAATTTCATGTTTGATATATTTTTGCTAATTTGTTCAAGCAATGGTGCTTCTTCTTTTTTTCAGACACATCTCTTCTCTGAAAATATTGATGTTTGAAGGCATATAATTTCATTAGAATATTCCTTTTTATATAACAATTAGAATGAGCTTAGTTTAATCACTATTTTTAAATCAGTAAGAACTCAGGAAATTGGAAATTATTTTATGCTATGATAATTTTCTTCCTCCTTCTCCCTTTCCGCCAACATTAAGTAAGATATTAAAGAAATAGTAGTGTTTAGAAATGTAATTTTCAAATGACTTACTCTTAAGAATTAGTAAAGACATTGTCCATTTGATACTGCTTACCTAAAAACTAGTCCAGGGTCTCTAGAATTACAAATGGGCTTTTCCCAAAGACACCAATCTCTTCCCTTTTTTAACTTTAGTTTCCCAGCCAAAAATAGGTACTGAGTAAATGTTAGGGGCAAGACAACAGCGTCAGATGAGTAAAGGGAAATTCACGTCCTAGGCATTACAGCATTCTAAACTACTAGAAATCTATAAGTGAGAATTCACCTGGGCACCTTCCCTCCCTCCACCTCCCAATGTTTTGATAAGACCATGATAATGCATCGGATTTAGATTTCACATGATTAGATATCCTACCTTGATAGTCACCCAGCACACCCTCAGATCAAATCGGGGCCCAATGCACTAAGCAAATCATGAAAGTGGCATCAGATAATCTGTATGACTTGCTAGCATTGGAAAGGTCATCTTCTTTGTGTGTCTCATTTTCTTTATCCATATGGTGGACATATGTAATCTCTGATTGGAATGCTAGAAATTATTGACCTAGAATAGGAAAATAAAAGTAAATATATAACTAGCTGCACAAATGAATGAGTTTATTGTTGCTGTTTTTGCTGTTACTTATACTTTTCCTACTGTAAACTGGATCCGCAAATGACTTAGAAGAGAGCCTCAGATCCAAAAGTGAAATTAAGGTACCTTTCGGCTTCTCCTTTGAAGACTTTTATCTAGTAGCCCCAGGATAGGCCTTAAACTACATCTAAAATATAATAATATCTAAAAGATAGATATTGCATCTTTGTTGTGTAAGGACTGTGACCCAAGGGGTTCTCCCAGCCTAACCTAGGGGATTTCACTACATTGTCATCAGGAGCTTCGAAACAGTCATTCCTCAAAGTTCTAGACTATGAGGAACCTTGATCCCTGTAGTCTAGTATTTTCCAAGTTTGAAATACAAATTTCTGCATCTCTGGTGGTTAGAAGAGGTAGTTTTAAGTGATGTTAAATAAGAATACATTTTAAAAGGACAAAGGCATTCTCTTTGAAATACTAAGAGTGTGATGTGCGCAGAGTTGTCCCTCTGTTTGAAATTCCTTCCCTCTTAGCTGGCTGTTTCTCTGACCATCCAATTTGAAGCAGCCCCCTAATCCCTGTCTGCCATATTGCTCTTCTATTATTATTTGCCAAGTATGTATTTTTTTGTTTGTGATTTCTTCTCTTTTCCATGTTTTATTTTCAATCTATTTTTCTATTTAGAATGAGGGCCATTAGGAGCAAAGACATTTCTTTTTACAAGGTACCCCAGAGCCTAGTACAGAGCCTGATATGTTGTAGATGCTTGGTAAATAATTGTGGATCCCCAAGAGGTATTGGCAAAATTTTTATTATTCATTCTGATGAGATAAGACCCAGTTTGGGATTAAATGTCTAACCACTATAAAATCCCCTTTTTTGAAATGGAAATAAGATCTCAAGCTTAAAGTCTTCAGCAGCAAATGTGTCTAGTAAGAATTTAATAAAGTTATTTTCTTTCCATGTATTTATTTGTACAGTTATCTTCCATGCCATGAGAAAGTTTGCATAACAATAATACAATGTTTCCTCTTAAATACATTTGTTTAGATACACATGAGTTATTTACAGATACACACATAGGAAATAAAAGTATGTCTGTTACTTGAATATGCTGGTGTGGGAAAGAAGGGTGATATTGAACTCAGAACTGCCCTGGGAACTCAGCCAAAACCGATGGTGTCTACCCAACTAATTTATGAATGAGAGTACTGAAGTTCTAGAAGGTAAACTAACCTGCTTCCAGAGGCAGAGGACCAAGAAGAGAATCTGGAAAGAAAAGATGGATCTCCTGCTGGTGAGCTGTCAGTTTCAAAGCCTGAACTGTAAAGGGAGTTACCAGAAATTGAGTCAGCTCTTCATTTTATTATATTTTTTTGAATTGAGAGACCATAAATTGTATATGTTAGCGGGGTGTACATAGTGATATTTACATATATGTAATATATAGTGATCTGATCAGGGTAATTAACATATTCATCATGTCAAACGTTTTTCAATTCTTTGTGTTGGGAGCATTCAATATTCTCTCTCTAGCCACTGGAAACTATATAAAATATTATTGTTAACTATGGTCACCCTACAGTGGCATAGAACATTAGAATTTTTAAAATTTTTTAAATTTTTGGTTTTTTTATTTTTAACTTTTATTTTAAGTTCAGGGGTACATGTGCAGCTTTGTTATATAGGTAAACTTATGTCACGGGGATTTATTGTACAGATTGTCACCCAGATATTAGCCTAGTCCCCACTAGTTATTTTTCCTGATCCTCTCCCTCCTCCCACCCCCCATGCTCTGATGCTCTGACAGGTTCCAGTGTCTGTTGTTCCCCTCTGTGGGTCCATGGAACACTAGAACTATTTAACAGGCGCTTTATTCTGCCCGGATACAGGCGTGCCTTTTCCCTCATATGTACCTTTGCTCTAGTTAAATGTCACCTCCTCAGAAAGGCCTTTGTTGACCACCTTCAATAACACCCTTTCTTCCTGAGTCCCTTTCTAACCCCTTGTCTCATTTATTTTATTTCAATGCACTTATCTCTACCTGATATCATAATTGAGACCTGTGTATTTGTTTATCATATGCACGCCCTCCATATTATAACAAAACATTCATGAGGACAGTGAGGCTTTCTGTGGTTGACTTTTATACACCCAGAACCTAGAACAGTGCCTGCAGAATTTTAGGGTCCAATAAACAATTTTTGATCGAACAAGTGAATAGCAATGAGTGTTATCAACATTAGACTTTTTAATTTATGGATTTGAGTGAGAATTTTCATTTAGTTTTTTCTTTCAGTCCTATTCATTAATAGGGATGATATTGTGAACCAAATGAAGATCACAGAGGCTATAGTATTATTACGTTCTCTCCCAGAACACAAACATTTCAGATTCAGGTGTGTGATTGATCGGCAGCTGCTGACCATGTAATAGGATTTTCCCTCTTGCTTTTCCAGCCTGCAAACAGCTAGAGGACCATAAAAAACAAGGTATCCTCTGTGCTCAAGGAGAGGCTCTAGATTAACAGAATACAGACCTTAGGTGAGTTGCATGAAGAACTGTTCCAGACATTTTGTTTAGGGCTTGGGTGTTTAAATGAAAGAAACCTTCAAACTCCCACTCTAATAATCCACAGGATGTGGACAGCTTTGCCATGAGGTGAAGTTTTAGTTAATATAATATATTTTTGTTTTAACTATAATGGATTATTCAACTCAGATTAGTTGGTAGAAAGGGAACTGAAATAGTCCTAGTCATTCTGCTGCTCTTAAACACCTGCTCTTTTCTGTAATCCTTGTAACATTCACATGATTCCCACATTAAAAGATGAAGTAGACAATTTATTAATTTTCTATGCTATTCAAAAATTGGCTCCATTTATTATTAGTTGTGATTTACCTTTTAATTGTTTGCTATTATGGATAAACTTAAAGAATATATTCAAAATGCAAGTGACTCTGGGGAAATTATTTCTTTTGTGATTTTTTTTTTCTGTCAAAATGATTGAAGTCCTGAGGATCCAAATATCCCATAACCATGCCATATTTTTTGTTTATTTATTTATTAGAAATGAGTAGGTGCAGGGCACTTTTCATGGGTATGGTCGATAACCTTGGTGACTGCATGTCCTAGCTTTCCCCAAGACAGCCCCAGTTTTTGTTTGTAGTTCTAGAGTAATTTTTAATAGTGCACACTTTTTTATCCTCTGATTTGACTCATATGGATAAAAATGTATATGGTTATGCTACAAAAGATTTTATCCCACACTGTGTTAACAGTGTAATAGGTTTTCAATGGCCCATAGAGACTTTCCCCACAAGTGCAGAAAGATGATTAACCTACTCTAGGAAGGAAGGAAAAGGGAAAGAAAAGGAAAACCTTAATTGTCATTCTCCATCTCAATAATCTGAGATAAATATTCCACATATCAAACCTCTACCCTTTTTGAAGGTTTAAATTTTAAGACCAATTTTTAAAAATAACCTTAACCCTTTCCCCAAGATATATCAGTATCAAAAACAAAAAAAAGTGCATAGTACATTCATATTGTTTGTACAATTTAATGTTCTGTATGTTTCACTTAACATAGGAGCATGTTCAATATGAAAACAGATTTTTTAACCCTTACTTGAATTGCTATTCCATATGGAATATGGATGAATCACTACTTATTTGATCACTAAATTACCAAATATTAAAGAAATATCTTATTATAAGCCAGACACTCATCAGGGACCAAAGAAAACACCAGTAGCAAAATGGACTAAGTCCCTATCTTCATATGAATTAAGTTCTAGTGTGGATGTTCAGGTGATAATTAAGTACTGACACAGGTATATAACTCAAACCTGTAATTACAAAGGACATAGAAGCAAGCAGTTATAATTATAATGGCAAATAGATTATTTCCTCATAAGGTTATACATCATTTTAAAATTAACATACCTGTGCATAAAGCAATGTGTATAGCTCTGATTATTTCCTTTGGCTGGATTCCAAAAAGTGAGATTCTGAAAAGCAAAATTGAGAGTCAAAGCATATAAACACTAAATTTTGGATTTTGAATACATGCTTTCAATTTTTTCTAGAAAAATTGTTCCCATTTTTACTTTCACCAGCAATGCACATGACTACATATGTCAAGACACTATCACAGTTTTGGCATTCCAAATTTTTAAAGTCATATTTCTTTCATTTATTAGATTTCTACCTTGTAATATTCTTTATCCTTTTTTGAGGCATGTCAGTTTTTTTTCTTTGCATTTACAAGAGTTCTTTTTTTGTTGAGATTCTGAATCATGATGTTTAATACGTGCTGAAATTTTTTTCCTGTTTGATATTTGATATTAAACTTATATGCTTTAATAATACATACCAGAAAATTATGTCATTGAATCCTGTGTGATAGTTTTCTTTTTTGATTTTTTCCACTGATTTTATGTAAAAAATTTCAAATTATTTCTGTAGGTAGTGTGAGATAAGGATCAGAATATGTTCATACAGATATTCAACTGTTACAAGTCTTTATTGAAAACCCTATTCTTCGTATGTATCCTCAGAAAAGTCCTCCTTAGTGAGGATTGCATTAAAAACAACATCCTTTTCTTAGTGAATTACCATGGTATCTTTGCTAAAAACAACAACAATCAACCATGTAAGCATGGGTCTATTTCTTGATTTGCTTTTCTGTCTCCTTGATTTATATGCCTATCCTGACACCAATACAATGTTTCCTTAATTACTATAGCTTTATACAAAATTTTGAAGTCAAGTAGTACAAGTTTTAATTGCTTGATTTTCAAATTTCAACCAAATTTGCATTCTTGAGACAAAACTCATGTGGTCATAATATGTATATTAGTCATTTTAACAATGTGTTTCTGTACATGATTAGCTAAAATTGCATTGAAGGTATTTACATTTATATTAATGAAGTGTATTGGACTGTCCTTTTCATTTATTGTAAGTCCTTGTGTGATTCAGGTTGATTCTGTTTTCTTAAGATTACTTGAGAAGTGGTCCCTCCTCTTTTATTTTCTGGTAGAGCTCATGTAGAATTTGTATTCTTTCCACTTAAACTGTGTGTGAGTATTCACCAAGGAAGCCATCTGGTTCTGGAGTTTGCTTTATGGGAAGGCTTTTTACTACAAATTCAATTTATTTACTAGATATGAAGCTATTCAGGTTACCTGTTTCTTCTTGAGTAAGTTTTGATACCGTGTGTCTTTCAAGGAGTTTGTCTATGTTATCCACATTATTGAATTAAAGGCATGAAGCTGTTCACAATATCCCCTTATTTTCCATTTAGTGTTTAGAGGGCATCCAAAGGACTTGTGTCTTGTATTTTGCTAGTATTTTGTGCTTTTTATTTGTTTTCTCTGTCCATTTGTCTAGAAATGTATCTTGTTTTATTGTATTTTTGAAAGAGCAGCCCTTGATTTCATTGACATTATTGCTTGTCCATTTCTTATTTTCCTGAGTTCTCTTTTTATTTTTATGATTTCTTCCTTCCCACTTTGCCCTTAATTTGGTGTTTGTTGTCTAGTTTCTTAAACCAGTAGCTTAGACTATTAATTTTAAACCTCTCTGTCTTACTAGTATAAACATTTAATGCTAAAAATTTCCTTCCAAGGTCTGTTTTACCTGCATCTACAATTTTGATATGCTGCTTTGTCATTTTCATTTAGTTCAAATATTTTATAATTTCCCTTGGGATTTCTTTATTGACTCATGTCAAATATTTAAAGATTTTCTATATGCCTTTCTGTTTTTTATTTTTAGTTTAATTTCATTGTGATCAGAGAAAATACTCTGTGATTTTGATGTTTGTGATTTTTTTGTGACTTGTGTTATGGGACCAAAGTTTGGCCTATCTTGCTAAACATTCCATGAGTGCTTGGAAGTATGTTTATTGGATGGACTTTCTACAAATGTTAATTAGTTAAAATTGGTAGATAATGTTCAAGTCTGCTATATTCTTATCAATTTTCTCTTTAATGATCTATGAATGACTGAGAGAGAACTGTTGAAATTTTTAACTATAATCGTGGATTCCTCCATTTCTTCTTTTAGTCCTATTTATTTTTACTTCATGTATTTTGAAACTCTTTTATAAGGTGAATATACATAAGGCAGTCATAATATCTTATCTCTGGTAATATTCTTTGATCTGATATTCATTTAGCCAATTTTTTCTTAGTATTTACATGAGATGCTATTTTGCATGATGTCCCATTCTTTAACTTTTAAATTATGTATATCTTTTCCTCGAAAACAGGTTATTTGTAGATAGCATGATTGCTGTGTTTTTAAAAAATGTTTGTTTGTTTGTTTTATTTCTTTTTTCTTTTTTTTTTTTTTTTGAGACAGGGTCTCCATTGCCCAGGCTGGAGTGCTGTGGTACAATCGCGGTTCACCGTAACCTTCACCTCCCAGGCTCAGGCCACCTCAGTCTCCTAAGTAGTTGGGACTATAGGCATGCACCACCACACTGAGCTAATTTTTGTATATTTTGTAGAGATGAGGTCTTATTATTTTGCCTAGGCTAGTCTCGTGCTCCTAGGTTCAAGTGATCTGCCCACTTTAGCCTCCCAAAGTGCTAGGATTATAGGCATGAGCCATCATGCCTGGCCAACTACTGTGTTTCTTACCAATCTAAAAATTTCAAGCTTTTAATCAGAGGATGAAAAACAAAGATTCTCATTTTTTTTTGTCTTAGGATCCCTTTACACACTTAAAAATAATGAGAACCCCAAAGAGATCTTGTATCTGTTTGTTATATCTATTTATTGGTCTTTGCCTTTATCATTTAGGGTTGAAAAAATTAAATATGTATTTATTAATTCAGTTTAAAATAACAGTAATAAGCCTATTACAGTTAACAGATAAAACTTTTTTTATTTGGAGATGATCAAAAAGAGCCTTAGTTTATTATCCCATTCAAATATTTCCTTCATGTCCCCAGTCAAGCCTGACACATTTAGATGAAGTAGTTCCTCTCAGGGGTTGGCTGTCAGTGAACAGAGTCCTGTCTTGGCTACACACCACCTCATTCCATCTCCTCTGACAGATGCCTGATTCCCTGGGGTTCTGCCAATGAGCCGACTATGGGTCAGCTCAGTCAGATGGACATTACATCTCTTTGTCTTAGCTGAGAGAGGAGGTCGAGCATTAAACATTTTCCCTCTCACTGCTATTATCTTATTGGATTTAATCTTTTATAAAATATGTTGAAAAGCTATTTGACTTCAGGCTATGTCTGCTTTCTGCAGGGCAAATATCCTTGAGGCAAGAAATATAAAACACTCTGGCATCCATTTTAAAATGGGAGAGAGTGGAAATGAAAATATAAAGCAAATCAGCTCCAATTAGTATTGAATGATAATATTCTGCTATATCATTCTGGTGGGGGTGTCATAAAAAGGGTCAGAAAATAGGCCCCCTTTTACAACAAATCGGTTAAAAAAATCTGTCTACATACACACACATACATATATAGTTACAGTTATAATTAAAGGTATATGTAGTTAAATAGTGATGAATATTAAGGAGAGAAAAGAGTGGAAAGAGATCTTTAGTTTGGGGAGAAGGTGCTCGTGTTTTATACAGCCTGGCCAAAAGGGGCCTCTGTGAGAAGGTGATATTTGAGTAAAGTCCTGAAGAGGTTAAGCAGCTAATCACACAGACATCTGGTGCAAGAACATTTCAAGCAATGGGAATACCAAGAGCAAAGGAAACTGAACTGGAAAGGCAAAATAAAGAGAAGGGAAAATATTTGAGTGAAATATAGCAAGAAAGGGGATGATATCTTTAACGTCCAGATGGCTCACATAAATCAATAAGGCACTAACAGAAAAATGAGTAAATATTATGAACAAACTACAAAAGAGTAAGTGCAACAGACTAGAAACAACCCAGAAAAATTATATCTCTACCAACCATGAGTAATGAAATAAATGTATACTAGACTAAGGTAGTGTTTCAACTGCTACATTTCAAAGAAACCACGATAAAAACAAACAAAACAGTTAAAATTATAATACTAGTACTGGCAAGAACTCAGAGAAACAAACGTTAATGTTTTGATGGCCGAAGTGTAAATTGGTATTCTTCTTTGGAAAATCAATTTGAAAATGTGAATCCTAAGCTCAATGGCCTCAAGAGCAGTCATCCTACCTCTGAGAATTTATCTACCTATATTTGGACATCATTCAAATATAGAAATACATCCAAATATTTGGATATAATCCAAATGTGGAAAAAGTACTTGCATATATGTATTCACAAGAGTGGTCAGTGGTATCAGAAGCAAATTAAGTGTCCAGCAACATGATATGAGTTAAGTAAATGTGGCAAATTTTACTCGTAAATTAATATGTAGCTATTAAAAGTGATGATTCATTGGCAACGGCATAGAGGAACTGGAGGACATTATGTTAAGTGAAACAAGCCAGGCATGGAAAAACAAATATCAGCCGGGCCCGGTGGCTCATGCCTGTAATCCCAGCACTTTGGGAGGCCAAGGTGGGCGGATCACCTGAGGTAAGGAGTTCGAGACCAGCCTGGCCATCATGCTGAAACCCCCATCTCTACTAAAAATGCAAAAATTAGCCGGGTGTGGTGGCGTACACCTGTAATCCCAGCTACTCAGGAGGCTGAGGCAGGAGAATCACTTGAACCCGGGAGGTGGAGGTTGCAGTGAGCCAAGATCACACCATTGCACTCCAGCCTGGGTGACAAGAGCAAAACTCCATCTCAAAGAAAAAAACAAAAAACAAAACAAAAACAAATATTACATGCTTTCACTCAGATGTGGGAGGTGAAAATTTTAAAAATTGATCACGTGGAGATAGAGGAGAAGGATAGTTACTAGAGTTTGGGAAAGGGATGAATAAAGTGAGGAGGGTCAATAGGTGCAGAAACAAAGTTAGAAAGGGTAAATAAGATCTAGAATTTGGTAGCACAGAAGGGTGACTATAGTTAACAATAATCTATGGCATATTTTATAATAACTAGTAGAGTGGAACTGGAATGTTCCTAATACAAATAAATGATAAATGAAGTGATTGATACTCCATTTGCCCTGAATTGATCGTTACCCATTGTTTGCCTGTATCAAAACATCCCATGTACCCCACAAATATATACTACTCTTAGGTACCCATCATAATTAAAAATAAGGCAATGATTTTTAAAAATTCAAAAATAAAAAACAAAATGATGATTCAAAAATGATTTACTAACATGATGACATAGAAAATGTTTGTGACGTGTTTAAATGGAAGTGGGTGAAATTCTGTAGCGCAATCATGTATGTATCTTGATTACAGTTTAAGTTTATAAACTGCTTTCACATGTATACATGTGCACATTCCCATGTCTGTATGGGTGTTTATTCTTCCTCCCCGTGGAGGAAAGGTTGGCCTGCATTAGTCAGAACTCACCAGATTGTGGCAGCTGGAAGGGAAAAATGGCAGTGCCAGTCCAAAGGCAGTCTGCACGAAGAATTCTTACTTCTAACAATAAGCTTAGTCTTTTTCTATTAAAGACTTCAACTGATTGGACGAAGCCTACCCACAACATGGAGTAATCTGCTTTGCTCAAAGCCTACTAATTTAGATGTTTTTTTCTTGTTTTAAAATGTTTTTTCTTGTTTTAAAATTTATGTTTATTGAACATATTTGAGGTTTACAGTATGATATTTTGATATATACATATACACAGTGAAATGATTACTATAAATTCATCATCTTCCACACGCACACCACGTGTGTGTGTGTGTGTGTGTGTGTGTGTACGTGGTAAGAGCACCTCAAAGATATTCTTTCAGCAAAATTTCACTATACAATATAATATTATGAACTATAGCTCTCAGGCTCTACTTTATATTGCTAAACTTATTCATCCTACGTTATTGCAAATGTGTATCCTCGACCTACTTCTCCCCATTTCCACCCATGATGATATGGTTTGGCTCTGTGTTCCCATCCAAAATCCCATCTTGAATTGTACTCCCATAATTCCCACATGTTGTGGGAGGGACCCAGTGGGAGATAATTGAATCATGGGGGCAGTTTCCCTCATACTGTTCTCATGGTAGTGAATAAGTCTCACAAGTTCTCATGGTTTTATCAGGGGTTTCTGCTTTTGTGTCTCCCCCATTCTCTCTTTGCCTGCTGTCATCCACCTAAGACAGGACTTGCTCCTTATTGCCTTCCACCATAATTGTGAGGCTTCCCCAGCCACGTGGAACTGTAAGTCCGGTTAAACCTCTTTCTTTTGTAAATTGCCCAGTCTCGGGTACCCAGGTGTATTATCAGACTAATACACCTCGTAACTATCATTCTACTCTCTGTTTCTATTTATTCTCCCTATTTTTTTAATTCCACATATAAGTAAGATCATGCAGTATTTTTCTTTGTGTCTGGCTTATTTTGCTTAGTATAATATTCTCCAGTTTCATTCATTTTTCCACAAATGGCAATATCTCCTTTAAGGCTGAATAAAATTTCTTCGTGTGTGTCTGTGTGTACACCACAATTTCTTTATTATTTCTTTATCCATTTGTCTGTGGACACTTCAGTTGTTTCCGTACTTTGGCTATTGCAAATAACTGCAATGAATACGGGGATATGGCCACCTCTATGAGGTGCTGGTTTTAATTCCTTTAGGTATATACCTAACAGAGGGACTGATGGGTCATATGGTAGTTCTATCTTTAATTATTTGAGGGTCCTCCATAATATTTTTCATAATGGCTATATCAATTTACATTCCCGCCAACAGCATATAAGAGCTTCCTTTTCTCTACACCCTTTCCTTTTATCTTTTTTATGATAACCAATCTAAAAGGTATGACGTGATATCCCATTGTGCTTTTAATTTGTATTTCCCTAATGATTTGTGATGCTTAACATTTTAAAAATACACTATTTGCCCAAGGCCTTGGGAACCCACCCCTTACATCAGTGTGGCCTGGATGTGAGACATGGAGTCAAATGAGATTATTTTAAGCTTTAAGATTTAATGACTCCCCTACCGGGCTTCAGACTTGCATGGGACCTGTAGCCCCTTTGTTTTGGCCAATTTCTCCCTTTCAGAATAGGAGCATTTACCCAATGCCTGTACCCCCATTTGTGTCTTGGAAGTAACTAACTTGTTTTTGATTTTACATGCGCATAGGTGGAAGAGACTTGCCTTTTCTCATATGAGACTTTGGACTTGGACTTTTGAGTTAATTCTGGAATGAGTAAAATCTTTCGGGGACTGTTGTGAAGGTATGATTGTGTTTTGAAATGTGAGAAGGACATGAGATTTGGGAGCGCCAGGGGTGGAATAATATGGTTTGGCTCTGTGTCTCCCCTCAAAGCTCATGTCAAATTCGAATCCTCAGTGTCAGAGGAGGGGTCTGACTATAGGTGATTGGATCATGGTGTGGACTTCCCCTTTGCTGTTCTTATGATAGTGAGTGTGTTTAAATGAGATCTGGTTGTTTAAAAGTGTGTAGCACTTCTCCCTTTGCTCTGTGTCTCCTGCTCCATCATGGAAAGATGTGACTGCTTCCCCTTTGTCTTCCACTATGATTGTAAGTTTCCTGAGGCCTCACCAGAGGCAGAAGCTTGTGCATCCACACAATTGTGAACTGATTAAACCTCTTTTCTTTATAAATTACCCAGAATCAAGTATTTCTTTATAGCAGTGTAACAATAAATTAACATACTATTCATATTTCCCTGATGGTTAGTGATACTAAGCAGAGCATTTTTTTAAATGTACCTGTTGGCCTTTTGTATGTCTTCTTTTGAGAAAATTCTGTTCAGGTCATTTGTTCATGTTTTAATTGGGTTATTTGTTTTCTTGCTATAGAGTTGTCTGAGTTCTTTATGTATTTTGGATATTAACCTCCTAACAGATATAAGGTTTGCAAATTTCTCCCAATTCATAGGCTCCCTTTACATTTTGTTGATTGTTTCCTTTGTTGTGCAAAAGCTTTTAGGTTGATGTAGTCTCACTAGTTTATTTTTGCTTTTGTTGCCTGAACTGTTGATGGAATATTTTTAAAAATTATTGCCAAAGTCAATATCAAGGAGGTTTTTCTCCTGTGTTTTCTTCTAAGAGTTTTGCATTCTCAGGTCATATATTTAGATCTTTTAGCCATTTTGTGTTGACTTTTATGTGTGGTGTAAGATAAGAGTTCCATTTCATTTTTTGCATGTAGATATTTAGTATGCTCAACATTATTTTATTTATTTCAAATTTTATTTTAGATACAAGGGTACATGTGCAGGCTTATTAAATGGGAATATTTTGTGATGCTAAGGTTTGGAGTATAGATCCTGTCACCCAGGTAGTGAGCATAGTACCTAATAAATAGTTTTTTATCCTACACTCCCGTCCACTCTGTAGTAGTCCACATTGTCACTGTTCCTATATTTATGTCCATCTGTGCTCAATGTTTAGCTCCCACTTACAGTGAGAACATGTGATATTTGGTTTTCTGTTTCTGCGTTCATTCACTTACAATTGTGGGTCCATCCATGTTATTACAAAGGACATGATTTCATTCTCTTTTATGACTCCATAGTATTCCATGGGGTATGTGTACCATATTTTCTCTATTTACTCCACCATTGATGGGCATATAGGCTGATTCCATGTCTTTGCTATTGTGAATAGTAATGTGATGAACATACGTGTGCATGTGTCTTCATGGTAGAATAACTTATATTTTTTTGGATATATACCTATTAATGGAATTGCTAGGTCTAATGGTAGTTCTGTTTTTTGAGAAATCTCCACGCTGCCTTCCACAGTGGCTAAACTAACTTATATTCCCACCAGCAGTGTATCAGCAATTCCCTTTTCTCCACATTCTCACCAGCCTCTGTTATTTTATTTTTACTTTTCAACAATAGACATTCTGATTGGTGTGAGATGGTATCTCATTGTGGTTTCGATTAGCATTTCTCTGAAGATTAGTTGTTGTGCAGCATTTTTAAATATTTGTTGGCCACTTGTACATCGTCTCTTCAGAAGTGTCTGTTCATGTCTTTTGCTCATTTTTAATGAAGTTATTTTTTTCCTGTTGATTTAAGTTTCCTATAGTTTCTGAATATTAGAACTTTGTCAGATGCATAATTTACAGATATCTTCTTCTATTATGTAAGTTGTCTGTTTACTCTATTCATAGTTTCTTTTACTGTGCAGAACTTCTTTAATTAGGTCCTACTTGTCTATTTTTGTTTTTCTTGCAATTGTTGTGGGGAACTCAGTTGAAATTTCATTGCCTAGGCCAATGTCCTTAATGGTGTTTCATAGGTTGTCTTTCAGGATTTTTATAGTTTGAGGTATTACATTTAAAGCTTAAATTCATTTTGAGTTAACTTTTTTATATGGTGAAAGGTAAGGGTCCAAATTCAATCTTCTTCAGATGGCCAGTCACTTATCTCAGCACCATTTTTTGAATAGAGTCTTTCTCCATTGCTTGTTTTTGTAGGCCTTATCAAAAATTAGATGACTATAGGTATGCAGCTTTCTTTCTGAGTTTTCTATTCTGTTCCATTGTGTCTGTTTTTTGTACCTGTACCATACTGTTTTGGTTACTGTGGCTTTATAGTGTAGTTTGAAGTTGGGTAGTATGATGCTTCTGGCTTTGTTCTTTTTGCTTAGGATTGGCTATTCACACTGATTTTTTGTTCCATATGAATTCTAGAATAGTTTTTAGCTATTCTAAAATGACATTGATAGTTTGGTAAAAATAGCATTGAATCTGTAATTTGCTTTGGGAAGTATGACCATTTTAACAATATTGATTTTTCCAATCAATGAGCATGGAATTTTTTCCATTTATGTGTGTCATCTCTTATTTCTTTCAGCATTGTTTCATAGTTTGCTTTGCAGAGATCTTTCACCTCCTTGGTTAGCTGTGTTTCTAAGTATTTCATTTCTTGTGACTATTGAAGTAGGATTGTGTTCTTGATTTCACTCTCAGCCTGGACATTATTGGTGTATAGAAATGCTACAGATTTTGTACATTGATTTTGTGTCCTGAAACTTTACCAGTACTAGGAGACTTTTGGCAGAATCTTTAGGATTTTCTAGGTCTAGAATCATATCGTCAGTGAAGAGAAAGCATGACTTCTCATTTTCTTATTTGGATACATTTTATTTCTTTTTCTTGTCTGATTGCTCTGGCTAGGATTTTCAGTACTATATTGAATAGGAGTGGTGAAAATTGGCATCTTTGTCTTGCTCCAGTTCTCAAGGCAAATGATTTGAGCTTTTGCCCATTCAGTGTGATGTTGGCTATGAGTTTGTCTCAGATGGCTCTTATTATTTTGTCATACGTCCCTTCAAGGCCTAGCCTGTTGAGGGTTTTTGTTATGAAGAGATGTTGGAATTTATTGAAAGCATTTTCCGCATCTATTGAGATGATCATGTGGTTTCTGCTTTTGATTCTGTGTACGCGATGAATCACATTCATTGTTTTGCCCATGTTGAAACCATCTTGCCTCCCAGGAATAATGCCTAGTGGATTAGGAGTTGTTATTATTACATCAAATAAAACAGACTTTATTCATTTATTTAATTTTTTACACAGGATCTTACTCTGCCACCCAGGCTTGAGTTCAGTGTCATGTGGCACACACATGACTCATTGCAGCTACAACCTCCTGGGCTTAAGTGATTCTCCTGCTTCAGCCTCCTGTGTACTTGAGAACACAAGCCCATGCCACCATGCCTGGGTAATTTTTTTGTTGTTTTTGTTGCTGTTTGTTTTTTTGTAGAGACAGGGTCTCACTTTGTTGCCCAACCTGGTTTCAAGCTCCTGGCCTCAAGCAATACTCCCATCTTGGCCTCCCAAAGTGCTTGGGTTATAGGCATGAGCCACCACACCTGGCCAAAACAGATTTTAAACCAATAAAAATAAAGTAGAACAATGAAGGGCACTATATAATGATATGGGGTACAATACAACAAGCAGCCTTAACTATCCTAAATATATACACACCCCACATTCAAGCACCCAGATTCATAAAATAGCTCCGTCTTGGCCTATAAAAAGACTTAAACAAGCACACAATAATAGGGGAAGACAAACACTCCACTGACAGTTTTAGACAAATTATACAGGCAAAAATCTAACAAAGAAACTCTGGACTTAAACTCAACACTTGATTAAGTGGACCTAACAGACATCTACAGAACACTCCACCCAACAACTACAAAATGTACATTCTTCTCATCTGTACATAGAATATATTCTAAGTCATAAAGTGAGACTCAACAAATTTTAAAAATAAGAAATTGCACCAAGTACACTCTCATACCACAGAGCAATAAAAACAGAAATCGATCCCAAGAAAGCTCTCAAAACTACACAAATACAAGGAAATTAAACAACTTACTCCTGAATAACTCCTGGGTGTACACTGAAGTTAAAGCAGATATAAAGAGTTCTGTAAAATTAATCAAAATAGGGACACAACTTTCTAAAATCTCTGAGATTTAGCCAAAACAGTATTAAGAGCAAGGATCTAGAATCAGAAATAACATTTGACCCAGCAATTCTGTTACTGGGTATATACTCAAAGGAATATAAATCATTCCATTATAAAGATACTATGCAGTCACAAAAAGGAATGAGATCAGGTCCTTTGCAGGGACATGGATGAAGCTGGAAGTCATCATCCTCAGCAAAGTAACATAGGAACAGAAAACCAAACACCACATGTTTTCACTCATAAGTGTCAGTTGCACAATGAGAACACATGGACACAGGGAGGGGAAAAACACACACCAGAGCCTGTTGGGACAGTGTGGGGGAAGGGGAGGGAGAGCATCAGGACAAATAGCTAGTAGATGTGGGGCTTAAAACCTAGGTGATGGGAAGTGCTACAAACCACCATGGCACATGTATACCTATGTAACAAAGCTGAATTAAGTTTGTATATCACATTGGATAATGTGGACATAATTCTTCCAATCCATGAAAAGTGACTATTTTTCTATGTATTTCTGTTATCTTCAATTCCTTTGATTGATGTTTTACAGTTTTCAATGTATACATCTTTCACCTCCTTAAATTTATTCCTAAGTATTTCATTCTTTTTGACGCTATTATAAATAGGATTGTCTATTGATTTATCAGAAAGATTGTTTCATGTGAAAAAATTAAATGTTAGCCTCATCTAAAGAATATCTTCTCAGAAACATTTAGAATAATCTTGATCAAATATCTGGATTTCATGGCTTAGCCCAGTTGACACATAAAACCAATGATCACAGCCTTCAGCTGCTCCAGGTTTCCATTATTCTTCAAGCTCATAATGCTATGAAAAAAAAAAAAAAGAGCACCTCTTCCTTGATGGTTCTAACAAAGTCCAAGAGAAGGTTGGGTTGCCTTGATGTACATGGCAATCTCTAATCCCAATGAGCAGAGATTGGCATATTAGTGTTTGACATGCCTAGGTCACACAGAGTGAGGTAGAAGGGGCAGCCAAAATTCTGCCAACAGAATGGCTTTCTTAAAGAAAAGGCATAGAGAACACGGAGGATAAAACAGGAATGTTGAGCAGATAGAAGTTCTGACTATGTGTTCCTGCAGACATTATCCTAGCCTACCTGCACAGTACTTTCAATATTGCACTAATATACTGTAATATCTTTTTTTATTTTCCAAGTACAGTTCTTTATTTCTTCAGAAAAATAAAAGAGGAGATAATTTCTGTCTTCCCTGGTTGCACCATAACTTTAGAATTTGTTTGTAGATATGAATACATCTGTTTTCCAACAGCACTGACAAATTCACATCTATCTAAGTCGTAAAGGGTTTTAAAACCATTTCTCAAGATTAAGAGTCAAACATCAGGGTCTTGTTAGATTAGAAAATAGACCTCTCTGGATATATGTACTACTAACAACAATCCCAAAGACTTTCTTGTGGGATGGAGTTAGGCTATGTCCAAGTGGTCCCAGATGGCTAGGGGTGGGAGTAATAATAATAATAAAAAAATGAGTGTAAAGAAAAACTATGGAACGTATGCCCTTGGAAGAGAATAAGCTCCCCATTAATGGTGACATTTAGGGACATTAAGGAGATGCTATAGAATTACTGATTAGGGAAATTGCTTATACATAACACAGGGAGTTAGACTAGAATCTAATGATTAGATTTTTTTTCTTTCAAGTCCTAAATACTCATAGCAAACCCAGGAATGTTAGGGTTGGGTGGAATAGTGAAGGCATAAGTACTTATATTTCTTAATGTAACAATAGATATGTCAATGAGGACCCATTTTAGAAAAATCCAGCTTATTTTCTCTGCTAAAATAAATGTTGGATTTTAATATCAAAATACTTAAGACTTTGACTTTTTTGCTTCTCTTGCAGAACACGTTTGATTATTCAACCTTGCATTTTCAAGAGGTAGTGCTCATTTTTACAAATTGATAAAAAAGGAGGAAATTTGAAAGCTAATTTTAAATTGTTTTGCCATAAGGCCTTGAACTATAGCTGCTCCATGTCTTCATCTTGTAACAATTTTTGGGCAGAAGTGACAGTAATTTTATTGACCTAAATGATAGTTTTCTCATGAATGTAATTCTCATATATTCGTTCAAAAGGTATGCCTTCAAGTCTTCACATTTAAATGCTGAAATCCTATTTATGTTTTAGAATGACAACTCGGAGGCAAACAAGTAATTGAAGAAAAAAATGAAACAAAAAATCAATTTACAACATGCATGAAGAATGTTAAAAACCAATTTAACAAAAAGGGACCTCCTAGCTTAAAAATTTCTAGTTGTATAGGTCAAAATAACCAAGAATTAGCAATTTCAATGTAATAATGATAATAATCATAAATAACAAAAGAGAAAAATGAAGAAAATATTAGAAGAAAAATTACAACAAAATCAAATGTTAAATATTAAAGTAGTAATAAATATTTTTGAATAAGTAAAGCTGTAAACAAATTGAAATCAAAACTAGATCAAAATAGCTAAATGCAAAAACCACAAACCACACTTCATAACTGTTACAAAAATTAATTCAAAAGGTGTAATAAACATAAAGGTAAAACCTGAAACTACAAAATATGGCAAAGAACATATAAGAATTAATACTTGTCACCTTGGATTAAACAGAGATTTTTTTAGCCAGATTTATAAAGGCAAAAACTAGATCAATTGTACTTCATCAAAACGAAGAACTTCTTCTAAAAAGAAATTGTTAAGAAGATACTGCACCCATCAACCCCAGAATACACATTATTTTCATCTGTACACAGAACTTACTCCAAGATTGTCCACATGCTCAGCCATAGAGCAAATCTCAATAAATTCAAAAAAATCAAAATCATATCAACCATACTCTCGGACCACAACGGAATAAAAATAGAAATCAATACCAAAAAGATCTCTCAAAACCACACAATTACATGGAAATTAACTTGCTCCTGAATGACTTTTGGTTAACAATGAAATAAAGGCATAAATAAACATTTCTTTGAAATAAATAAAATCAGATTCACAAAATACCCAAATCTCTGGAAAAGCAAAAACAGTGCTAAAAGTTTATAGCACTAAATGCCTACCTCAAAATATTAGGAAGAACTCTAATTATCTAATATCACACATAGATGAAATAGAGAAACAAGAACAAACTAACACCAAAGCTATCAGAAAAAAAAGAAATAACTAAAATCGCCATGGAGTTAACTGAAATTGAGACCCAAAAGTCCATACAAAGAATGCATATTATTTGAAAGAATAAACGAGATTGATAAACTCCTAGAGGCTGGGCGCAGGTTCCTCATGCCTGTGATCCTGACACTTGAAAAGACTGTGGTGGGAGCATGACTTGACCCCAGAAGTTTGAGATCAGCTTGGGCAACATAGTGAGATTCCATCTCTATAGAAAACATAAAAACTAGCCAGGCATGGTGGCACACAGCTATCATCCCAGCTACTGTGCATGCTGAGATGGGAGTATTTTGTATGTCCAGGAATTTGAGGCTGCAGTAAACTATGATCACACTACTGCACTCAGCCTGGGTAACAGAGTGGGACCCTGTGAAGAAGGAGAAAGAGAAGGAAAAGGAGAAAGAGAAAGGAGGAGGAGAAGAAGAAGAAGAGGAAGAAGAAGAAGAAGAAGAAGAAGAAGAAGAAGAAGAAGAAGAAGAAGAAGAAGAAGAAGAAGGAGAAGGAGAAGGAGAAGGAGAAGGAGAAGGAGAAGGAGGAGGAGAAAGAAGGAGAAGGAGAAGAAGAAGAAGAGGAAGAAGAAGAGGAAGAAGAAGAAGAGGAAGAAGAAGGGGAGGAGGAGGAGGGGAAGGAGGAGGAGGGGAAGGAGGAGGAGAAGAAGAAGAAGAGGAAGAAGAAGAAGAAGAAGGAGAAGGAGAAGGAGAAGGAGGAGGAGAAAGAAGGAGAAGGAGAAGAAGAAGAAGAGGAAGAAGAAGAGGAAGAAGAAGAAGAGGAAGAAGAAGGGGAGGAGGAGGAGGGGAAGGAGGAGGAGGGGAAGGAGGAGGAGGAAGAAGAAGAGGAGTAGGAAGGAGAAAAAAAGAAAAAAGAAAAGACCACTAGCTAGACTAACAAAGAAAAAATTGAAAGAAGATTCAAATAAGCACAATTAGAAACAATAAAGGTTCCAACATCACAACTGATCCCACAAAACATGTGAAAGAGATTTTATGAAGTCTTCTATGCACACAACTAGAAAATTATTGAGTTCTTTCAAATCTTCGGCTTTATTTCTCTGTGGCAGACTTTTATGTGCTCAGCATAAGGGAGGGGCTTAATAAATGCTGGTTCCTTTCCTCCCTTTCTTCCTTTGCATCACATAACATCCTATGCCTTTTGTTTAGGTGCTAACCAAAACCTCCTTTTCTCTCTTACTAGACTGTTCAAACTCTGAGAACAAGGACACCCATTTTTCTTCCTCTGAATTTTTCCTGCTGCTGTCACTATACTTTTCATGTGGTAGGCACTCAATACATGTTTGTTAATTTCTTATGTGTATAAAGTAAAATTGCCCATCCTGAAGTTCTTTCAGAGGGAGGGCAAATAGAGAGAAAGAGACAAGAAAGAGCCCAGCATCAGATTATATATGTGCGAGCAGCATCCTGAACTGTGGAAGAGACTTTGGGGCAATCTCACTTAATAATGGACTAAATCTTATGCTGGTTGGTCAGGAGTAAATGAGAGGTATTGGCAAATGAGAGGTATTGGCAGTGGAAGACCTACAGAAGCAATCATTGTAAAAGGTGACAAAGAGAGGCCATCTGATATGGTTGGGCTGTGTCCCCACCCAAATCTCGTCTTGGATTACAGTTCCCATAATCCCCATGTGTCATGGGAGGGACCCAGTGGGAGGTAATTGAATCATGGGGGTGGTTGCCCCTATGTTGCTGTTCTCATGATAGTGAATGAGTTCTCACAAGATCTGATGGCTTTATACGGGGTTTTTACCCTTTTTGCCCTGCACTTCTTGCAGCCACGATGTGAAGGTGGACATGCTTGCTTCCCCTTCTGCCATAATTATAAGTTTCTTGAGGCCTCAGCCCTGTCAAACTGTGAGTCAATTAAACCTTTCCTTTATAAATTACCTAGTCTCTGGTATGTCTTTATTAGCCACATGGGAACGGACTAATACACCATCTGCAGTGGAAAGAATGCACTGGCATTGCTACATAAGGATTGTAGGAGTTTATGGAAATCTTGCAGCAAAACTTTGCTGGGATAACAGGGGCTTGCAGTGCATGGTACAGAGACCTTTCAAAAAGACCTGATATTGGTGCTTGTGCAACATTAAACCACAGGGCATACCAGAAGAGAGAGGCAGATAGGATAGAAGTGACAGCTGAAGTAAGAACAAAATTTTTATTGAGCCAACTGGAATTTTCTTTTTAGTCCAATGCAGATCAAGAACACCAGACAAGTGACAGAAATATGTATGTTTATTGTATATTAAAATAGCCAGACTCTCTGTGCTCTGTGGGTGGGCTGGGTGGAAATAACCCTGAAGAGGGTGGGAGGAAGTGAGTTGACCTCTGTGACTGATGCTGCCAGTGTGGGCTGAGAAGCCTCAAACATGAAATTTATTAGGATACAAGTCCGATAATGAAGGAAAGCAAATGGAGACATCTGAGCTGGGTTCCTTTGCACAATACATCACCCTGGTGAGGAAGAAGATGCACTTTTGGATTACAAGGTACTTTCAAAAAATTACTGCAAATATTATACCTTGAAAAGGAACCTGTCTGTTCAAGAGTATCTAGAATATTTAGTAAAGTGGAAACAAAGGGTGAAAACAACCCACACAACAATCCTGCTGTGACACTTTCTCCTCTTCCCTCCCATTCTACTTTTTTTGCTCATAATCCATTTGATATGCAAGTTCTGCATGGCCATGATCATATTCTATGCATAATTCCATAGCTTGAATTTTTCTCCTAACAATATATTATATGTATTTTTTATGTTACCAGTTTTCCATAAGCACCATTTTAATGGCTGCCTAACAGTCCATCATATGGATGTGTTATCATTTAATCATTTCTTTTATTATCAATTTAGTTTTTTATCATATCAACAAAGTGAGAAGCTATGGTGTAATAAGCATATTCTTGCAAATATATTTATACATATTTATTTTCCCCTATGTCTTAGGTTATTTCATTTGGATAGATTTCTGGGAGTGGAATTGCTGGCTCATAATAACCTTGTATGAACATTTTTAAGACTCTGGATCCATTAATGCCAAATTGCTTTGTAAGACATTCACATCAATTTATATTCCCATGTGGTATGTGGGAGTTCTTAGAAAGATAAATACTAAGACACAGAGAAAGAAAGTATGCCAGAGTCTCTAGGTAAGAATTAATGGAATGAGCTCCAGGGAATCACAAAAGAGATAAAAGGAAATAAAATTACATTAGTGTTGTACAAACCGAGACTATTCTTTTCATATACCTGAAAAATAAATATTTGTTTATTCTCAGGTTATCACCATTGTTTGAGATCTGACTTCCATGATACCACCCCGATGACATCTTCTCACATCTCTCCAATGAAAATGTGCCATTCTTTTTCTCTTGCATCTCCCTTCAGAACCTTTCCTCTCACCCCTCTTTTTAAAGTTAGTTCTATTCATAGTGCCTTCTCAGGCCCAGGTTCAGCACAGGTGCTCAGACAATGATGGTTGGTTGATATTTGCATGTGCTAAGGCTACGAGGCCATGAAAAGAAAGTAATCAAGAAGGAAGATTAGCTGGGAGGGTCATGGAAGGAGAGGGTGAAGTTAGTGGTTCAGTTTACAGTGCAACTTTGCTTTCTCTTTGGTCATGATAAAGACGTAATTGACATGGAGATTTTCTGAAGCCATTAATGAGGAGATAGTAAAGAGAACTGTTATAGCCAAATGCGGATAAGGCTGAAGTCATCCCACATGTGGGGAGATGAGATTGAACAACTCATTTTTGAGAAGTGAGCTAGTGTCTGTGTACGTGATAGCATCTACTGGGGGTCCTAACCAGACCACTCTCCTGCAGGTGGTGCTGGGGATGGGGGAGAGCGTTTCTGAAGGGGAATGAGCACTCCAGCTGTCAGTCATCCTGGGAAGATGTGATCTTGGGTGGGAAAGAACTGGGTTGAGGAACCTGGCTTGTTTCTGTAGAGGCAAGTTAGTGTGGCCTATGTCCCCAGGAGGAGAAACATAGGTAGTATTCTCTTCTACACTAATTAGATTTTTAGCACAATCTTCACAAACATTGAGAGGCATATCTCAGTGAGCCTTCGTAGATTTCAGAAAAGGGCACATTCCAGGAAAGGAAGAAAGGAAGACAGAGGACAGCATAGGACTGGCATGCATGGAGTCATCATCTTGACATGACCGACTCCTTAAGAGTCACTGTTGGAGAGTGAGCAGAAGTCTTCAGAATGAGGAGGTACAGGAAAGGGCATGGGATCTGCTCCTGCACATACCTGATGCATCACCTTGGGGACCACTCAGGAAGAGCTGGTGATTCCATTAGACATGGTCAATTTCCAAACATAAAGGATGGAAGAAATAGTTGCCACTGTAACTCGTGTTCCATAGCAACGCCATAAGGACAAAATGAATTGCTTTATTCAGGTTTTTCTCCTCCTCCTGCTACAGGATTTTTACATATGTAGATTTAGTACTTCATCACATTTGCCTTATAGATTCATTCTGTATTCATGAATATTATCATGTGAAGAGATTATTTATATATAATTTGTATAAACATAAGTATTAAATCCTGGGTCAGGAAAGCCAGAATTGGCTGATATGGTTTGGCTGTGTCCCCACCCAAATCTCATCTTGAATTGTAGCTCCCATAATTCCCATGTGTTGCAGGAGGGGCCTGGTGGGAGATAATTGAATCATGGGGGTGGTTTTCCCTTGTACTGTTCTCATGGTAGTGATAAGTCTCATAAGATCTGATGGTTTTATAAGGGGAATCCCCTTTCACTTGGCTGTCATTCTCTCCTTGCCTCCCGCCATGTGAGACCTGGCTTTGCTCCTCCTCGCCTTCCACCATGATTGTGAGGTCTCCCAGCCACTATGAGTTCATTAAGCCTCTTTTTCTCTATAAATTACCCAGTCTCAGGTATGTCTTTATTAGCAGCATGACAACAGACTAATACACTGGCCATCTATAAAGAAAAGTTTAAAGAAAATAAAAAAACTTAAAGAGATAGAAATTGACCCCTCGTTGGCTGGGCGCGGTGGCTCACGCCTGTAATCCCAGCACTTTGGGAGGCTGAGGCAGGTGGATCACGAGGTCAGGAGATCGAGACCATCCTGGCCAACACAGTAAAACCCCGTCTCTACTAAAAATACAAAAAATTAGCCAGACGTGATGGTGGGTGCCTGTAGTCCCAGCTACTCGGGAGGCTGAGGCAGGAGAAGGGTGTGAACCCCAGAGGTGGAACTTGCAGTCAGCCTAGATGGTGCCACTGCACTCCACTCTGGGCTATAGAGCAAGACTCCATCTCACAGAAAAAAGAAAGAAAAAGAAAAGAAATTGACCCCTCATCTCTTGTAAGAAAATTTTAAAAAGTAAAATATAAATTGTATAAAATGAATTAATTAAGATGCTAAGGATGTAGAAATGCTAGAGATCTGAACACATTTACAAAGTAAAGGGAAAACATTTTATTAAAAGGTTTATACATAGCCTTTGGATGTGGTTGATATTATAGGTGATTGAATCATGTTATTTAATGTTGACCTGATACATTCACTGCTAATTAAATATGTTTAAAATTAAAGCAAATTATCTGGAAGTGGAGGGACAAAGGCAAACTTGAAGAACAAAGACTTTTCAAAACATCAGAAAGACTGACATGATTTAAGTGTGTGTTGGGGAGACAGTGCAATCCATTTAGGGGGCAAAATATACCTTATGAAGATGAGAAGGAGAACACTTGAAGGAAAAACATAACTCCAATAATGCAAGGTTTTTAAAAATTAATAACACCTTTATTATAGTTCATGTTGTTAAGATAATAAATATAAATATGTAATATAAAAATAAGCTTTTTAAATAAAAACATTTTCAGGATGCAGTTAAATGCCATAAAATTTCACAAAACGTATGACATTCATTTGAGAAGTTGCTATCATTAATTACTTACATAATTTAGGTAAACTTAACTACCAGATGGACTGTTCCCTCTATCAGGAGAGTATTTTCTATATCTGCATGAACAAATGCCACCAATTTTCAGTTATGTTCCAAATCATAGACTCCCTCCTTGATCAGCAGTACTTTATATTTCCATGTCACTTGGCACGTAATTACATTTTTTTTTTTAATTTAGAGTCAGCTTCTCCTCTGGAGACCCTAATTTAGTGTTTTTGTATTTAGTGAGTGTTTGGTAAACACAGGCCAAATGAAAGCAGGAGAAAACCTTGTCATTTCAAAGAGTTTCTCATGAATTTCAGCTTCAGTAATGTATCAGTTGTGAAAGTTCCATTTGCAAATTTAAACTGAAGTACAATTACCTTGATCTCCTTCAGTTTCGATATTTGATAGCCCTGTGAATCAAACTGAAAATAAATAACCCCACTGGTGGGCTTTGATTGACACAGCCCATCTATTCTGGGCAAAGTTCTGTGCTCAGCATGGAGATGGCTGAATCAATAGAACACTAAAGCTTCAAGCCCATCTTGGAGATGTTTGAATGCCCAAATGGAAATGTTGACCTTTTCTTGTTGGAAACTCAGTCCTCCATTTAATGAAGTTGCAGCTGCAAAGAAAAGTACATGGTTAGCTGGACTCAGAAAATACTTTTGTACTGATTGGATGTTGATAGTTCCTGATATCAAATCCCTTACCCTGATGCTGTTATTCCAGGCCATCATTAGAGGGCATGACCTTGAATGGCCTGGTCTGTAGCTCCTATTTCAAGCAGAGGCAAGAGAAATAAGATTTCAGGAAGACCAGCTAAGAGACACATCATCCTTTCGTTCTCCAAGGGACTGAAATGTATATCAAACAAGACATAGAAAAGCTCTAACCTGAGAGGTTGCAAAGGAGATTAAAAAACAACTTTCTGGCTTCCCTCAGCTCTCCAGGAAATTAAAAGGAAACTTGTTCCTGGAACACACTGATGTTAGAAATGGATGTGGAGGCATCACTTTCCCTGGGATAAGCGTGAGGTCCAGAGATTTTTTTTGTGAAAGCTTTGACATTTAGGGGAAAACCAGATTTCCTTGATATTTCCAGTTATGAAGAACATGGTGCCTTGAAAATCAGACACTTCACTTTGGGTTCCTAACTGTTGAAGTACCAGGGCTGGTGGCAGTTTCTGCATCTCATGAAATGGAGAGTTTACCACTCAGTGGGAATAAGCCCCTCTAATTCCTTTGAGTTGTTTCTGGGCAGAGAGATAGGCCTTTTTCCCTGACTTCAGAAGGCTGAAATAGTGTTTAAGTTCAGAAATTTAAGGAAATGGGATCTAGTTTGATATAAAGACTGTAGTTTTGTTTGTTTGTTTTTAAATGGTTAGATCAGAGGCATCCAATAATGAACTGAACCATCTTTGGAAGGAAAGGAATGAGTTGCTCACCCTCAGAGGCATTCAGACCTAAGTGTTCAGAAAGACTTTGTTAGAACTTTATCAAGATATTAAAGATGCTGGTGAGCAGGGAATGGTGAAGGCAGTGACCTGAGTGACCCTCAAGGCCCACTTCAACACTAGAGGCTAAAACTTAATTTCATCACCTATAAAATGGGGCTTTAGAAACATCCCTCCATCACAAAGCATCTGTGAGGATCACATGAGGCTGCATATATGCAGTGCCCAGGACAGTTCCACACCTACTGTGGGATCTCAAGTAAAGTTAGTGCTCTTCCTCTAAAGAATTCAGCTCTAACAGAAGCATTGCTGTGCCTGCAGTTCTGATTAAAATTTAAATATATACCTTGCTCCAAGATGTCTACCTGAAATGTCTTAGGAAAGAGGAGTTTTCATAAATATACATGCTTACAATGGTTATATACTGACATTTAAAAGCAATAATATTTGAACTGAGCAAGGAAAAAGGCTGGCACCCCAACGTGACTGCCCTGCATAATCACCTCGGCCCTTTTCTTGTTCACAAGGCAAGATTATGCACCCGAGCTCAGCACGGCACTGCTTGCTTTGCTTGCAGGTGAAATCTAAATCCAATGCCAGCCATTGATTTCTTATTGCTCTGTTTGTTTAATGTCACTGTCAGAAACTATGAATAAAAATCTCAATATTTTCTCTATAGCTCTCAAACCTAGACCTCTGATAGGCAGGAAATTCAGTCCTAAGAGGACAGTATCAAAATTAAGTCCTGACCAGAGACACAAGGTAATCACCCTTTGCTTTGATCCCTAAGGGATGGCTGTATTATGAAATTTCAATGTATCCAAAAAAGCCATATGCTTAACATATCTTTTGTCCACAAGTTAATGCATATATTTTATCTAATCCTAAATAAATCATCAAAAGGAAATACCTGAAACAAATTAAAATTTTTCTAAAACATGTTTGAATATTACAAGTCAAGTAATATTTTAAAGAATTAGAGGATGCTAGATCTTTTGGATATAAAAAGATATTATAGAGTAGCCAAAACTAACACAGTGTGGTACTTACATGAAATTAGATGGCTGGGTCAATGAGAGAGGGAAAATCCATATGTGCACTTACCCATATGGCTTCAAACTATCATTGTGTAATTGAATGGAAGGGGCCATTTTATAAATGGCATTTGTAAAATTAGCTAATCTTTGAGGGAATGAAAATTACAATAAATCCTTTGCATTTATCTACCAATATAAACCCCTGATGGATAAAGGGCTTATAATAAAATAATCTAAGCATAAAAAGTTAGAATAGAATTAACACTTTATGAGATCTTTGGATGAGGAAGTGCTTGTAAGTTTCAAAGTGATAAAAAACCTTAAAGGAAAAAATCTAAGAGTTTTTCTCTCATAAAATGAAAATTTTCTCTATAGTAAAATAAAAACAAAATTTAAAAGTTGGATTCAGAATAAAATGCTTAAAATCATCAGTGCGGGTGATGATATTTGATACCAGTAGAATTTGTACATATTTATAGTAAAAATTATCTCAGATTTTAATAGATATATTAGTAAAAAAAAAAGTCCCAAGTAAGAAAGAGTAAAGAGTAATCAGAAATGAGGAAAGAAATGGAATGTTTTCATCTGCTATGATAACCAAAACCAGAGAGATGGAGTAATTGGATATATTAAATTTGTGGTGAATTGGTAAATTGCTATGTATTGGGGATGATGGAAATCCATAGAAACACTTCAGAAAGTAATATATAAAGCATCAAGAGCCGTAAAAATTTCCAAGTCTTTTTAAGCACTAATCAAATAATTAATATTAAGGAAATTATTTAATGGATTAAAATTGTAACATCTCCAGTTGTCCTTCGGAGCATTGTCAGAAACTTAAAAAGCAGAATAAGCAGGGAAATGTAAGCACATTTACAATACCGTCCAGTTTAGAAGGAGGCTCAGCTCAAGCCATTGAACATATATGTATGCGGCAGGTTTCAAGAGGAAGACTTTCTAACACTGACACTCTGAGATATTTGACACAGTTTTTGGAGGGAGCCTTGGGAATTTAAATGATATAACCTAATTATTTTCAGCCCTGGCTACACATCAGTAGAAAAAAGGAATTTTTTTTTTGTAAATACTGATGCCTGGGTTCCACTTTTAACGAATTAAATCAGAATTTCTTGGGAATGTAGCCTAGGATTCTGTAACCCTTAAAAGTCCCCCAAGTGATTTTAATGTGCAGCCAAGAGTAAGATCCTATGTCAAGTAAGCATGCAAATATCATCAGATCTCTTCCTATAAAATCCCAGGAATATAGGGCTCCACCACCCCCGTCCCTCTTTATCTTCTAAACTAGAGACAAAACCAGACTACCTTGGGCCTCAGTAAAGTTAAATAAGAGAAAATATTTATTTTGTATTTATTTATTTATTTACACATTTGTGTGTTTATAATCTTAAAATTAATACTACATGGATTATCACATTTTCTCATTATAAATTTTTCTGAATATAAAATGAACTTATTCTCATATTGAAGTTGAAAAAACATGAATGTAGAACTCGAAATCACCTGAAATTTCTCAGCTTGAAAAAACATCTATAAATCTTTTGGTAGATTGTTTTTTCCCTCTATCTCTTTTTGTGTGTGAGTTTGTATGCATTTTTTTCACAATTAATATTATGCTATGTATAAAGTTTTCATAGTGTGTTTTCTTCATCACATCTTTTATTTCGTCTTTCCCCATATTAATAAGAAATTCTAATAAATAATTTGAATTGCTTTCTATTGGTTGGTAGGTTTTTTTCATTTTAAAATTTTTAATTATGTGAAGTGAAATAATGAAATTGCCTGCCTTGTATATGGTTACGTATAAATAAGAATAATAGTATTTAATCATACTTACCCTCAGGGAGACTATGAGGTTCAGGTATGATTAAACATTACTATCCATCTGTATTTATTAATATATAGAGATATTAATAATGTATTACTCATCAGAAAATTAGAGTACAAAACATGTATAATCTGTTCCAATCACAGAAAATATGCATAATATATTCTTGTAACTGCATAAGAAAATTGTGAAAAGATGTGCAACAGAAATATACAGTACACTCCATTCCGAATGATGTTGAATCACGAATGATTTTTTAAATGCTTTTCAATATGTTTTAGAATTTGAAATAAATATGTCTTATTTATATAACATAAATAAAAGCATGACTAATAAAATAAAAAGAAAAAGAACATTTTATTGAGAAAAGGTGGTAAATGGAAAACAACCACTTATTTACCTGCTACTAAATTCCAAAGATCTATTAATAAATACAGATAGAACATCATTGTCATTGTAAAGCCTGAATAATATTACATCATAGGAATGTACCATTATTAACCTAAAGTTTCTTTTTCAACATTTTCAGAATTTGAAAAGATTATGAGATAATAAAAAACTGCCTATCTCTATATATTTATCCAAGGATTGATGGACGAATGGGTGGATGGCTGGATGGGTGAATTGACAGGTTTTTTTGAGATAGTGTCTCACTCTGTCATCCAGGCTGGAGTGCAGTGGTGCAATCTCAGCTCACTGCAGCCTCGACCTCCCGGGTTCAAGTGATCCTCCCATCTCAGCCTCCCTAGTAGCTGGAACCACAGGGGCATACCACCATGCCCAGCTAAATTTTTTTTTTTTTTTTTGGTTGAGATGGGGTTTTGCCATGTTGCCCAGGCTGTTCTCAAACTCCTGAGCTTAAGTGATCTGCTTATCTTAGCCTCCCAAGGTGCTGGAATTACAGGTGTGTGCCATAACACATGGCATTATTTATTTAATATAAATCCCTAGGGGTTCTATAGGCATTCTGTGCATTTTTAAATTTTTCAACCATGTTATTAACATACTTGGGTAGAATAATTTTTGCTCCTGTATGGTACATGAGAGTGCCTGTTTCCCCACACCCTTACCAGCACTAGGTATTATGTTTCTTCTGCATGCATACATGCTTTCATTCATTCACTTATTCATTCATTCATTCATATTTGTCAACTGAGAATCGTATCATATCATATTTTGATTTTCATGCATTTGATTACTAGGGAAGCTGAGAATAATCTCATAGACTTGGTAGCCAATGTATTTTTTATTTTGTGCTCAGAGTGTCTGTGTGTCTCCCAACAATACTGTATTGCTCCTCGAAAGCTTAATTTTGCATTTCTATCTCTGTGTTGCTACTAGAATCTCAGACGTTCTGTTTATAACAATAAGAACCGAAGGCTCTCAGTGGTAGCTTTAGAAAGACTCAGAAATCATCTAAATATATGTAAGGCAGTAAGGGAGCCTGACGCAGCCAAATGTCTGATCCTTGTCTCCGCGTTTTTTTGCCTGAGAATCCTGCCGCTGGTGAGCCAAATTCCCTTGGGAAGAGAGAGCTTGTCTGATGTGTTTCCTGTCTAGCAGCTGTGTGGGTGTTGGCTCAGCTACACCAGAGCCCCGCTGGGATCAGGATTTCTCCTTTCTTAGCTGGTTCCTGCTGCTAGGGCATGAGAGGCTGGGAAGGGAGGACTGGGCTGTCTCCTGCTTCAGCCAACAAAGTGAATCAGACAAAGAATGAGGCTGAACTCATCAAGGGTGAGTGGGAGAGAGCATCATCAAGGTCTTTTAAATCAGACAGGGTAAGACGCCATCCTTATGGAGAGAAAGCTGGGCTACTGGTTACGAAACTTGTATGCATTGCAGTATGTGATGATGGGCTTTCCATCTGCCATTCCACCTTTGCAACTTGACTGGCAAGAGGGGTGTATTACAGCTGCCACTCAGAGGTAGTGAAACAGCCTGGAGCTTAGCTGTTTCTTCCTCCCATGATTCTGATTCTTTCTGGCTTCTAACTGCCCTGTTTCCCCAAACCCTTGCAGATTAGGAACCCCATAAGGAATTCACTGGTGTCTTCCGCTTATGTGTGAGACAGCACCTGTCTCCTCATGCTTTCAGCCCCTGTGGTTGGGAGCCAGGGGTTCTTCCCAAGCCAGAAGCAGCAGGTTAACAGAAAGGCTTGGGGGCTGTGTCCTGCATGGCTTTCCTCACTTATTCTATGGGATTCGCCGGAAATGAGCCTTACCTTTCCCCTCAGTGGGACTTGAGGGTAAAGTAAAAATGATCAATTTGTTCCCCCTTAGTCTTTATATTACTTGTTGTGTGTTCTTAAGAGATTTTCTTACTACTCTGTGCCTCTGGATACGGAAGCTCAGAACACACAAAGCGTAGATAACTAAGCCACCTTCACAAACTAGTCTAGAACTAATTTCACTTCTCCCCTTCCCAAATCCTATAGACCCATGGAAGGTTCAGCTGAGATTTAAAACCAAACAGCTGAAATTAAAAAAAAATTCAAAAGCAAAATAAAAACACACTCAGTTGTTTTGTTTCAACTTTCTGCTGCGGTGAATTTTTTTTTGTTGAGGCCCTGTTTTCTTTGAGCAAAACTACTCCCTAAAATCAGTCTTTGCTTTTTCATATCTCATGTGGCACATATAAAAGAGTATGTTTTGCTTTTTTGTGGGGGGTCATAGTAAGTATCTTAAGCACTCCTCTGCTATAAAAATTATTCCCTTGTATTGAAATTTGCCTGTCTCACTGCCTATATTTTCCTATAAACTAGGAACTCTTCAGAGAATATACTACCTTGTTTTGATCGTTGTAACTCCAACACCTTGTACAGTGCCTAACTTGTAAATAAATAATGTAAATTTAATGGTGAATGTAATGTACTGTAAGTTTAATGGTGAATGAATAAATGAATGAATGAATAAATGGTGAATGACTAAATGAATGGTGAATGAATAAATGAAGATATACTGCTTGTAGTTCCAGTCCTCTGACAATAACATTAAAGGTCAACATTGTCTCTCTCTCTGACAAATCAGTAATCTCAAACAGACAAGTTCTAGAAGCTACATGTGAGGTCTAGAAGCTCACATGCAGCAGTGATCTTTAAGATATCCCATGAACAGAACCTTTCTTTTCATAGATGCCTGAGAATAATGGGGAGAAGCAGCTAAAGTCACACAAAGCAATAGAGCAATAGGATAGATAGATTGATAGATAGATACTATATTTATATATCTATATCAACAAACATATATACCTATTAATATAAATATATCATGTACTTTCATTCTTATGCGTGTGTGTATATGCAGTTTTAAAAAAACTGATTCACGTGAATTTTAAAGAATATTCATTGAGTGCTAACCTTCCTCCCCTTCTGACTGTCACCCTCCATACTTTGCTAACCTTTGAGGATCACTGATTTTAGAGAGTAGCTATGAGGAGACTAGGATAGATGTCAGGGAGGCCAACCAGAGGCCCTTTTTGGTCATCCAGGATGAAAGTGCCAAAGCCTAGGCCAAGGAAGCATGGAGAGACTTTCTGGGAGGTAAAAATGAGGAGACATTCTTGTTCCTCCTCTTGGAGATGATCATCAATTACAGCACCGTACCTGGATTGAGGTAAACTCTTTATGAGAGCCCAGAGAGACCTTCCTTGATGAGGATATCTGCCACAGAGAATATTGTTTCCAGCTATTGAAAACATAGGATTGCAATTTATCAAAAAGCTCTGTAATTTGAGGTGCTCCTGCATTAAGTAGACGACCCCCCACACACACACACACAAATGAGCAGAACCAAAGGCTGGTGACACAAAACAGTCCTTCTTCTGATAAATGAAATCATGCATTTCAGAATAAATCCCCAAGTGCCTCCTGCCCTAGCTATCTGTAGTTCTTTCTCTTATATCCAGTGTCCCCTTTAACACGATCTGTCTTGTCTCTTGTTTGCCTTATAGTACTACAAAATGATCTTTCCCTCTCTTCCTGGCCTTAGCGAGCCAGCTCACTGCCCACGGAGGAGTCTCTGTGCCTTGTGTTTTTTCAGTGGATTTCCCACATGCTTCTGACCTTGACCTCATTCTTCTAAAACAAGGCTTTCTGGCAGCCTTGGCTAGGCTCTTATCTCTCCCATCCATGCAAGGGTGTCAGAATGTCCTAGGGAATCATAAATCAACGGCCCTGTCCTGACATCAGCTCTTTAGAAGCTCTTTGGGTGCCTTGAGTGCATTTGGAGGTCTGGACAGACCGCACTGGGCAGCTTTTATCCACAGACCCTTCCCAAAGCAGTGAGCTGATTGATGGCAAAATGGAGAATTAAACATTTATGCATGGAAGACCAGAAAGATGCAGGAAGAAAAGGGTTTAAGTGCATATGCTTGCAGGACAGACATTATCCTTGTCAGCGCTGTGGTTATGCTGAACACCCATTAGTCTCATCGCTATAGACCTTTGAGGAAAATCACCTCCAAGTGACATCTATCTCAGGGTCCACGAATCTTTTTAGGTATTTGAGCTGCCTCTGCATCCAAACAATTGCAAAGGACCTGTGCTCACTTTCTCTTCCTTTAAGATTTGTTGAGTAGGCAAGGCGTGGTGGCTCACCCTGGTAATCCCAGCACTTTGGGAGGTGGAGGCAGGCAGGTCACCAGGTCAGGAGTTTGGGACCAGCCTGGCCAACATGGTGAAACCCCATCTCTACTAAAAATACAAAACATTAGCTGAGCATGGTGGCAAACACCTGTCATCCCAGCTACTTGGGAGGCTGAGGCAGGAGAATCGCTTGAACCCAGGAGGCAGAGGTTGCAGTGAGCTGAGATCGTATCACTGCACTCCAGCCTGGGTGACAGTGCGAGACTCCGTGTCAAAAAAAAAAATCGTTGAGTAATATCTTGCCTAGTTTATTTACTGATCCCTTCTCTCCTACTTTGACTCTCTAATGAATTGTTTCTACCTGAAAAAAGTAGAGAACTTACCACCTCACTCCAGAGAAGACTCTGAGAGTCAGGGGAGGAAAGAGGATGCCCCACCTTGTCTTGTGGGATGTGTCATGAACAAGATGGGTCACACTCATTCTAGACAAGGTTGGAACTGGAAAGGCAAAATTAATCTCAATAGAAGTAAGAATTTTTTTAACAATATTACTGCTGCCAGGCAAGTAAAATGCACAGTCTTGGGAGACAATAGGTTCCCCTATACCTGGATGTTTCATAGAAAACTGTCTTAGTAACAACAGAATGGAGGAGTTCCTGTTTTTAATAATGTGCTGGGTGATGTTTAAGGGCCCTCCAAAATCTAAGATTCTAGGAATTTCTTCTGCCTCCATGACACTCTCCAGCTTTCCCTTCATAACATTTTGGGATCAATACTCAAAGGATTTGTTAGCCTTCCATATCTTACAAAAACTGTGGGTGATGGCTGGGTGAAGTGACTCACATCTGTAATTCCAGTGTTGGGGAGACTGATGAGCCCAGGAGTTCAAGACCAGCCTAGGCAACATAGCAAGATCCCATCTTTACCAAAAATAAAAATAAAAATAAAAATTAGCCAGGCCTGGTGGCACATGTATTAATCTGAGCTGCTTGGGAGGCTGAGGTGGGAGTATTGTTTGAGCCCAGGAATTGGAGGTTACAGGAAGTTATGATTGTTCCACTGTATGCCATCCTAGGTGACAGAGTGAAAACCTGACTCTAAAACAAAACAAAACAAAATGGCAGATGATTCCTTCATGGAATTTCATTAGGGAATCCCATTCTTCTGTAATATAGTGCACTTTTTGGATTCCATTTCTTACATGAAGTCCAAAGTAGAACCTATGGCCTTGGATGTCTAATTCCTCAGATTTCTAAATTGATTTAGAAAGGTTACCTGCAAAGTTAAGTAACTGAATTATACTAAGTGGGGAGGTACATTGCATACTTTTTAATAATGACCCGTTAACTTCCTAAGCGTGACAAGAACTTTTCTGATGACATGGCAGCATTCTCAGCCATGGTAAAGAGTGAGGGCATGTTTGAATCCTTCTGTGCCTCCACTCCTGCCTCTGTTTCTCTTTGTCTCTCTGTCTCTTTTTCTATTTCTCTGCTTTCTCTCTTTCTATTAAACTGGGTCATCCTCCTAAATATGTTACATGAGTGCAGATACCTGGGTACCTTATGTAGCCAGGACGGTATGAGAAGAATCAACCAGAGAACAGGCAAGTGATTGAAAAAGCATTTGGGACTTAGAGCCACAAGAGTCAGCACAAGGTGTGAGCACAGGCTTTGAGGTCTGTTGAAAATAAATTTTAATTCTGGTTTGACCTCTCTATCTCTGAATCTGTTACCTCATTAATAAAATAGAGGTAATTATAAGATTTTAAAAATAGATTAATACCAATAGATACTAGTAGATCCTACAACAATACCTGGGAATAATTGAGATAGGCTAGGTAAGTACTAATATATTATATTACTGAGATAATAACCATCTGCCTTGGTCCATTTTGGCTGCCACAGCAAAATGCCACAGAGTGGGTACCTTAGAAACAAAAACTTATTTCTCACAGTTTTTTTTGTTGTTGTTGTTGCTTTTGTTTTTTTTTTCAGACAGGGCCTTGCTCTGTCACCCAGGCGGGAGTGCAGTGGTGCAATCTCTGCTCACTACAACCCCCACCTCCCAGGTTCAAGGGATTCTCCTGCCTCAGCCTCAGGAGTAGCTGGGATGACAGGCATGCACCACCATGTCTGGCCAATTTTTGTATTTTTAGTAGACAGGGTTTCATCATGTTGGTCAGGCTGGTCTTGAACTGCTGACCTCAGGTGATCACCTGCCTAGGCCTCCCAAAGTGCTAAGATTACAGGTGTGAGCCACCACGCCTGACCTGTTTCTCACAGTTCTACAGGCTGAGAAACCAATCAAGGTGCTGACAAATTTGGTACGTTGAGGGCCATCTTGCGGTTCATAGAAGGCATCTTTCTGCTGCTTTCTCACACTGCGGAAGGAGAAAACAAGCTCCTACAGGCCTCCCTTATAATGGCACTAATCCTATTCAGGAGGGCTCCACCCTCAGTGTGTTTCTCTTGTGGTTCTAAATTCAAATGCTTTTCCAATAATGACCTCCATGGACCTCGCCTCTTAATACTATCACATTGGGGATTAGGTTTCAAAATATGAATTTTGAGGACAGCATAAATATTCAGTCTACAGCACTCTCTTAAAAAGAAAAACTACAGAGGATATTTCTTTAGCTAAAGGGCCCATGAGTGTCATACATTTTATAGAATGGTGAGCTATTACAAAAGAAGTGAGCTTACAGAACCAACATATAGGAAATTGGAAGGTGCTCACATTTTCAGGAAGAGTGGTTTTCTGGAACTCAGCAATTCTCTGGGTGGGCATGGTGAATTGGTGATATAGGCTGACCTAGAATACAAGATTGGGAAGAATTTCTTGTTGATAGAATTTGACTTTTACATAAAAGAAGAGCTTAGCTGTCTTTGGAGAAAGATGTATCTTTACAAGTCTGAAGTCAAGTGCCCCGGTAGGTTAAGGATCCTGGGTAGGCAGGAGGAGTAAACGGTACTGGTCCTGGATACACATCAGTTCCTCTGCTGGGGTCTTAGACATATCTTCTTGTGTCCACAATTCTGAGAAGTAGGTGCTATTTTTAATGAAGATTATTCTATTTTCAGGAAGCATCTCGGTCAATTTTATTTTAGTTTTTTAAATTATTGTTATTTTTTAAGAATGGATCTTTCTCTGTCATCCAGGCTGGAGTGCAGTGGTGCAATCATAGTTCACTGCAGCCTTGAGTTCCTGGGCTCAAACCATCCTCCCATCTCGGCCTCCCAACATGCTGAGATTACAGACATGAGCTGCTACACCTGGGTCACATCGCATTTTAGAGCAAATGATTTTCTCAAAATGACTAGCTGTTTTGTGACATATGCCTTCCTCTTACCTGCCCTAAAATACTTCTATCGAATTCCCTTGTCCTGATGTACTGCAGGTTGGTTCATTCTAACCCAAAGTTTGTAGTGTGTGACCTTACCTCCTTTTATCCTTTGCTTTTTAAGATAAACTTTGTCATTCTTATCAGGCGTGTGCACACACTTATGCATCCACATTCCTTATAGAAGTAATCACATTGCATCATAACTGTCAGTTTGTCTTTCTACTCTTTGAGAGCATAAACAAGGTCTAATCATCTCTGTATATTCATGTCTTAGCATAGTTGTTACATAGAGGACATATTCAAATTGCTGAATATTCGAATTGCTGAATGAATAACTGAATAAATACCTTCTATAATAACTTCTCTTTCTGGATCTTCTTGGCAATCATGATCATCTTTGGTGTCAGGCATACTGGGTGTGGAATAACAGGATTACGAAGTCCACCATTCTATACCAGAGTGAGATTATCTTTTTGATCTTTTTAAGAATATTTTTACAAGGAAGAAATTTCAGATTAATGGGATGCTTTTCTGCCAGCTATGTACATCCTTTAAAAAATAATAGTTTATAAAATTTTCATCCCAGTGCTAGCCAAGCATCTTAAGACACAATCAAGTATGAAGGCATCTCTTGATGATAATGAGGGTGGGTGAAGTGGGAAAACAGTGTTTCTGTAACTCAGGCTGTCTCCAGGATAAAGTATTATCACCCTTCTCGGAAACTACATCAACAGCATTACCATGGGGCCCCCGTGAGACATCTACCCCTACTCATGCACATGCATTATGAAGGGTCTACGCCATTCTGCTGTCAGATGGGCTGGTGGTTAGCAAGTTCAGTCTTAGTGAAAATAACTCTTTGGTATGTGATCTCATATACAAATAGCTATTTATGTCGGGCTTTCCTCTACCTCAACCCATCAAACCACACTCCTTAGAGATTTCTCACTGGGTTTTAATGTATTAGCAAAGCAGAAGATATCACGTGGTAAAGGAATTTTCTACCTTATGCTGCCATCTGTCGTAATATATGTCTTTCCCTTATTATATGTATCAAGCTACTCAGATACATATGGCTGCATTATATTGGCATTTGTCTTTCTTGAAGAGTTTGGAGACAAATGATACATTTGGAAGATACTTTTAAATAAGGTGTATGAATTCAAAGACAAGGATGGGTATAGCAATAATGACCAAGGGCTTGGTTTCTTCTCTTCTCTTGCTGGAATTTCAAATTGAAAAGACCAAAATTGACATTTCTGTTTCAGAATTACACATGTAGTTCATATAGGGCTAATTCAGAGGGGTGATGAGCTTTGCAATCCTGATCAGTCCTGGTATTCAATCTTACCTTTCTCTCCAACTCTAACAGTGCCTAGTATATATGTTCAATAAATAATAAGTAGTGTTATCACTATTGCCAGGTCACTTCAAAGCTTGGTGACACAGCCATGTGTCTCAGCCATCCCATACTCCACCTGACTTACATATTCACCCCACTTGGGATGATTATTTGCACTTGGGTCCAATTGTCTGCTGTGGTACTGGAGCTGAGCTCTTTGAACTCATGTTTCATATTGCAAGGCAAAATGTGCTTTACGTGCTTCCACTCTTGCTTGCCTCTCTAGTCTCAACTATGTCTTTCCCTTCTCCTAGTGTCTTCACCATCGTAGAGAACCATCTACAGGCAGGGTGATCTTAGGGAATTTACTTAATTTCTCTGAGCTTCCTTACCTGTATGATGATAATGATCATGGTACCTACCCGAAGGCTGTTGGAAGACTAGTTGAGTACATTCATACAAAGTTCTTATTAGCACTTTATTAATAAGTTTTCTTTAGTGAAGATAAACTGATTGGGCAAAGAGGAAAGACCAAGTAGGAGGGAGGGAATTACAATAGAGATGTTGGGAGTACAGATGGAGCAGTGGCAGAAGTGAACACATCTAATGTGTTCAGCTTACTATAAGGTACAGGACTAAACATTTTACCTGAATTGATGTCCTAATATATGAGAGAACCATGAAATGTAAGTAGCCCCATTTTGAAAATGAGGAGACTATATTTCAGAGAGATAAAAACAAAACAAAAAATTTATTTGATTGGTAGAGCCAGAATTTGTTCAAGATTTGTGTGAGGCAGAAATATTGGTCTATATTTGAAACAGAAAAGAAACAGAAAAAATAGTAGTTTGCACCATGTTTATAGGTTACCAGATGCTCTCAAACATATTGTCTAATTTGCTTTCAAATCATACAGTAAAATCAAAAGAACTATCTTTAGTTTGAAATAAATAGGAAAATTATTATTTAAGGAGACAATGAACTTAAAACCAGGTAAAATGGTTCATTCATGTAATGGAGTACCATGCAGCCATTTTTTTTTAGAGATGATATAAAGCCTATTTTGACATTGAAAAATGTGCTCTGAATCTTGTTGATTAACATAAGCAGGTTAGAGAGTCATATATGTGGTATGATCAAATATTTATGAATGAGCGTGCATTGCTTCCATAATCAGAAAAAAATAATTATGCTATTTGAATTTTGAAAATAAAAATAAACTCATTCCACTTTTTAGACAAAACAAAAACAAAATCTCTGATTGGATTAGTACCTATCTTTTTGTAAAATTTGAGAGTCATATATGTGGTATGATCAAATATTTATGAATGAGCATGCATTGCTTCCATAATCAGAAAAAATAATTATGCTATTTGAATTTTGAAAATAAAAATAAACTCATTCCACTTTTTAGACAAAACAAAAAATCTCCAATTGGATTAGCACCTATCTTTTTGTAAAATTTGAGTTTAAGCCTGTAATGTCTTTTTCTGGGGGGTGGAGGGGGATTAGCAGCTCTGTAATAACAGCCTCTCCTACTAACCTGTAAGCTCCATGAAGTCAATGGTCATGTCTATCTCTTTATCCCCAGCACCTAGAACGGAAGCTAGCACAGAGGACATTCTCAAGAGAAAAGGTTTCCTTTATGTGTTTGTGTTAAAACTGGATGTGTGTGTGTGTATATATATATGTGTGTGTCCATATATGTGTGTGTGTGTACCTTTATATGTATATATATATATAAAATGTGTATTGAAAGCCTCATCATTCAGACTCATCTGTCCTCAGATTTCTCAGCTTTGTAAAGTGCCAGGTAAGTGTTCTTTATTCTTTCATCTGCAGTCCATGGGAAACTTTAGCTCATGTCATAATGTGTTACTTTTGAAGGTTCTACTTAAAATGAATAGATGATAGAAATTAACCACAGTCCTTAGTTCCCTTCTCCCTCACTGCAGAGAAGAAGCCTTGCTGCTACTGTGCCAATGCAGATGACAGAGCTGAATGTCCCATCACTGTGGGGGTAAGGGGGCCACATTCTCTCTATGCTTCCAACTTGTGATGAGAGAATTCCTGGAGTCCCCAACATCAGATTTCAGAGCCAATATCTGTCTTGCTCAACTGGACCACACCCTTGCTGTTTGCTAAGCCTGTTCTCCTTACTCATCAATTTGATGCGTCTTCCCTGTGCTTCCAAAGTGAGTGTGAATGAACTTTGTTTTCACTATTCTTGTGCGACTTCATTCTCTTATTAACAAACTGGAAAAGTCCTTTCAAAGAGATGTGCAAAGATAGAAACAAAACATAGGTAGGGCTTTTTACTCAGTGCAGCTAAAGTCAGTGGAACTGAGGGGAGAATATCAATCTTAGTCTAGAATGAAGCAAGAGATTGTATCTTACTAACAAATTGTAAGTAAGACCACACAGACACACAGACACACACACACACACACACTCCATCAAATGAGAGGAAGAATGTGACACCCTTGTAAATACAGCATGGATTATGTCAAGAGAAATAATTTAGTAGAAAGGCTGGGCAAAACGTAGAGCAAGAGTCAGAGGAGGTCTTTTATTTGATGCTATCAGGAACAGGCCTGGTAATTCAAAGGATCAGAATAAACAAGAAAAGCTAAGGGTAGGCCAAGCTGTTTCTAGCAATGTATTGCTGAAGACACATCTTTTTCCCTCACATCTGTTTTAGATATATGAAGCTTCCTAATTCAGAGACTTAAAATATTGGTGTTCAACTCTCATATCTTATTTCATTCCTCACCAGATTGCGGGGGAAAAAACAATAAGTAGTCTAGAGGGAGGTGTAGAAAAATTCTGCATTAGCATGCTTCTAAGATACTTTTAACTCTGTTTTATCTTTGCAATTCACTCTAGCAGCCACATCGTCTTTGTCCCCGAGTTCCAAGTTTTATAGGGATGGTAAATACACTAGTATTCTGCGTTTTCCTTAACTTACTTGGTGTTCAACTTTGCTAAACTTGCAGATGCCAGTTTGGGGACATTCAGTGGGAATACAAATAGCCACAAGTATTTTTATTGATCAAAAGAAATGTGTTTGAACAATCCTCAATAGATTTAAAAATGAGAGAACCCCAATGTTAGAATTTTACTCTAGGAGCATTTCCTTCTCTTTAATTGCCCGCTTGCTCCTTCATTACGCTGACGCTCTCCTTCAGTGTTTAAATACTGCAGCTGTTTTTCCTCTGTTTGTCTCTTTTAGAGTGAACTATTAACTTGTCATTTCAATCTTCTAAAAAAAATGCTTATGATTGACAAAACTTTATGAAATAGTGCCAAATGAGAGAAAATTAGTGCCATGAACAAGGAACAGCTAAGCAATATTCGGAGAGAAATTTGTCATTGTGGGCTAACAGTGTAATTGGCTGGTTAAATATATTATAAACAGGCTGGGTTCTCTACCCTGACCCTTCTCTTTTCTTTGAATTCCTGCAAGACATAAAGTTATACAATTTCAGGATGTTCGGCTTTGAAAGGATTTTTCATTTGATACGTTTTTGTTTGGTTCCTTTTAAAGTGAATGCTATGAATACAGAAAGTACTATATGACAATAATCTTCTTAAAGATAAAGTAGCAGAGAGCCTTTAATTTTCTGTTTTTTCACTAGTGATCAGTGGCTCTCTTAATCACCATTCCTTTCATTTTGGGTAATAAGACATTAAAATAGCCAAGGAAGACAGATCTAAGTAAACTGGGCTTTTTTACTCTCCTTAATACTTCTTTTAAATGAAAGCATAACTTACATATAATAAATACACACATTTCAACATTTTAATGTGCAGTTGAGTGGCTTCTGACAGGTATGTACTGCTGTAATTGTCATCCAAATTGAGAGAAATCAGATTTTTTAAAAATAGACTTCGAAGCATATTTTTATAGATTTTCAGATCCTGTTACCCCCAAAATGATAGAGAAACTTCCTTATGAAGCATGCTCTTTTAATTTTTCGTAAAGAACTCATGATTCTAACTCCAAAATAAACTTTGTCCGAAGACCTTATTTTTGAAACAGCAGCTGGGTAAATGAATGAAGGAAATTCAGTGGGGTATAATAAGTAGGGTAAAAAATCAGCTACTTTTTCCTGGACTGAAATTTGTCATATGAGAGGTGCTGTTTTTAGTCTTTCTCTAACTACCCCTTGAGCCCCAGATCACAACTCTGTGTGCAGAAATAGAACACTGACATCAGATAGATCTGGCAAATCTTCCATAAACTTATTTATTCATTTATTTATTTATTTTCACTGTGTCTACAGCAGCTCAGCTGCTAAATGCCTGTATAATGGCCAATTAAAATAGCTTTTAGACATTATATTTTTTCAATTAAGATGTGATTCACTAAACCAATCAATTATAGGTTATGATAAAATTTCAAAGGTGACTTAAAATGCAATAGCATGGAATTAAGAAATCATACTTGGCTCAAAAGGGCCACCTTCATTTTGAAGTCAACCAATACACTGTGTACGAGCTCCAAAAAGTGTGGCAATCTTGCCCACTCCCTCCCCATGTCTAACTGATGCATTAAAATAAATTAAGAGGCCAATTTAAAAACATGCCTCTGAAGCTGCCCCCACACAATTACATCAGGGACAAATAGAATCATATTTTTCATAACAACTAGCCGGTGATTTATTCCACCCTTGAGATAAATGCAAAAATGGGAACAGCTAACATCCCTTTGTAGAAAGGAAGCACTTGTCATTATGAAAGTTTGTTCTTCTTTCAGCTTTGCCGATACACCCCAGTATGCGTCCAGATGTGGGCATGTGCGTTATTCTGGTGCACTCTTCTGACAGAAGCTCATGGTGAAAACATTTTCTTTCTTTCTTTTTTCTTTCTTTTTTTTTTTTTTTCCTTTATTTTTTTGAGATGGAGACTCGCCAGGCTGGAGTGCAGTGGCGCGATCTTGGCTCACTGCAACCTCCGCCTCCTGGGTTCAAGCGATTCTCCTGCCTCAGCCTCCCGAGTAGCTGGGACTACAGGCACACACCACCATGCCCAGCTAATGATGAGAACATTTTCATTAGGCAGGAGCTGTAGTTGTCACTGAAAGTGAACAAGATTAGTATTGACTGTGGGAAGCAAAGGTCGGAGAGAATCCTGCCTTTCCCATTAGTGTCCCTTTCCCTATGTATCTAATCATTTCAGGTCCCAATGAGTTCTTTGTGTGCAGGATTCCTGCTTTAAATGTTATAATACATCAACCTAATGTTCATCTCAAGAAATGTGCTTCAAAGGCTATTCCAATTTTGCTGCCATAAATTTATTACTTAAGAAAAATTCTGTGACATACAATATTTTAGTAAAAATGCAGGAGGGGTAACAGAGGGCAAAGACGGGAAGGGGGGATGGACAATAACCTTCATCACTCGTTATTGCAGTGGGACTTCCTAGTGTGGCCAGAGAGGTCAAAGGTGGTGGAGGATCCAGAGATAACAGAGTAGAATAGAGGAGAAGGCCTTTTTTGTTGTTTGCTGTGCTCCCAGGGTGACTCTTCAGCAGAGGCCCTGGGAGGCACTAGTGGCTTTACGAGCTTGATAAAGACACCTGATCACCCATTCCTCCTTAAAGTCTCAGCACTGACAGCGTTAGCCTCTAACTACACCACCTCCTTCCCAGTTCTCTAGCTAGAAATGCATACTCTAGGGCCTCAGGCTATATCCCACACCGAAGTCCATTTTGTCAGCAAAATAGAATGTGTCTGGTTATTGCTTCCAGACTCTTCCCAGATCCTAAAGAAATTAAAAATAAATGCAGTCTGCTGGGGCCAAGGCATGGAGTGCTATGGCATCCCAGCCCTGAGCAGAAATCTGCAGCCCCAAGGAGCATATTCTTGCTGTCAGAGAGCCTGGGCTTCCATATTCCCCTTCCTGTGCTCTGGGAAAATCTTACCCTCTCTGTGCTATGGTAACCTCATTTGTAAAAACATAGACTCTGCTTCATGATATTTGGACAAATTTACCCTATAATGATGCAATATGCTTGGTATAGGGTTGGCACAAAGTGAGGACTCAGCATGTGTTAATTCCTTCTTCACCTCTTCCTCCAATGCTTCTTCCAGCTACTTTCTTCTTGTCTACATTTTTATCGTTTTGCAGCCCCAGACAATTTGCTTGTGCCATCAAAACAATATTGGAGAGGGAGTTTGGATTCCCTTGCCTAAATCTGAAGGGCCCTGGTATGGGAGGCATGCATTTCTGCACCTCTGTCTAGGATCCAGAATCAGATGCTGCTGGCTTCCTATTGGCCTCCCCTTGCAAGGGGAGAAGCCACCTCTTGTGCTCTGAAGCCACCTATAATGGAACACCTGCCATGACACTGTGCCATCCTGAAACTGTTTCTTAAATGTAGTCATTTGTTTGCCCATTTATTAATTTAAGTTTCATATATTTATTAGGTTCTTACTGAAGTCTTCCTCTGTATCCTCATCAGGGTGCAGGTACGGTCTCCTGCTCTTCAAGTCAGCATGGCCTTAGTTAGCTTAGACAGAGGAACAGATGTTTTCTTTCATTTCTCATATTCCTTTTAACACTTGAAAAGTTCCTTCTCTACCAGACTTAGTTTCTCTTTTACATATGACACTCTTTATGGTGCTGCTGACCTTGATGTAGACTAATTATAGTAAGACAGATGTTTCTCCTGAGGACATAAGAATTAAGCATAGGCTATCTTTCTGCAAACATGAATGTAGCATCTTATGAAATCCTCCAGTTCTGCCTATGAAAAGCTGTGTGACCTTGGCAAGTTGCCTGGCTTCTCTGAGCAGCATTTCCTTCCTCCCCCACCCCAAATTTTAATCAGACCTAATATCATTCCCCTTCTTCAGGATTCTGTGAAATAATCTCAAAGGAAGCTTTTGGCCATGGAAGCTCAAACTGAGGATATCATCAATGTTATCATTCTCCCTTCATTCATTTTTAAGGTTGATTATTCTCAATTCAGTTTGTCAGAACGTCCAATGTTACAGGTTTAAGACAAAGTTGAGTTTGTTCCTAGCTTTGCTGCTAACCAGCCATGTGACAATGAGCAATTTGAGGAAGCCGAGACTCAATTTTCTTTTCTACAAAATACTTATAAAAACAATACCTTCCATTGAGGAATTGTGAGCTAATGGCTCTAAAACACTCATTTGTGTCTCCTGACAATAAAAACAACAAATGAAAAGATTTTTATCATCAGCAATTGCATCTTCAAAATTATTATGAAAAAGGCAAGTCCTTCAATAACCTTGGTTAGTGACAGCTAAATGGAATGAAGAAGTCCCCTTTTCACCAAAGAAAAGAGTGCTGGAGAACTGTCAGGTAACGAATAGTTTTCATGGCCAGGCAAGGTGGCTCACGACTGTAATTCCAGCACATTGGGAGGCCGAGGCGAGCGAATCAGGAAGTCGGGAGTTCAAGACCAGCCTGGCCAACATGGTGAAACCCTGTCTCTACTAAAAATACAAAAACTTGGCTGAGTGTGGTGGCATGCACCTGTAATCCCAGCTACTTCGGAGGCTGAGGCAAGAGAATTGCTTTAACCTGGGAGGCGGAGGCTGCAGTGAGCTGAGATTGTGCCACTGCACTCCAGCCGCCTGGGCGACGGAGTGAGGCTCCATCTTCGGGCGGGGTGGGTGGAGGCTGGGAAGAACAGTTTTCACAAGAAGACTGGAATGATTTGCAATGCAATTTTTTCTTATGTGACTCCTCACCTCTCATCCTCTGTTCTTTATTTAAATTTCCCAATGCCCAGTGATATGGTTTGGCTCTGTGTACCCACCCAAATCTCATCTCAAATTGTAATCCCCACATGTCAGGGGAGGGGCCTGGTGGGAGGTAACTGAATCATGGGGGCAGACCCCCCTCCCACTGTTCTCATGATAGTGAGAGAGTTTTCAGGAGATTGGACAGTTTAAAAGTGTGTGGCGGTCCCCCTCGCCATCCACCACCCTCCAGTCATCATGGTAAGACATGCTTGCTTCCCCTTCACCTTCCACCATGACTGTAAGTTACCTGAGGCTTTCCAGTTGTTTTCCCGTTAAGCCTGCAAAAGCGTGAGTTAGTTAAATCTCTTTTCTTCATAAATTACCCAGTCTCAGGTAGTTCTCTATAGCAGTGTGAAAGCAGACTAATACACCCATAAAAGCACCCATAGAAAATCTCCCTCCTACACAAATGGTGTGTGTCAGTCAGCTGCATAAATTATTCTTCTGATCTGCTGTTTCAGTGTAATCAATTTAGACAGTCAGTGTCTGTAAGGAACCCAAACTTATGGATGTCTACCAAAGATGCATCAGACAGATATTTTTCTCATGTGCACTCAGACATACTGACACTGAGAGCCAGTGAAAATTATCAAAGAACCACTTTTTGTGTGATTGCTGTGTGCTACAGAGCAGGAATTTTACATACATCATCCCTTTGAATACTTAGAATGAAACTGTAAACTAGATAATATTTCCATTTTACAGATGAATAGACTGAGCCTTACAAAGGTAAATTAACTTGGTAATTTCAGTTTACATCACTTTTATAGGAGGATCTGGGATTCGGTTGTAGATCTGTTTGAGGCTAATCATTTCTCTACTCTGCTCTTCTTCCTCTAGGACAAGTCAGAAAATATTGGGGAGAGATTTTCTGTTGAATGTCTATATATTTCATAGTGAGTAGATGAACAGGAGGCTTTAAGTATGGCTTTTTTAGGGAACTGAGAATTTAAAGTGAATTCTCTTCTTTCCATGTGATAGAGAAAGGGTTATATTCCCAGTGCTAGTGTTAAAGTTAATGGACTGGATCATAAATGAATTAGACAGATGAATAACAAATTAAAAAATAAAAGAGCCACCCTCTAATATGTGGCATTCTCCTAATCTTCACAGTAAAAATATACCCCTCTCTGAAGGTGTAAGTAAAACGCTCTGACATTTGAAAGAGTGATGTGCAGAAGCTTCAAGAATCTTGCAGTGTTTAAACACCTCTCGAATACATCTTATTATTCCCACATTATAGATGAGGGAACCGAGGCTGAGAAATGAGTTGCCTGAATGTCAGCCAGAAGGAAAGTGGGAGATCCATTTGGGGATCAGGGTGATCTTTCTGGAGCTCAGTGCATGCGACATTTCCTTTTCTAAGCTGTCTTCACTCCATTGGACTTAGTGAGAGGCAAGACTATGAGCTTTCTTCTTACATGGATAGGACCGTGCTAAGCCCTGTCCCCGCACCCACCCTTCAGACTTCCGGTTTCCCGTCTGCAAAGCAGAAATGACATTGTTTGTCCCATGAGGCTATTGTGACTATTAGATTTAGTAATAGCTGTAAAGTGTGTTTTGTCATGTTTAGCACGCACTTTATGCTTTTAACAAATGCTACTTTCACTTCTTTCCCTTTGAATAGTCCGTTGGATAAATAAAATAAACCTTACTCCATTTCTCAGATTAGGATGCCCAGATCACAGTTGCTGACAGCTTGCATGGCTTTATGTTCAATAAAGAGGCACACAGAAGATTTATCACCCAGATGTGACAAATGAGCCCTTTCCCTTTTCATTAACTTGTGTCAGGCCATATATCGAAATTACAGTGTGTCATCATTCTTGATGACCTTTGAGCTATCGATTCTTCCAATTTTCATAAATGAATATTCCATCCATAGGACATGTATCTGCCAGTTTCAGAGATCAATACCATCTTTTGTGGTGGTCATTACAGGAACTTGTAATGTAACCTCTCAAACAGATGCTTGAGTCACAAGGAAGCAATTCATTCTATCCAGTATAAACAGACCTCAGCATTTTTGTTGGGAAATGCAACAATCTCAGACAATCACTGTCTCTAATGCACAATTCTTACTGGAAAGGATCCCACGCTCCAGGGGAATTTGAGTCAGTTATTTACACAGTCATTAAAAACCTTTTTAATTTTTTTAAACACCAACAGTGTGTCATACTCAGTACTAAGCACAGTGTCTATAATAGGTACTACAGGATGTGCATACACAAACGTACACATTATGTACATTATGCACATATGTATATATGTATATGGTAGAACCTCTGATTTGCAGAGATGACATGAACATAAATAACTACCAAATGACCAAAAGTATTATATTTCAAAAGAGAGATATAGCTAATAGGCTATAAGAGTTTAGAAGAAAAAAGAAAACACCAGTTCCACAGTAGGTATATCAGAGATGATGTCATAGATAGTGAAGTTTATATAGGATTGGAACAATGTACACCAGGAAACAGAGGGTTTTGAGGACAGAAAAACAATATAAACTGATAGAGTGACTATGAAGTAGTGAACATGTTATGCACACTATAAGTGTGAGCACTGTTTCTCACGGATCCTTGTTTTCGTGGCACCTGTGTCAGCACATAGTTGGTGAACATTAATGGTGTGTTGAATGAGAGTATCTGTGGACAAATTAAACAAGGCTTGTGGATGATTAATTTTCTGCAATAATGTAAGTATTGTAGAGATGATCCCCAAAGTTTAGAACAAAAAGGGGAGATGATATAAATATGAATATGAATATGGATATGGATATGGATATAGGGATCAATCACATACATATTTCTCCCCCCAGTGCTAAAATACATGCTTGTCACATTTCACATGATGATAATGATTGGCCTTAGAAATATGTGGTATTTGAATAACAAATATTACTTCATTCCATTTAAAAAATGGCTCAAAATTCATTCTCAGATTGTGGAGGGGAAATTGCCAAGAAGGCCTACCCACCTCTGGAGAAAGAAGCCCATTTCTGAGCTGTGAATCTGACTTGTGGGGTCCGCTGGCTTGGAAAAGGTTCAGTTGTTTCTGGCTGTCCTTTGAATTAGTAAAGATCTCAGAGCTAAAAGGTGCTGAGATCCTCTGTGGCTGACCTCATCAGAATTCATCAGTGAGTACGCACTGGACTCCTGAAACAATGTCCTTCCTGGTATGCTAAGGATGTATGTGGACTGGAGGCAGGGGTGAAGGCCAGCACCATTCATGGACCCTCACGTTTTTTTCACCTATAGTCTCTCAAAACTGCACACTGATAGTAGCCCTGATCCTTGGAGCTGGGCATGCTATTACTGAACAGATGTCAAGAATTTGAAAGAAGGCAAGAAGAAATCTGTTTTTAACTAATCCAAGTGGGAAACAGGTATTTACTTTTTCACATAATTAGAAAGCCTGAGTTTGGAACCAAATGTCTACATTGACTTCAAGAATATCATGTCCCTCTCTTTCCATCTACTTCCCTCTTCCTTCTCCTTTCTTTCCCTTTCCCATGTCTTAGTTCTGCTTCTCTCAATAGGTTGTCCTTGGCCTGTCTTCCTATAGTGAGGCATCCTCCATGTAGCTAGCAGAAAGAGGCACAGGCATATCCAGCTCTAGGCTTCCATTAGCTTAACTCTCTGAGCATGAAATAGATAGAAAACTTACTTAGCCTACACACAATCCAGAGAAGGTATCTAGTCTAGGTTGGTGACAGACTCATCATTGTGCAGTCACTGTGGCCAGAGGGGTGGCGTACCCTGAGTGACCTGACCTGGATCACTTGCCCACCCTTAGTGGGACAGAACACTGTGATTCACAGCCTGTGTAGAACCACATTATGTGGAGGAGGGGCAGGTTCCTAGTGAAATGTCTGGAATGGGGAAACATGACAAAATAGGACATGAGAAGGAGACTACTAGACCATTTTAGAAATGGGGGAAAGACTCTTCTCCGCAGTTCACAACGGTGAGCAGTGGAGTGAAAAACAACTTTTGCAGAGTCTTCCTTAATTAATGGGGGTAAAAGAATAGACAGAGAGAAAATAAAGTAAGGCTCTAGGCGTATCTACAATATTCCACCATGAAGTAGAGTGGCCCAGTTCTGTAATTAAGTGGAAGTGGGACCTTTCGAAATGTTGCAGCCTATCCTCATTATCAGCCTTAAAAAAAAAAAATCCAAATAATAGATAACAGCTTCTGCTGGATGCCTAGTCTTATGTTCATAACACAAGGAATAATAATGATTGCAATGATATCCTTGAGTCAAAAAATATGCCATAAGTCAGCTGGGTTTAGTGATTGATAGACTTGTGCATTTTCAAATTATGTGGTGGCTCAGGGAAGGAGGTAACAGAATTAGGCTTGATAGACTCAAGGTGGAGGGAAGTGATGTGACTCTTAGAAGCGATACACATAATAGAGTTCTGAGTATCAACTCCATGTCAGACTCCCTCCATTGCTTAATTTTACTGTCTCATTCAATCCTTCAGCAACTTCCACTAGAGAGAGGCGATTACATATTTTTTTAATTTAAAGAAGAGATTGAAACACAAAGAAGATTTCCTTGTATAAGGTCAGTGTCAAGGTGAAAACCTGTTTTTGCTACAGCACCACAAACAAACCAATGAAAGCCATCAGCAGCCGCAACACACTATGTCAAGATACTTTTTTCCAATGCAGTTAGAATTATTGGAATAGGAAGACAAAGGAGTTTAGAATCACAAAAGAATGAATAAGAAATGTGCTGGTCTTGAAGGCTATATAATGTCAGCCAGAATGAGCAGGGGAAAGGAAAGCTATACATTGGGATTGACATTGCAAAGGACTGAAGCTTTTAAAGATTGAGTATTTCCATTGTGAGCACTTGACACAATAAAACAATCTTCCAGAAATGCACATTAAAAGAGTAAATAGATGATACATGAATGAATGAATGGATGGGTGTTCATTCATTCAGCATTTTTTACTTATAAACTTTCATTATTAATTCACATGATATATTATGTCTGCTTGAGTCTGTGCGGAATTGAACAAATCAATATGTTCTTCATCTCATTTCCACAAAGCGTTCCACAAGAATGAAGGTGAGAGGAGGTGTCTATTCCCTGCTCCCTTCCCACTCATTCTCACCCCCAGATATCCTTTCTTCAAGGGTTCGTAAATCTCTGCCTTAGCAACAGACTGCACCAATGTCTGAAAAATAAAAACTTCATGTGAATTACAATTTAAAAAAAAAATAGGACAGTGAAAATGAAGCTTTGTGGTGTCCACTTAATTTGGAGGGCATTATTTTTAGCCTTGCAAAGGACCAGTGGCACGAAAACAATTAGGATCTTTTGTCAAGTTAATTAAATTTTACTAAGTGTAGTAATCTCAGTGGGCTTCATACACCAGAGGTAAAACTCATTAAAACGCAAATTCTTCCTAGCCTAATAAGGAGTTCTAACTTGGATAGCTGAGGAATGTTGTGCATACTGAGAGATATTCAAAACTAATTTATAATGAGATGAGGGCAAACCCTTAAATGGCTCAGTTCTGTTGAAGTCTCACTTGAGAACACCAATAAGTTAAACTGGAGGCTGCCACTTAAGGTAAAAAGAAAAAAAGCAGACTGGCAAGCTTTGCTGGGTGCAGGAGAAAAATGGATCCAGCTTAGACAAGTAAGGATGGGGAGGCCAGCAGAAATGAGATAGCCAAGTTTTCTCTAAAAAGTGCTATTTTCTCCCCAGGTTTCTTCTCTTCATTAAATTCTCCAAGGGCAGGCTGAGCTAATTGCAATTGCTTTTCTTGTAGTATTATTTTCTTAGAAAGCTACCTGGAGCAAGATTATTTAGTTCACAAGTATTCAGATCAGTAGTTAATCCATACCACATCTCCTGTGTGGCACTGACAGCCCCATTTTTAAGATAAAGCCATTGAACAACTAAAAAAAGAAAAAAGAAAAAAAAGAAAAAAAAAAACTCAACTCTATCTAGAAATTAGCAGGGTATTAAGATGACAATCCAAAATGGTTCAGTCTTAGCCCTTTCCTTAGAACCCACTGACACCAATTTCTACCACCAGTCAAATGTGTATGAATATTTGCAGTTGAGAAACTTGAAATGATTGTTTAATTGCAATGGACAACCTTCATATAAACTTGGGCACACTTTAATTGACATGCTATTACTCTACCATTTATTGAAAGCGGCATGTGCCTGCTGACATTTTCCCCGTTTCTCTGTCTCATTTCACACCCTGTGGTCTGGCTCTGGCCCCTGATAGCCCACTGACTTTGGCAGGTGCTGCCAATACCTTTCTAATCACCATACCAAATGTGTTTTCTTTGTTGCAACTCTCTTCAACCAGATTCAATTATTTGTCACATTGTCCACCCAATCCTTCTGACCCACCACTCTGTTTTATTTTGTCCAATAATGTTATAAATGCAGCAAGACATGCTGGGGGGAAAAAGGCAATATTAAAGTTTCTTTCTGAGAAGAAGGCTTCTTGCCTAGTTTTGCTTAATAGGTGTACCAGGGTTCTCCTGGAAACGAAAGATAGATTCCTTCAAATTTTGTACCTGTAATAAAACTAGAATATTCTCTTTTCCTATATTATTTCAATATCTGTGTTATGTAAGTAATGTATGCTCATTGTAGAAAAACAAAAGGAAGGTCGGGCACAGTGGCTTTCGCCTGTAATTCCCAGCACTTAGGGAGGCCAAGGAGGGTGGATCACCTGAGGTCAGGAGTTTGAGACAAGCCTGGCCAACATGGTGAAACCCCATCTCTACTAAAAATACAGAAATTAGCCACAGGTGGTGGCACACGCCTGTAATCCCAGTCACCCCAGAAGCTGAGACAGGAGAATCATTTGAACCCGGGAAGCGGAGGTTGCAGTGAGCTGAGATTGCGCCACTGCACTCCAGCCTGAGTGACAAAGCAAGACTCCGTCTCAAAAAAGAAAAAAAAAAAAGAAAGAAAGAAAGAATAAAAGAAAAACATAAGGACAAGAAAAAGATGCATATAATCAAATCACAACTTCATTTTTTTCCTTCTTCTTCTCCTGCTCCAATTCCTCTTCCTCTTCCATCTTTTTCTATTTTCCCTTCAAGGTCTTGATACAATGCATGCATCTATTTTCACCTTTGTTATGTAACACTCTAGCCTGAGCATTTTCTTATGTCCCTAAAAGTATTCATAAGCTATTATATATACTGGAAAGAACATGAACTTTTAAGTTTGGCACATCTGACTTGAAGTCCCAGCTTTTATTAGCAGTGATGTGATGTAAACAAGACTTTACTTGTTCTTTTAGCCTAGATTCCCTGTCTGTAAAATAGGGATGATAGTAACTACAACATAAGCATGGTAAAAGGATAAAACTGTTCCTCTTCAAAACTTGTCTAGCTGTGGCTTTTGTTTTTGGTAATTATTAGTAGTATTATTTTGAATTAATAAATGCAGTATTTAGTATTTCCACAGTATTTCATCATGTAGATGTCCTATAATTTATTTGTTTATCTCTATTATTACATATTTAGTTTCTTCATTAGTTTCCCAATTTCAATAATTCTAGAATGAACATCTCTACATCTTTATTAACAAAATTTTCTATACACTCAGAAGTTACTTTCTAGAAAGTTTGCATCATGTCCTTGTCTTGTGACCTGTGCTTGAGGAGGGGGTGTCTCCTTAGCTACCCCAGATGCTTTGGTAAGTTCAGCAGGAAGACGGCTGACCACTCCCCCACCGTAGCCATCGGTAACACACCGATGGCCTCACCAGAAGGCTTCTATCTCAGGCTTCTGCCAAAGATTCAAAGATCTCTACTTCCAACAGGGTTGATTTACCAGCTTATAATTTTGAGGAAACTACTTTCACTCAAAGCCCCTTTTTAAGATTCTACAAGCAATTCTGATTAATTTTTCTCAGTTCTTCACTTCTCTCCTTTCACTCTTAGTGCTGAATTCATAAGAGAGAGAAAGAGAGATCACATGATTTCATCAGTGTGAAATCATGCCTGAAATTACATATAAGTAAATAGAGAGATGTCAACTCATTTATGGTGTATTTAATAAGATGTGGGCTCTTGGCTATGGAAGGATAAGGAGGCTCAACCTGAAAGGGGGCAACTAAAATAAGAAAATACTTCAACCACTGTTGAAATAGAAGGAGACCAAATTCTCTCTACTCTGTACTCCTCAGCTTTTCTTCTCATTGAACATTACTAAGCAGCAATGTCCCAGGCGCCATATTAGTCTCTGGGAATACATGATAAATAATAAAAGGTATTTTTTTTAAGAACTCATTGTCTGATTGGATGGGGATCCCCAGAAATGGGGTCACTAATAATGACACTCTAAGTTGACAAGTTTTATGGTGAGAAAAACACTGGAACATGAGGAAAAGAGGTCAAAGCTGATGAAACAGAAATGCTTCTCACTTGAGCTGGGTCTTCAATATTGAGTGTACATTCACCAAGTTGACTAGAACAACCAAATGCTGGAAATCATTTGGATAACAAGACATGCTAAGAAATGGATAGCCTGCAGTTTGTGTGGCTGAACTGGGCACTGTTTGGAGGAGAGAGGATGGGAGACGAAGCTGATTTCCAAATGGAGAAATAATATCACAGGGAAAAATGCAAATGTTATTCTAAGGACTCTAGATTTTGCCACTGATGTGTGCAAGGATCATTGCAGATTTTGTTGGCATTTGTTTTGCCAGTCAATGGCTTTAATTTACCAAGATATTTATCTGAATCATGGTGATTGTTGTGAAGCTAAGAGACACAGTTCATACATTTAAAACTAAGGGAGGGATGTTTTTGGAGAGGCATGTAACTTTCCATGAAATAAGTGAATGCAAAGCTAAGTATAAGGTAAGATTTTCTTCCAAGAATGTTACCCAAGGGGGAGATTCCTGTGGAGACTGCCACTGTAGCCTTTTAATAATTGCAGGGCAACAAGCTAATTATTGTGTTTCATCTTCTTCCTTTGTAGACTCTAAACTGAAAGAACAAACTTGAAAAATTAATTTAGGACTATGAACAAACAAAACCACTATCCCCCAGAAGGAAACTAATAGAAGAGACATATTACAGTGTTCAAACTTTGCATGTAAACTCTGCTTTCCCTCCACAAACCCAAAGCTCCTTCTGTTTTTGTCCATGGTTTGGATTGCATCCCTGTGAAAGCCAGTGTGGGGAAAGCTTGTCTGGACTTAAGTTTCTAATATGGTATATATTTCTACAATGCAGTCTGACTTATGATTCTGGCTCTGTAACCTTCGCAAATTGTCTGTCTTCTCTTAGACTCAGTTTCCCTTTCTGGCTTTCGATGGCTTGGATTCAATTCCACTGGTCCAACATTTGACTCTTTAGTCACATGTAGCCTTTCTAATCCCGGGAGTACTGATGACTGTAGTTGTTGGGAATTCTATTGATTCAATGCCTTCTTTTACAACAAGTATTTTGAAACATTTCCTTTATTATCCTGAAATAAAACCCATGATAATATAAGTTATCTACATCCATAATTTTAAAAATCAATGCAATGCCCTGATTGTAATGCAGAAAAGAAATTAAAGAAAATAGAGTATAATAAAATGATAACTACTTCCCATAAGTTAAGAATTCTGACATGACATTATAAGAAGATATAATGAAGTAGCAAGATACCTACATCCATATAAAAAATCATGAAAAATGAGACTGCCTAAAATATAGACAAACAGATGTACTGTAATGGAAGCATAAACATAAATAGGGATATTTCTGTAACTATGATTTTTCCAAAAGCTAAACAACTTTTGGCAAAAGTTTAAAAAATCTAGTGTTTCCTAATTTACACTGAAGTTGTATTCCTGGAAATTTCAAAAATTTTCAAACGATGAAATAATTTCCTCACGTTCATATCTAAAATGAACGCAAATCTAAGTACCTATGATTTTAAAGAGTTTCTAGTCTACCTGTCTTCCTGATAGACTCTAAAAAGTCATATGGAATGCAGGATAGGTTTTTTGAACAGGACTGTTCTTTCATGGAAACCCTCATCTCCACCCATTAAAAAACCAGGATCCCCTCATCCCCACCATTTTTAAAACACACACTGCCTGGGCATGGTGACTTATGCCTGTAATCCCAGCAATTTGGGAGGCCAAGGTGGGAGGATCACTTGAGGCCAGGAGTTCAAGACCAACCTAGGGAACATGGTGAGACCCTGTGTCTACAAAAAAAAAAAAAAAAAAGAAAAAAGAAAAAGAAAAGAAAAGAAAATTAGCCAGGCATGGTGGGGTGTGTCTGTGGTCTGTGGTCTCTGCTACTCAGGAGATTGAGGCAAGAGAATCGCATGAGCCTAGAAGTTGGAGGCTGCAGTGAGCTGTGATCATGCCACTGCATTCCAGCTTAGGTGACAGAGGGAGATCCTGTCTCTAAAATGAACACAACACAACACACACACACACACACACACACACACACACACACACACCCCAATCCCTTATGGATTTTTTTAGCATTCATACTAAAGAGGTGATACTCTCTTGGTGGCAGGCCACAAGTCCAGTGCCTTGCTCAAACCATTGCACAGGTCATTACTTCTGAAATTGACTGTCCTAAATTCCACGTGAAGTATTCTAAAGGATTCCTGACCCATGGGAAATTCTTATGTGGAAGGCCTAATATTAAGAGGTGAACTGTTTCCGCCCCCTAAACTCATATGTTGTTCTAACCCCCAGCCCCTCAGAATGTTACTACTATTTGGAAATAAGGTCTTAAAAATGAAATTAAGCTAAAATGAAGTCAATAGGGTGGTCCCTAAACCAATATGACTGGTGTCCTTGTTAAAAAAAAAAAAAAGGAAATAAGGATAGATATGCAAAGAGGAAAGACCATGTGCAGACACAGGGAGAAGATGGCCATCAATAAACCAGGAAGAGAGGGCTCAAAATAAATGAACCCTGCAGACACTTTAATGTTGGACATTCAGCTTCCAGACTTTTTGGATAAAATAAATTTCCATTGTTTAAGCCACATAGTCTGTGGCGCATTGTTATAGAATTCCCACATAATGAATACATTTACTTTTCTACTACTACTATGATTTCAATTGCAACTATAGCTCTTCTTACTACTATTACAACCACTACTGTGATCCTCCCATTACAATTAGTAATATCTCTTGAGCTTCAACTGTGTTATGTTTGTGGTGTTTATTATTCCCTGTGACAAGCAGAAAAGCAGTATAAGCCCCTGCATGGGCCACTCAGCTAACTGAGTGGCAAAATGGGCTTCAGACTCATAGACTGACTCCAAAGCCCATGTTCTCTATTTCTATTGGATATTTCCCCTCATTTCCAGGTGAATCTTGCTTGAGGCACATTATGTGTTTAAATCACAAGTCTAAAACCTCTTGGGCCACCATTAGAGATCACATTTGTGTGTATTTTGATTGTTACTGGCTTGTTAAGAGAACATGGTCAACTCTGCAACCAACAATAATGAGATAGTAGCCATTTACAAATCAATTTTGATGTATTAAAAGCAGTATTGCATAATTGCTAATAACATTGATTTCAGAGTCAAATTACCTTAGATCAAATCCCAGCTGTGTCACTTACAGGCCAGATGTGTTAACCTCCCTGAAACTCGGTTTCCTCATTTGTGTAATGATATTTCCTAACTGATACAGTTGTTTTGTGGATAACATGAGTGAGCAAATTCACATAAAGAACTTAGAATAGCGTGTGTTATGAAATGGCCAATATAAACCACCCAATATTAGTAAGGACTTTACCTACGCTACCTCATTAGACTTGACAGCAATGGAGAGCATTTCAGCCTCTCTGACATTCACATGAAAGCTCAGAGAGGGTTAATAATTTTATCAAGGTCACACTTCTAATGGAAGCTGTGTGACTGTTGAGTATAGCAAAACTCACACGGGCTAGTTTATCCATTCAAACCAGAAATAGATTCCTATGGCATACCATTTGATATATGCCATAAAAATGTGTAGATGTAAAAGGAAACATGAAATATATCACCTGTTTTTTTGTTTTTTTTTTTTCACTGTTTGTTGCCAAATGCCTGAAGATACGGAAACACGTATATGCTCAACAAGGAGAACATGTCTGGAAAAATAACCATGTTTTTCACTTTCTTTTCAGATGCTGTAGAACCACATGGACATAATCACATAATCATGGTCCTTAAAGAATTTTAAATGTTTTTTTTCTTTATCTGATGGCTCCATTGCAGACAGACTTGGCTGTGTCCACACCAGAGCATGAGACCGTCACTGTTTTTTGGTTATGTCAGTGAACTATCTTCACTCCCTCCCACCAAGAAGCATAGGAATGTATTCACCACCAGATTAAAACCAGCATCAATTTGACTCTCTGCTCTACTGCACTCTAAGTTCTGTGAATATTAATAGAAATTTATTTGTTGGATGGTTGACTGCTTAAATTCATCTGCCGTTCCTCGGTTGGAGTCATTCAGGCCATTAATGTTGAGCACGCGCCCACTCAAGTAGGGGCCAAGTGTAGGTCACAGGCATGCAGCCAGTGTGTGTAACTAAAGGTCAGACTTGTAAAATCCAGCACATAAGAGATGGTGTAATACCGCCTAAATTGATGATTTTGAATATATTTTAGGTGCAAAGTGATATAGCAGCAGCTGATTTTTCATTCACATTCAATAACCTTCAAGCCCCAGGTCTAACAACCACCTTCCTGTGAGTGTCACCTACTGCTCCTATGCTATCCATGCAGTGCAGGCGCCTCTCATGGGTTCCATCATGTCATCTGCAATGGTGAGGTGCTACCAGGAACATCACTGCAGAAGGGTGTGTAGTTATCTGGTGACAGACTTAATTAACTATGTCATGCAGTCACTGTGCAGTCATAGACCAATTACTTAACTTCTCAGGGCCTGTGCTTACTCATTTGTAAGATGGGGATAATAATAACCTTGTAGAGCTGTTTTGGGTGAAATGACTTCAAAGAAAGAGGTAAAGCTTTGGAAAAGCACCTGGAAGAGTGCAAATGCCGAGTTATCAATTATTGTTTTCAAAAGGAGTTGGACAAACTAAATCACTTCAGTGAGAGCATCAACGATAAATAAGTAAGCAGGGTGCAGTGGCTCATGCCTGTAATCCCAGCATTTTGGGAGGCCAGGGTGGGTGAATCACTTGGGGTCAGGAGTTCCAGACCAGCCTGGCCAATATGGTGAAGCCCCGTCTCTACTAAAAATACAAAAAATAGCTGGGCATGGTGGCATGTGCCTGTAATCCCAGCTATTCAGGAGGCTGAGGTAGAAGAATCACTTGAACTTGGGAGGAGGAGGTTGTGGTGAGTTGAAATTACACTACTGCACTGAAGCCCATGTGACAGACTGAGACTCCATCTCAAAAAATAAATTAATAAATACATAAAAATAAACAAGTAATTTCAAAACAGCGCCAAGATAAGAAGGATTGAAAATATCTGTTTGGTAAGTCCAATATCCACATAAGTTTGCTGGGAGCCAAAGGTACTTTAGCAGATAGGAGAATGTTGCACAAAGAGGGCAATCATTGGGTCAGCCTTGGGGTTGAATCTCAGCCTGGTCATTCACTAGTTAATTGCTCTGGAGGAACTTGCTGAACTTCTCTGACTCTAATTTCTCATCTATTTTGAGAATAATGTCACTTGCCCAAGTGATCATTCTTAATTCAGTAAGAATTAAGGAAGTAAAATACATGTGCTTAACAAATGGTAACTTAAATAAAGGGCCCAGACCAACCTTTTCAACAATTTTCTCAATACTCCCAGAGTTGCAGAACGTGCTGTTCCCATATTTAACCAATTTCTAGAAACTTCTTGCCCCCTTTTCCAGCTGTGCAAACAAGATCAACTTCCTGTGCCTTTCATCTTGATTTGTGCTCAGCAGAGCCTACTCACTCTTAAAGACTGTACAGAGTGTGCTCTTTAGAGAGGAAGGGATAATCAGAGAATGTCCCAACCTTCAGCCAGATCCTGAGATATTATAGCCCCAACTATAGAACACAAGGTAGAGCTAACAAAGAGAGGAAAACTCGCTGCTAGGAGGAGAAGAGTCATCACAGGCCTAAAAGGTTTGCTTGTGACTAAATAGCTTAAAGCCAAGTCTGTTGTCTCAACCACCAGCCATTGTAGAGTGCAAATGTCCTGTGATATGTACACTGTAACACCCAGCTGTAGGGAATCTAAATTGGTACAACTTCCCCAGAAAGACATTCAACAATTAACATAGGAAGCCTTGAAAATGCTCATGATAATTGATGCATAATTCAACTTATAAATACTAAAATAAACGTGTTTGATCAATGCAGACAAGATATTCATCAAATTATATGTTTCAGATCCACCTGCAAATCCAACAATGTAAAATTCATCAGTTATGTTAGATCTATGAAATGACCTACTTCTCAACCATTAAAATTGAGAAACATTTCATGATGAGGGATAATAGTCATAGCACAATGTTATGTAAGAAATGAAAGAGAAACCTTTATATGCAAAGCCAATCCATGTTATGTGAGAGTGTGTACAATAGAGGAAATAATTATCTTAGAAATCAATAGTGACTCTGTTGTGGACTGTTGGGTTGTTCTTGTTTTACATTAAATCTTTTCTTTAAAATTAACTCAAGCAGGAAAGGTATGTCAAATGTGACTTTGGAATTCCTTTGCTTTTGTTTGGGTGGCTCCGTGTACAGTGTAAATGGACTGGTTTACTCTCCCCCAGAAGCCCACCAGGTTGATGTTTGATCTGGGTCTCAGCAGTCCTGCTGGGCCATCAGTGGTTGCTTTCTCATGGGTCACTGGGTGGTCACTGACACCCACCTCACCCTAACATGGAAGGGAGCCAGGCATAACATCTGGGTGTGGTTCTGGCTGCACCAGGCACTTGTGCTTGTGAAATTTGCGATTAAAGGCTAGCATGGCCCAGGCACAGTGGCTCACATCTGTAATCCCAACACTTTGGGAGGCTGAGGCAGGCAGATCATCTGAGGTCGGGAGTTCAATACCAGCCTGACAAACATAGAGAAACCCTGTCTCTACTAAAATACAAAATTAGCCAGGTGTGGTGGTGCATGCCTATAATCCCAGCTACTCGGGAGGCTGAGGCAGGAGAATTGCTGGAATCTGGGAGGCGGAGGTTGCGGTGAGCCGTGATCATGTCATTGCACTCCAGCCTAGGCAACAAGAGTGAGACTCCTTCTCAAAACAAACAAACAAACAAACAAACAAACCTCAGCATTTACTAAGTGGCTGCGCTATGTTGTGCAGTAGGTGCTTTAAATGTCTCTGTTCCTATGATTCTGAGGCCCAGACACATGGACAGCATGAGGGTGAGGCAAACAAGATGCTCTGTATACAAAAGTTGAGGATACTATAGGGTCCTGCTTGTCTCTTTAAATTTTGCACCCTAGATGCTTCCTTAACACCACCTTAGTCCTGGCCCTGCTCAGAGAGATGAAATAATTTGCTCAAAGTCATGGGGTTGATAAGAATTTGAGTTTAGAATCAATGCCAAATCCAGCTTATTCTGGACCCTATGTCTTCTTCATTATACCAACCAGTAGATTTTTAAAAGCCCAGCATATTGTAAAGTACATAGGGCACTTATATTTGTGGATATGGATGTGTGTACCACAATGCAGTAAAATTCTTCATTTTTCAAAGTACAAAGAGAGTATATAATTCCTCAAACAGCAAGCTCAGTAGTCAAGTGTGATCATCTCCTCCATTTCAAAGATGGGTACTGTAAGGCATTTCTCAGACTCCAGCCAGAAACTGACACAAATGGCAAGTGCCATACGGTCAACGAGATAGGACACACAAATGGTTCTCCCAGCAGCTCATGGATTCTGTCATTCTGTCATTGGCAGTCAAGACTAATGTAATTAAACAGCACATCTTCCCCAGCTGAGTGGAGCTCTGGGTTCACAGAACAGTCCCAGGCCACTGGAAAGCCAATTGGCAATTCACTAATGGGCCAAATCACCGTGCAGCAGGAACAGAGGGAAAAAGGCTTCTAGCCAATTCCATTTTGTTATGAAAACATAATCATTCTAGCAGTCTCCCGGTGCCTGAGAAAGGCAGGTCATTGTGGTCTCCTCCCTGTTTGGGATGGTGTTCTAACACCTGGCAAAACCTAGCCCAGCCTTTCCACTCCACTTCATAGTCTCCAGGGGCTATTTTATAGTGATGGAATCATTTGCTTTACCACAGGAATAGATGGATTCCGGTTTGCACAGGTTTCCAAGTAGAGAAATAAGCAAAGTATCTGTTCAGAAACAGCTATAATCATTAAAAGGAAAAAGAGTATTTATTTCAGTTACTCATGCATTAGAAAATATTTATTTTTTTATTTTTTTAGGAAACATTTATTAAGCTCTTATGTGCCAGGCATTGGGCATCGCATGACTTCATTTACTCTTTCCTGCACAAAGCAAGGTCATTATAATTAGTCCTCCTCCTTTTACTGATGAGGAAACTGAGACTCAGGGGGTTATATGTTTCACTTAACATTACAGTCAGTAAGTACTGAAACCATGATTCAATATTGCATCGGATGTTCTTTTCTCTTGCTTCCTTTCAAATCCTTGTAAAAATGAATTGATTTTAATTGAATTTTGGCATGATACACACAAATGATTAATACATGCTGGCGGAATGAATGGTTGGTGACTGTATTTATACCTTGTATCCATAAATTTAATATATGTTGTACTGAAGGAGATGCCTCAATGGGAAGATGACAGTTAACAAGGTCATTTTCTGATATGGAAAATACATAAATGTGTGTGTGTCTCCTGCATTTAATTTTCCCACTGCTTCTGAAATGGATATTTGCCAGTCTTCTGAGAGCTGTTGCTCTTTGTTATCTGAAGGTGCCATACAATCTTGGTTGCATATCGTGCAGAATGAAGAGGGGAGATTAGTTCCCTGGAAATTTACTCACGTCTCTCTAGGAATGGAAAATGCTAAGGCAGCCAGAGAAATCATTTCTCTGACTCTCACTTACTCTGTGAATTCTGATAACTCAATTCCTGACCCTCACTTTCCTTGACTATACAATAAAAGGCTAAGACTCAAGATTTTCTCCAATTATCTCCACTCTTGAAATTATGTGCAATCTTTTAGACTCCTAATATTTAGGGGTTGATTATAAATACTGTGGCCTTACTCTAACCTTTTTATACCATGAAATTATGTTCTTGTTAAAAAAAAAAAAGAGGTCTTCATTTTTTTTTGAGACAGTGTCTTGCTCTGTTGCCCAGTCTGGGGTACAGTGGTGCAATCTCAGCTCACTGCAACCTCCAACCCCTGGGCTCAAGCATTTCCCAGGTTCAAGCGATTCTCCTGCCTCAGCCTCCTGAGTGACTAGGATTACAGACATGTACCACCATGCCTGGCTAATTTTTGCATTTTTAGTAGAGACAGGGTTTTGCCATATTGGCCAGGCTGGTCTCAAACTCCTGGCATCAAGTGATCCTCCCGCTTCAGCTTCCCAAAGTGCTGGGATAACCTTCTAGACATTGGCTTAGGCAAGAACTTCATGACCAAGAACCCAAAAGCAAATGCAACAAAAACAAAGATAAATAGATAGAACTTAATTAAACTAAAAAGTTTCTGCACAACAAAAGAAATAATCAGCAGCGTAAACAGACAACCCACAGAGTGGGGGGACATCTTCGCGATCTATACATCCTACAAAAGACTAATATCTAGAATCTACGGGGAACTCAAACAAATCAGCAAGAACAAAACAAAAAATCCCATCAAAAAGTGGATTAAGGACACAAATAGACAAATCTCAAAAAAAGATATACAAATGTCCAACAAATATATGAAAAAATGCCCAACAACACTAATTATCAGGGAACTGCAAATCAAAACCATAATGTGATACTACCTTACTCCTGCAAGAATGGCCATAAAAAAAAAAAAAAAGACTTTGGTGTAGACGTGGCGAAAAGAGAACACTTTTACACTGTTGATGGGAATGTAAACTAGAACAACCACTATGGAAAACAGTGTGGAGACTCCTTAAAGAACTAAAAGTATATCTACCATTTGATCCAGATCCAGACTCCTGGGTATATATCCAGAGGAAAATAAGTCATTATATGAAAAAAATACTTGCACACACATGTTTATAGCAGCACAATTAGCAATTGCAAAAATATGGAACCAGCCCAAATGCCCATCAATCAATCAATACGTATGTATATCATGGAATACTGCTCAGCCATCAAGGGGATGAAATAACGGCATTTGCAGCAACCTGGATGGAATCGAAGACCATTATTCTTAGTGAAGTAATTCAGGAATGAAAAGCCAAAGGTAGTATGCCCTCATTTCTAAGTGGGAGCTGAGCTATGAGAACGCAAAGGCATAAGAATGATACAGCAGACTTTGGGGACTCAAGGGAAAAGGTGGGAGGGGGTGAGGGATAAAAGACTACACATTGAGTGCAGTGTACACTGCTTGGGTGATGGGTGCAACCAAATCTCACAAATCAACACTAAAGAACTTATTCACGTAATCAAACACTACCCGTTCCCCAGAAACCTACTGAAATAAAGAAAGAAAGAATAGATTCTAATAATGGTGAAGAATATTGCTTCATTAGAATCTATATTATATTCAAAGAGACTTCCACAATTTTTAAAGCATACACATGAATTATTGTTATTGTATCTGTAATTAGCAAAAATGATGATTATAATAGTAAGCAAGCTCTGAGAGTCTAAATCATGCTCTGTCATCTTAAAATATTGGTCCAATATGTTTCCATGCACTTGCATAGAAATATATTATGAAATTATAAAATTGATAATATGCTTTGTCAGTTTTCTATAATCCCAACATAATTAACATTTTAAGAATTAAATATTTTAAATATTAAATATTTTAAGAATTAAATATTTTAAGAATTAAATATTTTAAATATTAAATGTTTTAAGAATTAAATGTTTTAAATATTAAATATTTTAAGAATTAAATATTTTAAATATCAAATATTTTAAATATTAAATATTTTAGCAATCAAAAAAAGGAAGATAAAGTGAAGAAGGAGGAAGAAGAAAATAGTTAGGTTTGTTCAGTTAAAAATGATTTAAGAATTGCCGATCACCACTTCAATTTTTGCAGCCAGGTTATTGTCATCCCTTCAACCCAGAAGAAGAGTAGATGTTCTTTAGTTAGAAATGGCAACAAACAAAAAAAGATTTCTACGTTTTTTAAAAAAGGTCATGATATTTGATTTAGGGATGTTTAATTTCACAGTGCAAATTTTAGTTGAGAATGTCGTGGAGATACCGTTCGCTAACTTCAGAGGATCCCAACTAGGTAGAGTTTTCTTGAGATTGCCAGCTGCCATGTAGTCACATCACTATCTCTCTGTCCAAGATGGAAAAACCTTTGGGTTTCTTCCCACTGATTTTAGAAGCATGCTAAACCTTGATGGCCTAAAGGCTTAGTTACAATCTGAAAAACTCCACCTGCTTCTCCAGCCTTGCTGGTATTATTTACATGACAGGGCCTTTGCACTACTGTGCCTTTGACCTAACACACACTGAATCATCCACGCTGTAGACACATGTTTATGCCTGCTCGCTCTTCAGATACTCACTAAATTGTTCTTTCTTCTTTGTTCATTAGAAATGTCTTCCATGAACCTTTGGTCAGCTTCTTACCCGAACGTCTTTCTATTATAGTCAGTTTCCATACATTTACTTTTGCGGTTGTATTGCTTACTACTCCCCTGCACCTTGAAACTCTGACAGTTTTTGCTCAATATAGTATTCCCAGTACCCAGCACTGTTCTAAACAACTAGTAGACACTGACTCCTTTGCTTAGTAAATGAATAAGTGATATATAGAACTATGGTCCAGTACTAGGTAAAGGAATTAAAATGCTGATGCCCTTTGTGGGGAGTTTTGGTATGAAGTTGTGGCATTAGGCTTCGTGTCAGAAGCTGAGAGTATTGTAAGTCACTATCAGCATCAAACTAGGTAGTCAATGTAAGTCCCTGGGCCTCTGTTTCACTCTCTAGAGAAGGACAATTATGACCCTTCCTGTGATTTTTGTGAAGACTAATGAAACAGTAAACTCTTAAAAATAAGAAAGTGCTGTAGGAATTTCAGGCATTGCTACCCCACTTCCTAAGGATAATTGTGATTCTGCTTGTTTTATACAAGCAGTATACATAGAGTACCCTGTTGGAGTAGGGACAATGAGAATCTTATTAATATTGTAAGTGTTTACCAGGTGACTGAGTGCTCCAAAACCACTACAAGCACATGATGATGATGCAGCCCTTTTTTCTAATTTCCATAAGTATTTTAATTTTTTTTTGGAATTTCATTTATATGTTTCTAGAGTGCTATGCAGTTCTGCCCCAGAGAAAAATAATTTCCCTTATAAATGCATGATTGGTTGCCATATACTTAGAAACTTAAAAGTGGCATCCATAGTAGTGTGAAGTTTCTCTGCATTTTGAAAGAATAAATGAGATTTTATTATATTCCAAATCAAAACAAATAATTTAATAGTGTTATCTTGTTAACTAATAACACTACTATTAGCAGTAAAAGGAAGGAAAAGAAAGAAGAAAGAAAGAAAGCAAGAAAGAAAGAAAGAAAGAAAAAGAAAGGAAGAAAGAGAAAGGAAGGAAGGAAGGAAAGGAAGGAAGGAAGGAAGGAAGAAAGAAAGAACCAAAGAAAGAGAAAGAAAGAAATCATGAATATATAATCTTTCTTCTCCACGGTAAATTTGAATTGGCATTTAAGGAGGAGTGTCAGACCCTCTTCTTTTGGAAACAAACATTATACACTTATACATCCTCAAAACAGTAAGTTTCCTGAAGAAAGGCACATATCAAATATTAATAAAATAAGAATTACATTAATCCAATGCATTATAGTTTCCTACTTAAAAAGAAGGGCAAGGATGTTTGTAACATTTCATAGGAAATTGTTTATGGAATTAAATTTATGTCAGATTCTAGGTGTACACATTATTAAGTGTTTGCATTGTGCTTTTTCTAAATTTCTTTAGTTAGTTCCTTTACTGGGAAAGATTATGCCTGAGGAAGCAGGCACTGAATTCCTAAGCCAGAAGGGTAACTCCTAGGCCTTCCTCTTTTTAGGTCTATACATTACTTAATCCTATCCAAATATAGGTCACTCACCTGGAAAACCAGGCAAAACTAGGAGCTCCCTCATGGAGGTTTTGAGATGATAATAAATGATTAATTCTATTAAACACAGGACACAATATTTGGGACAGAGTAGGTACTCAATAAATGTTGATGTCTTTCAACTAAACATTGCCTCACTCTCTAAAAGTATTACAGGGTATTAAAGAAGAGGTTAAACATTCCCCATCCTCATTCTCTTGACTCTACTTAAAATCATGATTTTTGTGGATGACCTTTTCCTAAACTATATTATTGCTGGCAAGAAAAGATTTAATTAAAAATTAAAGTCAGGAAAGTTTCCCCTGAGATTCAAAGCGCTCTTGCCCTTCTCAGCATAAAACGTTGGCTTTTAGACAAGAGTATTGATGAAAAGAATTTGTTCTTACTGCTAGAACAACCCAGTCAGGGCAATTCTTCAAGAGCTAAGCTATAGCCTTTTATTCGTGATTAGATATTTTGGTTTTAAAGTTTCTACTTTGAAATGTACAACTCTGGACTTTTGAAAAAAAAAGAAAAAGAAGATTGTTTGGGGATTTAGGGACATTTCCATTTCCTTGGAAGATGTTATCTGAATGCATTTGATGAAGCCCCTTGAAATATAGAATTGCTGCTCTGACCCCCCACATCTTAAAAGAGAAATGGCCAATTAAGGTTCCTCCTCTTGCATATGTCTACAGATGCTGCCAGCCTGTGTCTCTCTAGCTCACATTTTCTAGGTCTCATTGACAGATCACTTCCTTTTACCTTTTTGGATGGACACACTCTGCCTTTGGCATAAGTTATTCCTCTCAACCAGGCAATGATCATGTCATCTTGCCCAGAGAGCCAGAGATCTAAATTTTAATGAGTCAGAGAGTCATGCTTAGCTTCTTCCTCAAGAGATCAGCTCATTTACTTTATTAGTTAGTTGGAAAGCACCTGTCTGTAGTCCCAAGAACTAGTAACAAATAGCACAACCACCATACACAACTGTATTAATCTGCCTTCTATTTCTAGGCTCTTTTCATGCCCCAAGCTACCTCTTCTGAGTTCAGAGACAAAATGAGGGTGTGATCCTTCTTTCGGGCCTATGTGAGACTTTCGGGCCTATGTGAGAAACAGCGGGCTTGGATGCACCAGGTGGTGGATCTTGAAGTCTGTCTGTTGACCCATTAACACACTCATATACCAGCTTTCTTTTTAATTTAACACCTACTGCCTAGATAACATTATTATTAATCCTTCCAGATACTAAAAATAATTCTTCAGTCTCTGAATGAGATTTTCTCAGCTCAGAATTTTCTCAGGTCTTTATCTGTTAACAAAGTCAGGACAAAGGGTGTTGCGATACTTACATCTAAAGAGAGAATTGCAGAAATTACTCAATTTTCTGAGCACTGCTTCATGGCTTAGCATGCTGTCCTCTTTAAGAGTTTGCAGAAACATTTATTGTTTTAGATTTACATGAGGGATATGCCTTTGTGGAAAGGTGTTTGTTTCTTTTGCAATACGATAGATATTGTATCACTTGGATGGAATGTAAGTTTCATCTTAGGTGGCAACTCTAGTTAGTAATGGCTGCTAAATCTCTGTGTTGAGAAGGGTCCTATTTCAATTTTGGCTCAGAGAGACAGAGTCATAACTAGGATAGTGTGAAATGGATGCTGACATAAAGAGTTTCACAAATGACCGGCCTGTTCTAACAAATATAGTTCTATTAAACCATAGAACCTTTAAAAAAAAAAAGATTTTAAAAAGTATTTTGTATAATTTTTTTCATTTCTCATATCAAAAACCCAAGGTTCCAATTCTGTAATATTGAAAGTTTGAAGCAGAAACAAAATTCATGCCTACTTTTCCTCACTTTGTGTTCCCTCTGTCCTCTTGTGTCCTAAGGTTAGTGGACTAATTTGGAGTCAGACCTTAGGTCTAAGTTCACAATGATAAATTTTTCCTTAACAAGCAGCTTCTTGATGCAAGATTTTTTATGTAAAATAAGTTGATCTTATCCATCATAATAATGCTAGTAATAGTACTTACCTCCAAGAAGTGTTGCAAGGATTAAATAGGTTAATCTATGTAAAGTAACACAACAGTTCTGCCACATAAAATTTAGCTATAAAGATCATTACTAGTACTGAAAATTAAGGTTTTTTTGGTGTGTTCTTTGTTTTTTTACTACAAGTATAATATACAGGTAATTTCCACACCCCCAAATATGAATTAGCAGATCTATTCAGGCCAAAAATAAAATATTTTTTGAACAAGAAGGCAGGAACTTCCCTACCTATTTTAAAAACCTATGAGCATGTCCCATATTTTGCTAATAAGGAGAATGATGGCAGCCTGGCTTCTCACCTACACTGGTTTTAGTGGCTTGTCCTTATTTCTGCATAAATATGCTTTCTCACAGATAAAACTACCTTTAAGAATTCCTGACAAGGGATAGGACAAGAAAATGATGCAGGAGAGCTTACAGGTATTGTTACCAACAAGGTATATTGATATGATTGTTTTTCCATTATGCCTGAATCCTAAGTCCCGTACTCAGCTGTTTAATAAGTCCAATAGTGTTTACCTCCTTCATACTTTTTAATCTTCTGCCTTCTCCATCTATATTCTTGTCCGTGATTTTGAAAAATGCCTCCTTACTGACCTTCCTATTCTTCCTCCTCTCTGTCTAAGCCATGGTGCCCACGGTCTAAACATCAGGGTGATATTTCTAAGACACACACCGAACCACATCAATGCTTAAATCTTCAATTGTTTACCCTATGCTCACATTATGACATGATAAGGCTCCTGATGCCAGCTGCTGTCTGTCATTCTTGCCTCAGATATCTCCATGCACAGCTGGTGTGATCAGATATATAGAACAATTTAGGGTTTTTCAAACACTTCAAACACATGGGATGCAGGGATTGGAAGACCAGCTCTGGTTTCAGGTCTTCCACATTCTAGTATCTGAGAAAGTTTAATTACCAGAAACACTGGAGAATAATATATACCACATGTGTGTTACTCCGGGGAGTGCAATGATATAAATAAAACAGAATAGTACATCACACATCTATGATTAGTGAAAAAAAAGTATAGGCAGTAGTAGCTAATACTTGATAAGGTGTGAAAGATCTCTTCATTTTTCCTTGTCTCTCTGACCATTTAGAATTTCTAGTACTTGTTATTTTTCAGAATGTCAGTTACATGGCTGTTAAAAAAATAAGAACAAGAAAAAAAAAAAGAAGCTGGTTACTTGTTTGTGCACGTTAGCACAGAAGTACAATAGAACGTTGGATATTTTTAGATGAGGAATTTAATAGATTATTTAACACATTGCATTGGAATTTGTTGTTCTCAGCAAGTAATTAAATATGGAATAGGACATTAAGTAACCTGAATGAATGTTTGTTCGTGAGTCTACAAAAATATGGTTTCTGTATATTGTATGAATGGGAGCCTTTATAAAACCAATACACACATATGCAAATCACTCACATCAAAACATTTTATAACCTGCTTTATATTTAATTTTGCAAAAATCTTTCCCTCCCAACAAATCAGGAACTCTCACTATTTTTATCTCTGCAGTATCTACATCATCTGACATTTTTATTTGTTCACTCAGGCACTTTGAAAATGCTTGGTGAATTGATCTGTTTACTGATTATCAAAAAACCACAGAACTGGGAACAACGTGAATAAAATGGCCCTAAATCCTGAAATCCCTACATATACAAAGTATGTGTGATTAAACCAGGAATTTAGAAGTAAAAATCTCTGAGCTATTTTATTCTGGCCAGAATAATGTCCCTTGCACCCATCTTAGTGGCATACCGTTTCCATATCTTAACCTTCTTTACATGCTCACAACAAGGCATCGCTTGTCATTTTCCTCCAGAAAGCAGAAGTGCATTTTAATGGCAGAAGCAATTATAGAAAGTAAACAAATATAGTCATTATTAAACATTTATTAAGGTCCCACTGGGTAGGAGTCACTGATGCATTTAAAAAATAACTTCCTCACCATAACACTTGCACTGTAACCTCGCTTACTTTGCTTTTAATTTTTTAATGTGTATAAAAAATTATAATCGTTAAGTTTCTGCAGTTCCCGTGGTGGTCAGAGCACAGGGAAAGAAAAAGACCAAAGTAATATTCTATTAGTCTTAAGAACGGATCCTCTGTAGCGGTCATGTATATCAGGCTTCTTCTGACTTTGTGGTGATGGAATGCAAACCTGAGATATCTAGGGATTTGGAGTGGAGGCTTATATTAACTGTTTAGTGTAGGAGAGGTGGACAGTTATTGCTCCACTAGTAAAAATTCCTATTGGCATAATGAGTACAGTGTTGTTATGACCACTATATATCTAAGTACTTTCAGAAAATATCTGTTTGTGTCTGTCCTGGTCCATTGAGAGCTACACCTGCCCACTCTGTGTGGTTCTTCAGAGACTCTTGTATGCTTTTTCTTGCATGCACATTGTCTTGCATGATTTGTCTGTTGACAGAGATGGGTACAAATGGTGAATACCTGACTCAAGCAGTTTTTCCATGAAATTAGGAACAGATATGGGAATACAAGGTTGTTGTTTTTTTCCTCCTATGTCATAAATTTGAGGATATGGGTTTGTTGCTGGCAACAACCATCTTTCCAGCTATAGGAAGATGCTATACATGAAGCAGAAAAGAATCAGTCTGTTAGGTAACTAAAAGTAGGGACACAGAGAACAACAAAAGGGAAGAAAAGATGTGAGAGGGGAGAGAGGGTGGCAAAAAAGAATGAGAAGAGGATGAGGATGATATCTTTGCATCTGCTGAGTGCATATACACCTACAATCTTCCCAGTTATAGGAGTCAATAAACTAGCTTTCTTGCTTAGGCTTGACTTTGCTTTCTGTTGGTCATATCCAAGAATCTCAATGCATATAGGCTTCAAAGGTTTTAACTGACAAAAGTGTTAAGATTCTACATCATTATGATTTATCAAAAAATGCTAAAATAAGTGCCAGGTACTAAGCAACTGAGTTGAATTATATTTCTTCACCCCATGCATTGATTCTCACTACTATCATTACCATGTTATAGATGAAAACACAGAATTAAAAAATGGTGAAGTGACTTGCTGAGTGATAGACACTCAGCTATGAAGAGATAACATTGTCAAAATTAGGATTCATTTGCGTAAGAAAAACCCAAGTGTTGGGTTCAGTTCTTGAAACTCTCTGACTTACAGCAGCTACTTCCCAGTCAAGAGGATTTGCCTATTTCCTTCCCTTCTCCATGGCAGACATACATTTCTTACCTTAAAAGAGTTGGACTCGGACATATGATCTGCTTTGGCCAATGGAATGTGATTGAGCATAACATATGCCACATCGAGGAGGAGATTTTTAAATGTGTGTGTGTGTGTGTGTGCGTCTGTGTGTGTGTGTGTCTGTGTGTGTCTGTGTGTGTCTGTGTTTTGACTTGCTTCTTTCATATCTGCCTTCTTCCACGGGAAGAGTGCACACTAAACACATTCTGTTTTTGCAGCCTAAGTATTGGAATTAGAAACACAGGGAGAAGACTGGCACCCAAGCACAAACTACCTGCAGATTTATTAGTAAATGCTTGTCATGATAAGTCACTTAGATTTTTAGGGGGATATTTGTTACATGGCATTGCTTTTTTTTTTTTTTTTTCTGAGACAGCATCTTGCTCTGTCACCCAGGCTGGAGTGCAGTGCCATGATCTTGGCTCACTGCAGCCTCTGCCTCCTGGATTCAGGCAATTCTCCTGCCTCAGCCTCCCGAGTAGCTGGGACTACAGGTGCCCGCCACCACAGCTGGCTAATTTTTTGTGTTTTTAGTACCGATGGAGTTTCACCATGTTGGCCAGGATGGTCTCAATCTCCTGACCTCGTGATCTGCCTTCCTTGGCCTCCCAAAGTGCAGAAATTCCAGACATGAGCCCCCACATCCTGCCCCCATGGCATTGTTTAAGCAAAAGTTGAACCATACAAACCTGAAAAATTTTGAAAGAAACCACAGTTGGCTTCATTCAAAGTATATTTGTATGTGCCTACTTTGAGGCAGATGCTATTCTAGTTATTAAGAAATAGATCAGTGAACAACAAAAAAAGTCTGTATTCTCATGGAGTTTACATTTGTGTGTGTGTGTGTGTGTATACACTATATACACATGTATATAATCTTATATATGTATACACCCACAATCTTATATATATGCAATCTTATATCTGTAATCAAACATGCTGCAGGATGATTGTTTTCTGTAACATTTTCACAAAAGTCATCATTTAAGGTAACGTCTAAATAGAGAACTGAAGGCTATGAGGGAGCCAGTCGTGCTAACCAACGGGGGAGAAGTGTTCTAGGCAGAAAGAACAAAAATCAGTCCTGAAAGAGTCCTCAGGCTGACTGAGAGGGGAGTGTGTTCTAGAGATGGGTTCTCAGGACTTTGTGCGACCAATTTTCTTTTTCTTTTTCTTTTTTCTTTTCTTTTCTTTTTTTTTTTGAGGTGGAATCTCACCCTGTCGTCCAGGCTGGAGTGCAGTGGCACGATCTTGGCTCACTGCAACCTCGGCCGCTCGGGTTCAAGCGATTCTCCTGTCTCAGCCTCCTGGATAGCTGGGATTACAGGCACCCGCCACCATACTCAGCTAATTTTTGTATTTTTTAGTAGAGGCGGGGTTTTGCCATGTTGGCCAGGGTGGTCTTGTATTCCTGACCTCATTGATCTGCCTGCCTCTGCCTCCTACAGGTGTGAGCCACCACCTCCGGTTGTGCAACCAAATTTCTATGAGTTTTCCTTGCCTCATCAACTCTACAGATGGAAGGATTGAGGACTATAGTGTACTACTCAAAATTGTTCACAATTAAATGTGTATAATGATGAATATGGCTGTAGGATAATGACTTTAGCAAATACTTTTGTTATCTTCACTGTACTCTGAATTTCTTAGGTCATTTATGTAGGAGACTGTAGAGTAAATTAGTAGACAAATTACTTAGCAGTTCATGGCCAGGTAGATGGGGCATAGATTGTTTGATTGGTCTTGGGTCAATCTACCGTGATTACTGTTCACATGAGAAAAACGTAACAAATAGACAACCCCCTAAAAGAACATTGCTTTAATTGTTATTTCGTCATCATTTTGTGATTTATCCTTTTATGTCCTTTAGCTCACTGAAACTAATGAGATGCACTTACATGAATTATTTTTGTTTATAATCAAGTAACCAAGGCTCATTGAGACCCAGAGTCTAATCCAAGATGTCACAGTGATTGACACATGGAGTGTGTGAACCCTGGTTTTCACTAAGAATGCGCCATTAACACTTGTGTTATCAAATACAGCATCTTCTTTACTAATCCTAGTCACAGAATTCTCATTAATGATGTTTTAGTCTTTCTTTTTCACCTTTTCCCTCTTCATTGCCTTTTACTCTAATTTCTGCCCCCCCCGCCCCCCCAAAAAATTCTTCATCCTCCATTCTGTCCCTATCGATTTTATTGCAAATGAATCCCTTCCTTCTAGGCTATTTCATGACAGCTATTTAAGAACTTCATATAAGGAAGGAAAGAAACAATTTTAAAGAGTTTTTATTCTTGTGGTTTTTAAATAATACAGCTAGTAACCAGGAAACATCTCCCAGAGACTTGGCTGGGTCAAATTCCAGGGAGATTTATGTTTGCATTACTTGCTGAAGATATTCACTGGTCCTCTCTACTAGTCCCTCTCCATAGGGCTCTTCCATAGGGCTCCGTCCTGTTGGGTGTACACTTTTAATTGAGGTCAGGTTTGGTAACATGAATTGTTTTGGCTATTAAATCTAAGCAGAAGTGACATGCACCACATTTGGGCAGAAGGTTCAAGAACCATCATGAGGTTCTACTATTGCTTTTTCTCTCTACTATCAGGTAATAATATCCCAGGTAGAGGGTTAGCCTTGACTCTGGAATGAAGAAGAAGACATTTGGTGCAGAGTGGCATGCAACCACAACGTGTAGCATGAATGAGAGACAATATTCTGGTTGCAAACCATTGAGATCGGAGGGTTTTTGTTCTGCCAGCAAAACCCAGCTCATTAATACAAATAGTAAGGGCATTTTTCAGGGTCTTGCATGCTTTCTTACGCATTACATTAATATCATTTGGGCCCCATATCAATATTCTAAGCAAGTCAGATTTGTTAGTATTCCCATTTTAGATATAGAGAAGCTGAAGCTTACATGGATTACTAAAAACAAAAAATATTCTCATTCAGGAAATGGAAAAAATAGTCTTAGTGAAGTTCTCTTGATTCCTCTTTTATCTCTCTGTCCTTAATCATATCCTGCTACAAAAATGAGCTAAGTCCAG